>NC_000012.12:105338915-105641946 GCF_000001405.40 Homo sapiens
CAACAAGGACGACCTATAAAAATGAGATTTTCTATAAGAGCTTCCATTTTCATTGACATAATTTTATGTCAATATATAATTTTATATTTCTAGGACACATTGACCTGAATTTTTTTCCTCCATTATTTGAAGAAATCACTTATGAATCTGTATTTTTTTATTGCACTCTGAAAAATAAGCATTGCTTTGGATGAAGTAATGAGCTGTTGTTCCATTTCTTTTGGCCAAACCAAGACTATGACATAGTTTTATAACTATTGTGGGTCAGAAGAGCATAGCAAGCTGTCAAAATTAAAGAGAATTTTATTTATTTTTCTGCAGTTATATTTATATAGTTCTCGGAGGGACTGTTTCTTTTCTAAAACAAATAAGGAGTAAGACATTCTTGCATGTTTTTATTATTTCCCATAAGAACCATAGGCATTTATGTTTCTGATAATTTATGCTGAAAGAAGAGTGCTTTTTAAATCTTCAGTATTTTTTTTTTTTTTTTACAAATTCTTCACATACATAATTTTATTTCGGGTGTGTGTGTGTGTGAATTATCACCACTTGGTTTGAAGAATGTAACTTAATATGTAACTTAGCAATTCATTTACCTGTGAATATTTCTAGTATATTTTATAAAGTCTAGAGTCTATATAGTATGGTGGTCATAAAAGGTATTAATGGACTAAAATGTATATGACCTTTTCTTTCTTTCTTTCTTTCTTTTTTTTTGAGACGGAGTCTTGCTCTGTCACTCAGGCTAGGTGCAGTGGCGTGATCTCCGCTCACTGCAAGCTCCGCCTGCCGGGTTCATGCCTTTTTCCCGCCTCAGCCTCCCGAGTAGCTGGGACTATAGGCGCCCGCCACCACGCTCAGCTAATTTTTTGTATTTTTAGTAGAGACGGGGTTTCACTGTGTTAGCTAGCTAGGATGGTCTCGATCTCCTGACCTCGTGATCCACCCACCTCAGCCTCCCAAAATGCTGGGATTACAGGCGTGAGCCACCATGCCTGGCCCTTGTTTCTTTTAAAAGATAAAAGTATGTTCTTCATAATAGACTTTGGCATTTGGGAGGAAATACTCACATCAATAAATGTTTGAATCTGTATAATACTGAAGACATGCTGGACAGTATGATTCATGGTTTTTAATGTATACGACAGGCTGATTAGCTCTCAAAGGACCATCTGTCTGTAGGAACCAAGATATTGTGTCCATCTACTTAAAATTACTCAATGCAGGTGGGGCGTGGTGGCTCACGCCTGTAATCCCAGCACTTTGGGAGGCAGAGGCGGGTGGATCACAAGGTCAGGAGATCAAGACCATCCTTGCTAACACAGTGAAACCCCATCTCTACTAAAAATACAAAAAATTAGCCGGGCGTGGTGGCATGCGCCTGTGGTCCTAGCTACTTGGGACGCTGAGGCAGGAGAATCGCTTCGACCTGGGAGGCGGAGGTTGCAGTGAGCCGAGATCGTGCCACTGCAATCCAGCCTGAGCAACAGAGTGAGACTCCGTGCCCCCGCCAAAAAAAAAAAAAAAAAAAATTTACTCAGTGCAGTATCTTGTAGCTGGCTTGTGTTATCATTCACGAGGAATAAAGTTCCGTTTGTGTCGTGCATGATACATATATTACATTTAGTTTCCCTCCAGATACTCATTTTGCTCTGTATTTTAAAAGAGAGTATTTTTTGGAGACAGGGAAGGACAAAGATAAGAAGGTCTAGTGGGTTGAATGGTAGCCCCCAAAAAGATATGTCCATGTTCTCTTTTCTGCAGTGAGTGAATGCAACCTTATTTGGATAAAGGATCTTTGCAAATGTAATAAAGTTAAGGGTTTTGAGATGCGGAGATTATACTAGATTATCTGAGTAGGCTCTAAATCCAATGAGAAGGGTGTTTATGAGAGACACAAGATGAGAAGACGGACATAGAAGGGAAGGTGATGTGAAAATGGAGGTGGAGCAGAGATGATGGGGCCACAAGCCAAGGAATGCTTGCTGCACCAGAAGCCAGGAGAGGCATGGAATGGGTGCTTCCCTAAGGCCTCTGGAAGGAGTTTGGATCTGCTGAGACCTTGATTTTGTACTTCTGGCCTCCAGATCTATGAGTGCATAGATTTCTGTTGTTTAAACCACCCAGTTTGTGGTAATTTGTTACAGCAGCCATGTGAAACGAAGACAATATTTTTCTGCAGTAGTTCAGAAATGAGACAAAATCAGAATATAAGAAAATGTATTAAACTGTATACCTGGAGTATAAATAATTCTTTGCTTAAATAAACACAGCATGATGCAATCTTGGTGTGATTCATAAAGCCCTTCAAGACTGTTCAGAACCTTAACCACTACTAGGACACATACAATTTTTGTATGAAACATAAAGAATGTCTGAGAGGTTTTTTTTTTCCCCCGTTTCCTGACACCTAATTCTTTGACACCAAGTGTCCTGCAATTCAATTCAATTCTAACACTACCTGGAGTTAGTGTCAGCCTCCACAGGTTTAGTGGGTCGGTCCCACAAGACTGCCCTCCCTTCAGACTCTAGTTGCAAATATTGCGCTTCCAGGTTGCCACACTTCTGTCAGCTATAGATTTGGGGGTCTTCACAAATCTCTTCAGGCTCAATGATTTGCTAGAATAGCTCACAGGACTCAGGAGGACACTTTCCTCATGTTTACTGTTTGATCATAAAGGGTCTGAATGAACAGCCAGTGGAAGAGGTACTTGGGGAAGTCTGGAAGTGTCCCAAGTGCAGAAGCCTCTGGCCCCAGTGGAGTTGGGCTATACCACAGTCCTGATGGGTAGATAAGTTCACCAACCTGGAAGCTCACTGAATCCAGTAATATGGTTTGGCTGTGTCTCCACCCAAATCTCACCTTGAATTGTAGTAATCCCCACATGTCAAGGGCTGGGCCAGATGGAGGTAACTGAATCATGGGGGTGGTTCCCCCATACTGTTGTCGTGGTAGTGAATAAGTCATGAGATCTGATGGTTTTATAAATGGGAGTTCCCCTGCACAAGCTCTCTTGCCTGCTGCCATGTAAGATGTGACTTTGCTCCTCCTTTGTGTTCCACCATGACTGTGAGGCCTCTGCAGCCATGTGGAACTGTGAGTCAATTAAGCATGTTTCCTTTATAAATTACCCAGTCTAGGGTATGTCTTTATTAGCAGCATGAGAACAGACTAATACATCCAGTTATTTTGAGGTTTTCGTAGGTGCTGTGGTTTGAGTGCGTTCCCCAACATGTGTTGGAAATTTAATACCCAATGCAGTAGTGTTGGGAGGTGGGACCTAATAAGAAGTGATTAGGGCTTGAGGGCTCTGCTCCCATGAATGGATTAATGTGTTTAATCATAAATAAACTGGGGGACGAATGGAATGGGTTGGTTATTGAGAGAGTGGGCTGGTTATTGAGAGAGTGGGTTGCTGTAAAAGCAAGTTTGGCCCCTTCTTGCGCTCTTGCTGTCTTGCCCTTCTGCCTTCCCACATGGGATGAAGGAGCATAAAGGCCCTCACCAGATGTGAGCCCCTCAATCTTGGACTTCCCAGCCTCTAGACTGTAAGAAATACATTTTATTTTCTTTATAAATTATCCAGTCTGTGGTATTCTATAACAGCAACACAAAAAGGACCAAGACACAAGCATGGCTGGTTAAATCCTTTGCCACTGGTGATTAACTCAATCTCCAGCCTCTCTCCTCTCTCTGCAGGTGGCAGGGTGGAGCTCAATGTTCCAAGCTTCTAATCAAGGCTTGGTCTTTCTAGCAAACAGCCCCCATCCTGAAGCCATATAGGGGCTTGGCCAAGAGTCATCTCATTAGAAGCCTCACAGAGAGGCTCCTGTCACTCATCACTCAGGAAATTCCAGGGGTTTTAGGAGCTCTGTGCCAGGAACCAGGGGCAAAGACCAAATATCTTATGATGAAACTGCAATATCAGATTAAGTTTTTTGAATGTTTGAATAGATGGGATTTGCTATGCATTTTTAATTAACTGAGACTTCTGTCATTGAGACTGATGAATAAAATGTTAAAATCTTCTGAAATGTGGAAAGTAAAAGCTAAACAGAGCCAAGGTGAGATGAAGTGATACTGTAAACAACCAACAGTGATGGAAATGTCCTTCTTTACATTCTATTTACAATTTTTATTACTGAAACTGCATATAATACTTTCCTGAGAACAAACCTTTCCCCTCTCCATTTTTAGGAAGATATTTAAAATTATGATTATCATTTCTACAGTTTTGGGAAATAGTCATTAAATCTTTTGACCCCCTCCCCTCCAAATTATAATAGTCTCTCTATATTTTTTGGTGTGTTTTTTTTCCCCACAAGAAACATTGTTACCTTTTTTTCATTTCTACTTCTCCTGAGGCCCTAGGCCCATTGTATTAACCCACCAAGGTTATGTTTAAACAGTAAGGAGCCAATTTGGCAGGACATGAAGTGGTATTAGGATGAATGATGTATCCTTGTGGCCTGGAAAAAAATAGATGTAACATTATACATATTTGCTTAATAAATGATAAAGCACATGAACCACAGATACAGTTTAAAGCAAATGGGATCTTGCCACTATCTAATTTTGATCAAAGCACTTTTTGCATAATTACTTAGATTAGGGATTGCCATTTGGTTAATTACAATAAATATATAAGCAAAGTGTAATTAAAAGGTTGCAGTGAGGGTAATTTTATTTCTGATCATTTTATGATTTTATACTTTTACAGGACAAATAAACTTATGCTTTGCATTTTATGTACCTAGGTACTCTGATAGTTTTGTTTAGGGTTTCCAACATTTGCAACCTTTTTTTTTTTCTTTTGGGAAGTTGTGTGTTAGGGAGTCATATTCTCATTACCCTGGTTACAAGCTTCTCAGTAACCACCATGTTACCTTGCTTCTAAGATGCACATTTTCCTATTAAAAAATGGAGCACATTTTACAATCATACACACACACAGACACACACACACTTCTTGGAGTGTTTCTGACTTCTTTGCCCCACCCCTACCATTGCAGTTATTCAGTTGATGATGCCCTTTCAAATGAGGGCCATTTTAGAACAGAGGGAATGGTCTGTTGACTTTGTTTTAAATGGTGGCACCATGCATCTCCCTTGGGCCTGCTGGGATGTTAAATGGTGAGCCCAGCAGGGAGGAGGCCCTTGATGGTGCCCATAGCTTGGTGCAATCAAGGTGAAGTGGATGGAGAGTTCCTGATGCTGATTAAAATAAGCACTGAATGCACAACATGTGGCCATTTGTAAACTCATTTCTCATTTCACACACGTTACTGTGCTTTGCCTTCCTAGCTGCATTTGTTGGCCCAGTATGTCCTCATTTACTAGATGCTGAAACAAAGTGATTTAGTGACTGTCAGACAAATACTGGCATAGGGATCCGACTCCAGTCATCTGCCTTCTGATTCCACACTGTTCTTACCCCATCACCGTTCTGCCATCCCTGAGATGTAGCAGGGCAGCCTTGGCCACTCTCTTCTTCCTGTGGATTGTACTAGGTCACCCCTCATCTTTAAATGTTGAGGACTCGGCCGGGTGTAGTGGCTCACATCTGTAATCCCAGTACTTGGGGAGGCCAAGGCAGGTGGATCACTTGAGGTCAGGAGTTCAAGACCAGCATGGCCAACATGGAGAAACCCTGTCTCTACTAAAAATACAAAAACAGTTAGCTGGGTGTTGTGGCAGGTGCCTGTAATTCCAGCTACTCAGGAGGCTGAGGCAGGAGAATCGCTTGAACCCAGGAAGCAGAGGTTGTGGTGAGCCAAGATTGTGCTGCCGCACTCCAGCCTAGGCAACAGAGTGAGACTCTGTGTCAAAAAAAAAAAAAAAAAAAGTTGAGGACTCATGGTCCACATTATAATCATTGTTTTCTTCCCTCTGTAAGACTTGCAGAGTCAAAGGCTCATCTCTGGTTCTCCCTTGCCCTGACTCCAGCAAAACCCAAACATACTCTTTATCCTTTTCCACAAAAATAAAAAAATAAAAGCTAAAAAGATATTATTTTCTTTTTAGACGTAAGCTGAAAATTCTAAGCCCCCCCCCAACCAATTAAATGGACCCCTTCTCTTGGCCAAGGTAATTCCTAAGTTAACCTGCAAAACTAGGTCAGGCCATGATGGGAAGTGGGGATTGGACATGCCTCATTATACCCTCTTCCCTTTGAAATTCAGGCACAACTGACCAGCATTTAACATTAAAACAGACCTTAAGACTGACAAAGCAGACTCTTTGTAGCAGTAAGATACCAACATGACAGCAGGCTCTGAAAGAAGTCAGGCCAGGTGTGGTGGCTCATGTCTGTAACCCTAACACTTTGGGAAGCTGAGGTGATTGGATTGCCTCTGCTCAGGAGTTTGAGACCAGCCTCGGCAACATGGTGAAACCCTGTCTCTATTAAAAAATACAAAAATAAGCCAGGCGTGGTGGTGCACGCCTGTAATCCCAGCTACTCAGGAGGCTGAGGCAAGAAAATAGCTTGAACCCAGGAGGCGGAGGTTGCAGTGAGCCAAGATGGCACCACTACACTCCAGCCTGGGTGGCAGCATAAGACTCCAAAAACAAATATAAAAAAAAAAGAAGTCAAAGTATTTTACCCCAAAATATATTTCTTTGACATAAATTTTGAAATGTCAAGCAAAGCTGTCGTTTGTGGGGGGAAATCTGTATTCTGTAGATAAATTCTCTTCCTTTTCCAGGTCTTTTTCCTGATCTTGAATTAGTGTCTGGCCTTTTTTTTTTTTTTTTTTTTGAGACAGAGTCTTGCTCTGTTGCCCAGGCTGGAGTGCAGTGGTGCAATCTCAACTCAATGCAACCTTTGCCTCCTGGGTTCAAGCAATTCTGCCTCAGCCTCCCAAGTAGCTGGGATTATAGGCGCCCACCACCACACCTGGCTAATTTTTGTATTTTTTTTTTAGTAGAGATAGGGTTTCACCATGTTGGCCAGGCTGGTCTCAAACTCCTGACCTCAGGTGATCCACCCACCTCGGCCACCCAAAGTGCTGGAATTACAGGCGTGAGCCACCGTGCCCGGCCTAGCACTTTTTTAAGTCTGATAAGAAACATTTAAAGAAGCTTCATCTGCAAAATAAAACCTTGGGTCTCCAAAATCCCTTATCTTAACTCAAGACAATTCCAGGAATCAATTGATTCCAGATCTTTAAATAAACTCTTTCAACCAATTGCCAATCAGGAAATCTTGGAATCCACCTATCACCTGGAAACAACCCCCCACACCCCCACCACTTTTGAGTTGTCCCGGACCAAACCAGTGTACATCGTACAGGTATTGATTGGCCTCTTATGTCTCCCCATAACGTATGAAACCAAGTTGTAGCCTGAGCACCTTGGACACGTGTTCTCCAGACCTTCTGAGGCTGTATCACAGGCATTCCTTAACCTTGGCAAAATAAACTTCTAAATTGATTGAGACCTATCTCAATACTTTTTGATTTACACAGATTTTCTTCTAGATTCTCATGCTTGACTCTAAAATAAAACGTTCATTTTCACGGGTGTATGGTGGCACTAATTTTTGTTAATTTTTTTCTATCAAAAACACTCTACTGTTGGCAGTTTTTCCTGTGTTAAGATTTTTTTTTAAGTTTAGGATCTTTTGGTTTAATAATCTCTGATTCTAAAGTAGTTTACATAATGTATCATTTTAACAGTAATGGTGGCACAGAAATGTTCTTCCCTGAAGAAAGGAACTAAGATTATTACAAAGTTTAGGTTTAGTCAAAGCCTTAAAAGAATTCGTTTGAGACATAGCCTCAATTATCTTTAGGATCAGCTTTTAATTTGCAGTATTACAGATGCAAAATGAATATCATTGTTTGATTGTTCTTGCAATTTGGCAATAACTTTACCCACAGACTTATTTACTTACTTTGTAGCACATCTTCCTTTATTTTTACACCTCTGTGACTTGTGCAGAAGTTATTTTAATTTCTATTTAATATATATCGAAATTGAAATATTAAGTGTGACGTCTAATAATAACTTAGTTTGCTATTTTTATGTGCCAGCTTTGTGTTAAGTGTTTACATTGTCTTTTTACACATTGTCTTTTTAAATCTTCACAATAACCTTTGAGAAAGATACCTTTTACCCTCATTTGACATAAGGGAGGTGAGGTTTTAAGAGGTTAAAGGATGCTTAATACCATATATCTTGTAGGAGTTGGAACCAAGTCCTGTGCCTCCCAGATAAAGATATTGGGAGGAGGAAATGTGGGCAGAGAATCTGCGAGAAGTAATGGGGATGGAGACCAGAAGAGATGAGCTGTTTTTGTCACATGGGTGGTGTATTAGGGTTCTCCAGAGGGAGAGAACTAATAGGATAGATGAATGTATGAAGGGGAATTTATTAAGGAGGACTGACTCACATGATCATTAGGTGAAGTTTCACAATAGGCCGTCTGCAAGCTGAGGGGCAAGGAAGCCAGTCCGAGTCCCAGAACCTCAAAAGTAGGGAAGTCAACAGTGCAGTCTTCAGTCTATAGCTGAAGGCCCATGAGCCCCTGGCAAACTACTGGTCTAAGTCCAAGAGTCTGAAAGCTGAAGAACATGGAGTCCGATATTCGAGGGCAGGAAGCATCCAGCATGGGAGACAGATGAAGGCCAGAAAGCTCAGCAAGTCTGCTCTTTCCACCTTCTTCTGCCTGCTTTATTCTAGCTGTGCTGATAGCTGATTAGATGGGGCCCACCCAGATTAAGTGTGGGTCTGCCTCTCCCAGTCCACTGACTCAAATGTTAATCTCCTTTGTCAGCACCCTCACAGACACAGCCAGGAATAATACTTTGCATTCTTCAGTTCAATCAAGTAGACGCTCAGTATTAACCATCACAGATGGGAAGCCAATGGGAGCAGAGTTAGAGATGCATGTGACTCTTTTTGGAGCTAGGCTGGTGTGTTTGAGGCTTCCTAATTAATTTAGTCCATTGCTTGCATTAGCGCACAGTTTGACTTAACCTGCCGTGCAGACACCAACTTAAAAGGTGTATGGCTTAAAAAAGAAAATGTTTCTCGAAGTCTACCAGTTTTAAAATTCATAAAATGTGAGGTTGGATTAATGTGATCTGTAAAATCTTTTTCAGAACTGGCACCTTGTAATTTACAGGAACTGTTAAAGATGGGTGGAATAGATTCCAAAGCTAAGATTTGAAACTTAAACTAAATTTGAAATTTAAGATTGGAATTTGAGGCCCGGTGCAGTGGCTCATGCCTGTAATCCTAGCACTTTGGGCAATCAAGGTGGGAGGATTGCTTAAGCCCAGGAGTTGGAGAGCAGCCTGGGCAACATGGTGAAACCCCATCTCAAGAAAAAATACAAAAATTAACCAGGCATGGTGGTATGCACCTGTATTCCGAGCTACTCAGGAGGCTGAGGTGTGAGGATCACTTGAGCCCAGGAGGCAGAGGTTGCAGTGAGCCGAGATTGCATCACTGCACTCCAGCTTGGGCAACGAAGTGAGACTGTATCTGAAACAAAAAAAAAAAAAAAAAAAGATTTGAATTTTATGATTTTTTTGCCCTCCTTTCTCTGTTTTTGAAAATTTTTTTAAACCCATTTTCTCTTCAGGAATATTACTGTATTTTAATTAGGTATTAGACAACATTTTTGTAGCAATACTATCACACCAATACAAACCTATCTTCTTTTTTTCTCTAGGCCCTGCAGGAGCAGCCAAAGATGTGTAAGTATTGAATATTAATGATTTTATAAGCTGTCTTTCTGAGGAAGTTGCTGTTTTTCATGATTATGACCTTTAGATCTCTGTGGGTATGGCTGAAAAGACATGGAAATACTTTGTGTATAATGCACATGTCAAGATGATCGTTGTAACTAAAGTGCTATTCAGAGAGGGTTCTTTGTGCTTTTCATTAGCTTTTCAGTTGCCTGGGCACTTTAACTCAGGATCTTAAGAAGGGGAAATGTTGAATTGTGTTTTCCATCCCAACTGGTATAGAGATTTTTTTTTTCTTTTAGTTAAAAGCAAGTGATTATAGGAGAAATAAGCATGTAGCTCCTATGACTACGCAGTGTTTTAGAGTTAGCTGGGGAGGAAAGGCTGGGGCCAAGCAGTTACCAAGTGTACATTGAATTGTTTTAAAGTTGATAACTAGATATTCGAATGAATATATAGGGCCATTCAACATAGTCACCATTGAGCTATCTTTAGAGCACAGGGCATTTAATAATGGGCATCTCCCTGTGGAGAGATCTGGAGCTCAGGAGCATTCAGGATTTCCATGCCCCTTCTCTCTGCATCCTCCTGCCTCTAATCTAGCTATAGCAAGGACACTACAGCAGTTCACTCTTTAAGAGTATTTCTGGTTACCCAGTGAAGGGTGGGATCAACTCTCCCACCCAAAACTGGGTTGGGTGTCAAGACTGATTCACCACATCTCAGGAGGGTGTGGAAAGATGTATTGCTCACATGAGGCTTTCTGGGGAGAGCAGGGCAGCCATCCAAACGGGTCTAGTTTTTATTTTGGTTGGAGAGTGGGCTGGGGTGAGGCTACTTATGAATGGGCAGAGGTTTGATCTTCCTGCTGGCACAGGGAAGAAGTGCCCCCACTTTCTTATTGGCTTACACAGATGTGGGGCAAAAGGGGAGTGATGGGGCTCAAAAGCCTTCAATGGTCAAATACCAAAAATAGGGCCAGGTATGGTGGCGCATGCCTGTAATCCCAGCACTTTGGGAGGCTGAGGCGGGTGGATCACTTGAGGTCAGGAGTTCAAGACCAACCTGGCCAACATGGTGAAACCCTGTCTCTACTAAAAATACAAAAAATTAGCCAGGCATGGTGGTGGGCCCCTGTAATCCCAGCTACTTGGGAGGCTGAGGCAGGAGGATTGCTTGAACTGGGAAGGTGGAGGTTGCAGTGAGCCGAGATCACACCACTGCACTCCAGCCTGGGTGACAGAGCCAGACTCTGTCTCAAAAAAAAGAAAAAAAAGAGTCAGACTTTCTTATTTCTTATTACAAAGAATTTAGAGAAGATGAGAATGGGATTGTAAAGCTTTCTGGGAATTAAATATTTAAATATGCATTTTAAAATTAGGACTTTAGATACAAAGGAAGCAGTAATTGATGGCTTCTAGCTCCTGTTTGCTGTGTTGGAGTTTATTACGTAAACATTTAGCAACAGTGAATACTGCACCCTGACCGTATTCCTATTATTGCAATATTTTGGTTTCTCCTTCAGTCTCTCCCTTCAATTTCTATATGTGTTGCCAGATTAATTTTCCTCAAGCACTGCCCTGCACTTGCATAGGACCTCTGCTCAAAACCTTTCAATTATTCCCATCGTCCTCTGGACTGAACCCAGGATTTATTAGGAATAGGAAGAGCATTTATGTTTTAGCCTCAAACCGACTGGCTCGCATGGCGTGGGAGGAGATGCTACAGTGGAGAGTGAGCAGAGCCCAGGGCTGGGAGGGCTGTGCAGAGCTTCTTCAGGCCACTGTTCTCAGGGGCTTCTGCGACCTCATGCTTCTTGCTCCTGTCCTTGTGTTTTGCTGTGCCCACTGCCTGGAGTGGCCCTTTCCCTTTCCCTTTCTGTTTATAGAAATGACATCTGTTCTGTAGGGCATGTGTGTTATCCTTTGTGAGAAGTATTTCCTGGCTCTCTGAGCTGCATAGTGTGTCTTTCTCCTCAGAACCTTCACAGCATTTTGGACCTTTCTTGTGGGGCATCGTGTTGGGTTTATATCGTAGTTCTTCATGTTCTTGTCTTTTTTCCCTTGAGGATTGAGAGTGGGGCAATACCTTACCCATTTTATTGTGCTCTAGAGTTATTCATGTCATGCTTTGATCATAGTTTGTGTTGAATAAATAGTTGTTGAATCAGTTCCATCATTGCTTTTCAAGGACAGAGTGATTTCATGACATCTTTCTTTTTCTAATAAAATTTAGTGATGATTTTGTCAACAGAATTAACCGTTCCAGGATGCGAGATGCCATTTAACTACTTAACTATTTCACTATTTAGAATCCTGAATTCTTCAGATTTCCCTTGACTATACCTCATTCTATGTCCTATAACTTTAAAATAAAGTAATTTATTAAATAAATGACCTTTTAAAAACAAATGCAGTGGATTTACCTGGAAAAAGTTAAAGAACATTATAATATTACTTTTCCTTACACAAAAGGTATATTCAGGCACGTTCAATTTTTTAAGTGGAAGCTATAGATTTATAAATCTTGACTGTAATATTAGGTGATGCCATGAATGAATGACGAGCTAAGAAATTAAGATGACACTTAATTTTTTTATTATGCACATTAAAATTTTTTTTTAAAATCTAAACAGACTGATTCCCAAACCAGAAGGATTGGCCAAAATAGTAGAATAAGTACTGAGAGTAAAGAACTTAGAATAGGGCAAACACAATATTATGCAGACCACAGGAAAGTCTTTGTGGGAAAATGGTTGTTATTTTTGGAAGCCAGAAATACTATATATTTAAAAAATCAATTCTCTAGGAAAGGTCTGCAATTTTTACTACTCGTTTTTCTTATTTATTTGCTGTTTTCTATAGGTGAGAAGTCAGTATATAATAATAAATAAAATGATGTATCTGTCCTGAAGTAGTTCACTGTCTACTAGGGACCAAAATACAGTGTGGTAAGTGCTAATTATTCCAGTGTTCAGAATTTAATGCTGGTCTTGGAATTGAAGGATGAACAAGAGTTCATGCAGAAAAGGAGAAAAATGGCAACCCATGGCAGAGGACAAGCATGAAAAAAGGCATGGGAGTGCCAGAGGACAGTAGGTCTGGGACCAGCCAGCCAGGTGGTGTCCCCTGGAGCCTGTGCCTGTGGTACAGTCTGGGCAGAAGTGAAAGATGAGGTTGATGGGCAGGGCTGGCTTGTGAAGGGCCTTGGGTGCAAGGCCAATAATCGTGCTTGTTTTTTTTTATGCATTCAAGGGCTGATAGAGATTTTAAGGTGGAGGAATTAAATGATTATGTTTGAGTTTTAGGGCAGTAACTCCCAAAGCAGTGTGACACATGGGATGAGGGAGGGTGCAGGCACAGAGGAATAATGGAAGTGAGGCTACAAGAGGGTCAGATAGCAGAGGGAAAGGAGAAGAGGTGATACAAACAAGATGCATTAGAAAATGTAATTAATAAGATTTGTTTAATGACTGAACGGGGAAGGAAAGGAAAGGAAACTCTGAGGATAATGCTGCAGTCAAACTTGAGCCAAGGGAAGCGATGGCTGATAGTCCAAAGAGGTCATGGGGGGCTGAAGGAGGAAGAGAAGTCATTGCGTGTGTCATGATGGCCACATTGGTCACCCTGGGGACTGTAGTTTCAGTTGAGCAGGGTGAATGATAACCAAGTCAAAGTGGAAGTGAGCCAGGTGCAAGGAAGTGGAGAGAGTGATGTGGGTCTTTGGTTTTTATGCTGTTTGGCGGTAAGGAATGGAGGGATGTTGGTGGCTTTAAGAGGAGGCAAATTTTCAGAATATACTGTATTAGAAAAAGAATACCAAGGAAATTTGGAAAGTACAGGAAAGTATTTTTTAAGAGAAAAATTCAGTTATTATTCTACCACCAGAGACAATCATTATGAACATTTTACACTTTTCTTCAAGTGTTTTTTGGTTGTTTCTGCCCAGTTGTGAGTATGGTTGATTTTGTGTATTGAAGTTTGTTTTTCCTTTTGTCTTTTTTTAAAAATTATTTTTTGGCATGGAGGAGGCATGGATATTGCTGTAGGCTAAAAGACAGGAACCAGGCGAGTAAGAAAAGCTGATGGTGGTTTGGGGAGGGGGTTTCTCTCTGGTGGTGGAGAGAATAACGATGCATGTAAATCCTATGACAGGCTAGAGAACTCAAAACCTAGCTAGGTTAACCTTCAACACTTGAAAGCATGGTTGACAATGTCTAGAAACTTAATCACCATAAGAAAAAGCCTACATGTGTATCAGAAAACAAGCCTATTTTTCCCTCTCTTTCTGTCTCTTTGAAATTAAATCACAGTGCAGTAACACACTGAACAAAACAAACAAAACAGTGAATTCAAGGTAATGACATTCGGCCGCTTTCACAAACCTGCCAACATCAACCATGTTCTTATTTTAGTGTGGCAGATTCTCAGCTATTTGGCACAAATAGGCTGCGTTGGGATATTTTTGGTAGGAAATGGCAGAAGCCCAGTTTAAACTGGCCTAAACAAACAAACACAAAGGAATTTATTGGCATGTGGAGTGGAAAAGCTCCAGGGACTTGGCTGTAGTCACAGCTGGATCCAGGTGATCAAACAACAGGAAGAAATTCTCTTCTCTGCTTTCGTCTTCATTCTTAGGCAGCTTTCCTCAAGTGGTGACAAACAGGACCAGTTTATATCTTATCAGCTTCCTAATTCCTGTGGAAAAAAGCAGCTTCTTTTTCCTTGTAGTTTGATCAAAAGTCCTAGGGCTGGGCTCTCTTGGCCCGTTGGGGTCATGTTCCTATCTCGGAATCAGTCAGTGGGCCAGGAGAATGTGGGGTGCTCATTGGCCAGGCTGCAGTCATGTGCTCACCACTGGAGCCAATCAGTATCATCAGCCCCACCTTACCATATGGCCAAAGAGCAGAAGAGGGGTGATTCCCCACGGAAAAATTGGGATGCCGTTACCAAAAAAAAGGGGAGAAATTGTAAGTGGGCAAACCGAAACAATTGGAATTTAATTGAAAGCATTTTTTTTTGTAGATCAATTTTCGTGTTCTTAAAGAAGTCTTGATTTAAAGCTTAAGCAATATTTATAAGAATATTATGACTACGTTTCAAATAAGAAACAGTATTAAATAAGTTGACTCAAATATAATGTTTGCTGTTGAAAATAAAAAACCATAGCTACTCAATGTAAACAATGTAATTCAAATACTTCTTTCACTTAAAACATGTAAAGTGAATCTTACTGAGATTCTTTCCTTGGTAAAGCTATTTTATTATTATGGAAGGTAGCAAATACAGGGAAAAATATTTTGGAATGAAATGACATAAAACCCATTGGCAATTTGTTTTTGTTTTTGTGTTTGGAAAAAAGAAATGATAAATCTTTTATGTTGAGTTTCTTGGGATCCTTTATAAATTTACCATGTCTAATGCACCCATGTCAGCTGAGCCCTCTCTGCTCCTCATAGATACAGACCTTAGGGTATCTGATGGGCTCTTTTCTCATCCATGTAGTAGAAGGTAACGCTGTCTTCTGAGGGTGAAGAGGATGGGGTTGAAGTAGCATTGAAAAAGCCTGCATTTTGGAAGCAGAGGGACTTGTGTTTAAAATCCCCTTCACCATTTGCTAGCTGTGTTACATTGTGTCCTTAGTATAATTATCTGTGAAATTGGGATAATATAATAACTGTGCAGGGTGATCATCTTCATCATCATCATTCTTACAGTAGTAGCTAATCTTTACTGAGGACTGTGCACCATACACTGATTTCCAGCATTTTCTGTACGTTATCTCCTTCCATACCCATGATAATCTGATGGACAGAATAATGATGTTTCATTTTACAAGTGAGGAGGTGGGGAGCACAGAGAGCTGAAGTAGCTGCTGGAGGGACAGATTACAAATACAGTATATTTAATATCCTAGGAAAATACTTGGCATTATGCTTGTTGCCCCCGGTGAATGACAGCTAGAATTATTAGTTAGTTTAAAATGTTGTTGAAAAAATTTGGCAGGGCCTCTGACATGAATACTTGATGGCAGAAGACCCAGCATATTGAGGGCCTTGCTGTGGTTAGAAATCATATATTCCCATTGGTAGCCATGATGAGATTTTCCTTAGGTCGGACCCTGTGAAATAGGAGCAGGAAGAGAGAGAGCAGATGGACGGATTCATCCAGGGATGGAGAGGAATAGGTGGTGACCAGCAAGTGCTGCAGAAATACTTGACTGCAAGACATGTGCTAGGGAGAGAGGGAAGGGAAACACGAGGGGCTGATGGATAGGGAGGACGGGGAGGGATGGATGAACTGGAGCTGATGTTGCAATAAGAAAGCAGCCTTCTTGGGAATGATGGGACTATCGAAAGGAGGATTTTTTTTTCCTCCCTAGGGAGTGGGATTTTCTACTCTAAAATGTGGTAAAATAGTTCCAGGAACTATACTCCATGGAGCAGCCATCGGAGTATGTTAGCGGAGCAGCACAGAAGTTGTTGGGATAGAGGAAGTCAGCAAAATATGAGGTGAGAGGTTGGATGGGTGGTTTTCACGAATTTCTTTTTCTTTTTCTTTTTCTTTTTTTTTTTCAGAGTTTTGCTCTCTTGCCCAGGCTGGAGTGCAGTGGCACTATCTCAGCTCACTGCAACCTCTGCCTCCTGGGTTCAAGTGATTCTCCTGCCTCAGCCTCCCAAGTAGCTGGGATTACAAGCGCATGTCACCACGCCCAGCTGATTTTTGTGTTTTTAGTAGAGTTGGGATTTTGCCATATTGGCCAGGCTGGTCTCGAACTCCTGACCTTGTGATCCGCCCGCCTTGGCCTCCCAAAGTGCTAGGATTACAGGTGTGTGCCACTGCACGTGGCCATTTTCATGGAGTTTTAAATTGACCAAGATAATGGTGCTTAGAAAGAAAAACTTTGGGTCAGGGTCAAAATCTTTGGTGCTCTGGGGACAGTTATGGCAGGGTTTAGACTCCAGAGAGGAGAGGTTCTGAGTGAAAATGAAATGGCCCCACCTGTAAGAGCTCTGTGGGGAGATGAGGAGCATGCTGGCTCTGTCTCCTGTTAGGAGAAGCTAGGGTAGGTGAGAACAAGATGCATATTCTTGAGGTTTTGAGAAAAGTGGTGCCAGCAAGGAAAAGCCAAATTTCTTAAGGTAAGGAGATGAAGAGTGCACCCTTGCCTTATAGCAAATGATATTTTTACAACCAATTCTGAAATAATTCCTAACACTGTGTGCCCCTTAGTAAGAGAATAACTGGGGGGAGGAGAGCTAGAGAGGACAGGGAATTTGCAGTCTGGCTCTTGATCTCTTGCTTCTGGATAAAGAGAAGTTGAAAGCATTCCTTTGAAGTGAATGTTACTCATGTTCTCCAGTCATACACTCTGGAAGAAAGAAAGGGACTAATATTGGCCAATGGGCTCATCCAGGGAGAGAGATCAAAAGAAAACAGTCCAAAGAAGTTTTGAAATTGGAAAGAAATGAATGATATTAAACATAGGCCAAAACAGCCAATGGTAAAACATAATTCATTGTGTAATTAAGGGTTTGCTAGAATGGATTGAAACCACCCCAAGGAGCAGGAACCATCATGAAAACATGTTATAAAGAAAATTAAATAATTATATTTTATCTGGAGAATTGTAGTGTAGATGGAAGTAAACACAATCAATTAATAAACCTATTCCAGAAGGTTATCATGAATGGTAACTAGAAACAGATCAGGAGAGCCATGGTCTCCAGGGTTTCCATATTCAATTTTTACTGTTTACGAGTCAAAGTAAGTTTAGCCTCTTTAGTGACACTGCAAATAGGGAAAAAGAAAAGACTACAGGCTTTTTTTTTTTTTTTTTTTTTGCTTTTTAGATCATCTCTAATAAGAATAGCTGTATATTTAGAACATTTTTCTTGATGAATAAGTAAAAAATAAATCATTTCTTTGCCACATAACTTTGTTAGTTCTAGAAGCCTAAGGGAAGTGAGAACTTTCTGAATTTTCAGGTAAGTTGTAGCAAGGATGACTTGGGAGCTGCTGTTTCAAATGGCTGGCTGCTATCTCATATTTGTCATCTGTATTTGTCCTTGATCATGACATGGTTCCATTATTTCACTGTTAAAATCTTTAGGTCACTTGGGATAGCTATTTTATACAACCCAGAAACTAAGTAAATGTAATGATGAAAGATTTTGACTACCATATATTACTGAGGAAGAAAAAGATTCATATTTTATGTATTAACTTTGAATAAGGTTTCACTTAATGAAAGTGATAGTTATTGGTAAGATAAATCATAGTAATTTAAAATGATTGTAAGGTTGAGGTGTTCCATGCAGATATTTGGTTTTAAATAGGCATGCAAAAAATACATTAATTTAAAAAAAGGCCAGGTAGGCGAAAGCCCACCCACCCCAAAGAGCAGCCACAGAGACATGGTCGTTTTGGAGGCAGCCCACCTTCCAGAACCCCGACCTACAAGAAGACAGAGCTTATTTATGATTAGAGAGACATTCAATGTCTCCAGTTCATTCAGAAAAAGTCTGTGACCCTAGTATAAAACAGAAGGATGCATAACTACCTAGAGAATCTGGATCAGCACTGCTATTCACCCTGAGAAGGGTAAGAAGAGCACCTGGCTGGTTTTAGTAAGTTCACAGGAAGTGAGCTAGAAGTGGAATTAATAGAAACTCTGAGACAGAGGAAACCCGAAGCCATCCATCTGTAATCTTAGTTGCAGTGGTTGCCTTTGGTCAGTTGCTTTTTTTTCTTTTCTTCTTTCTTTTTCTTGCATGCCGAGTGTCAAGCCAACTTTGATAAGGTACATATCACTAAACAGTATCTTACTCTACAAGAGTGAGTCATGTTTAAACCATCAACTGAGGATTTATCTTTTCAACAATCCCAAAAGACGTTGAAAGTGGGGAGAATATGAGTTACGGGGGTCACCTTGAATAACACTTGTTTCTGCAAACAGTTTTATTAATGCTATGACTGAAAGTCTGACTCAGAGCCCTGTAAGTGTGTGACCTTAGGCTAGGAGATGATTATGATACTCAACGGGTGGCTTGAACCTCGACTCATTCTTTCTCCTTGATCACCTGTTCTTTGATAAAAGAAGCTACATTTTTTTGCTAACAAAAGGAGACCTGATTTTAGTTGAATGCCCAATGTATTTTCTGTGTGTGTGTGTGTGTGTGTGTGTGTGTGAGAGAGAGAGAGAGAGAGAGAGGAGAGAGAGAGAGACAGACAGACAGACAGACAGACACAGGGTCTTGCTCTGTTGCCCAGGCTGGAGTGCAGTGGTGCGATCATGACTCACTGTAACCTCGACCTCCCAGGCTCAGGCAGTCTTCCCATTTCAGCCTCCTGAGTAGCTGGGACTACAGGTGCAAGCCAGCATGCTTGGCTATTTTATTTTGTATTTTTTGAAGAAACAGGGTCTCCCTTTGTTGCCCCAGCTGATCTTGAACTCCTGGGCTCAAGATATCTGTCTGCCTTGGCTGCCTGAATTGCTGAGATTACAGATGTGAGTCACTGCGCTGGGCTCAGTGTATTTTTTAAACCTGGTCCAAATTGGTGAATACATGTTCTATGGTTCTTAGGGAACGTTCCTGTGGTTTAAAAGGTTTTATAGCTGGGCATGGTGGCACGTGTTTGTAGTCCCAGCCACTCAGGAGGCTAAGGTGGGAGGATCACTTGAGCTGAGGAGTTCGAGACCAGTCTAGGCAACATAGTGAGACTCCATCTCTACAAAACCAAAAAACATATATGTTAGCCAGGTGCGGGGTGTGCGCCTGTGGTGCCAGCTGCTAGGGAGGCCGAGATGGGAGCATCGCTTGAGCCTGAGAGGTTGAGGCTACAGTGAGCTATGATTGTGCCACTGCTCTCCAGCCTAGGCTATGGAGCAAGACCCTGTCTCAGAAAAAAACCAAAACAATAATAATAAATAAATACAGGGTTTTCCTGATAAGATGGTATTTGAGGTTATGATTAAAAAATATTTCAGTCTTACATTTTTTCAAATGTTGCATTACTTTCCACAAATTTTTCAAATGGTATAGATGAGGAGAAACAAAACATTGTCTTGATACCAGAGAAAGCAATTTACCGATAGGTTTTCAGTCATGCTTACCCTGGAAAAACAAGCTTATTACACAAGTTTATTCTTTAGAGTAGTGGCTCGTGTGCAACTAGAAAATGGAATCACTGCTCAGTAAATTAATGTAAATCCTTTAGTACTGGCTTCCTCCAGCACTCTTTGGACTCCAGAAGTCAGTCTTCCTTCTAAGATTGGCTCTGGGCACAGCTGTAAAGCGGATGATGTTTCGACCAAACCCCAGCACTTGGTTCCAGTCCCTTCCCTTGGGTCTTCCTTCCCCTTTCACTTCTCTAATGGACTTAATGTCTAGCATAGCTCCCCTAGCAAGAGCAGGATTTGTCTTGATGTGCCACGTACTTATTTCCAGATTTCCCTTGATCCCTTGGTAATTTGGGCTAGTTTCTCTTCCCCTGCGTCGGCACCAACGTTTGACTCCATGGTTGTGAAATTGAAGAAGTCGTGATAAGCTTCAATGCTTGGGGCCAGGCCAGAAGTGGTGGGAGGCAAACTGGTAGAATTCACCTTTTACTTTTTATTTTTAGGTGATTTGGTTTATGGCACCTGATCCCTTATCTCCTCTAACTCTGCATTTTGGTTCTCTTGGTATAAGCCTTATCTTCAAGGTTTCTTCCCCATTTATAGTAGATTAAGGGGTACTCTTGTTGCCCCTAAGTTGCTTCTCTCCCATTTTCCAGTTTTTAGTGCGTTGGCTTGTGGGCGTCTGGGCATTGCTTCCTGAATTGTGCCCTCCACCCCAGGAGGCTATTATTTAGCAGTGGATTATTACTGGCTGGGCGCAGTGGCTCACACCTGTAATCTCAGCACTTTGGGAGGGCAAGGCGGGTGGATCACTTGGGGTCAGGAGTTCAAGACCAGCCTGGCCAACATGGTGAGACCCCGTCTGTACTAAAAATACAAAAATTACTCAGGCGTGGTGGTGTGTGCCTATAGTCCCAGGTATTTGGGAGGCTGAGGTAGGAGAATCGTTTGAACCCAGGAGGCAGAGGTTCCAGTGAACTGAGATCACACCACTGCACTCCAGTTGGGGCAAAAGAGCCAGACTCCTTCTCCAGAAAAAAAAAAAAAAAAAAAGATTACGATTATACCATGAGAGATTTATCCTGGTTGCTGTATGTCCATTTGCTCCTTTTCTACGGGAGCAAGATTATGTTTAAACTGAGTTTGTAGAGATGTTTGGACCAATTAACTCCCAAAGAGTGTGATCAAGTGCAGCAGGACAGTTTGACCTCTTTTCTAGTTTCAGCCACCGTGAATTGGCCTTGTCTTCACTTTGTTTATCTCCTCCAGCACAGAATAATTCAATCTCCAGGCCCTGATCTCTGAGGGAAGATTCTAGAGGGTGAAGTCATCTCATTCCTTGCTCTTACTGATCTGCATTAGGACTGACTGCAGAAACTAGGGCCTTGCTGCCTCCTTCTGAAGACCTTCTGGGCCCTATCACTGGCTGCTATTCTCACAAGGCTGGGGAGGGTGTGGCTCTGTGTTCTGCTCTCCCTCCCCATTTCTTTCTCTGGTTTGGGGGACAAATTTTGCAGTCCATCAGCAATCACGGCTGCAGAGCATGCAGTGGTCACTGCCCTACAACTGGAGCTGTAGTGACCAGAAAAGAAAATAATCACATCCTTGGTGAAGAACGGAGTGGCTCATCCAGGAGCTTATGTGGCTGTGGATGTTCTGGCCTGAGCATGGCCATTTCCAGCAAGACATTCTGGATCCTCAGGGCTGAAGAAGGACCAGACACTATTTTTGTAACTTCTGAAACCTAATAGAAATCTATGTGTGCCTACGGTGATGTGTACCTGTAAATGTAAAATTTATTTGCCTTTGATTTGAATGACATAAGCTACCTGTGGGCACCTCAGTTCCCCCATGCCCATCAGAAGCTCCTTTTGGCACTTACATGTGTAAGAAAATATTGACAAGTGAATTATTACAATTTTTATTTTTTGAGACGGGGCCTTGCTCTTTCACCCAGGCTGGAGTGCAGTGGCGTGATCTCAGCTGACTGCAACCACTGTCTCCCGGGCTCAGGTGAACATCTGGGCTGCCTCATCTTAGATCTTTTTTTTTGTGAGACCGAGTCTGTCTCTGTTGCCCAGCCTGGAGTGCAATGGCGCGATCTCGGCTCACTGCAACCTCCGCCTCCCAGGTTCAAGCGATTCTCCTGCCTCAGCCTCCCGAGTAGCTGAAATAACAGGCACACATCACCATGCCCAGTTAATTTTTGTATTTTTAGTAGAGACGGGGTTTCTTCATGTTGGCCAGGCTGGTCTCGAACTCCTGACCTCAGGTGATCCGCCTGTCTCGGCCTTCCAAAGTGTTGGGATTAAAGGTGTGAGCCACCGCGCCTGCCCTGTAGATCATTTTAAGGAATCAACGTACCCTTTTCCCTCACAAGAGGGAGGCTCGTGTGATCCTCCCACCGCCACCTCCTGTAGCTGGGACCACAGGTGCACACCACCACACCTGGCTACTTTTATTTTATTTTCTGTGTTCTTAGTAGAGATAAGATCTTGCCGTGTTGCCCAGGCTGAAATTATTAAGGCAGGTAAAATCTTTCAAAATAAAGAGTTTTGTGAGGGGGAAAAAGGTATGTTGATTCCTTAAAATGGTTTGCAGATGGGGCAGCCCTGTTGTTTGGATAGCTGGGGCATTATTCAACACTTGAGAAATTGAGAACAAGGATTCAAATCCCAAAGACTTAAAGTTTCTTGTAAAAGTGTTGAGTGATAAAATAAATTTAACATCCCAGTTTTGAACAGCCACTTCTCTTACCAAAAAAACGACCTTTAGGGAAATGAGTCCCCCCACCAGAAGGTGTGCTTTTTAGACTTTTTAGACTATGGAGCCTAAAAACCTAATAACCTGAGGCAATCGCATTGGCCTGTCAGGAGCTTTGGCTTAACATGTCTGGGCCTTCCTTTTACCAGGGGTCTTTATTGCTGTGTATTGACCCATTTTTCTTCCTTACGCTAAAGCTTGTGCAGGTGGGGCAGGACCACACCACCCCAACAGGTAGGATGCTGTGTCCCTTTGAACACTGGCAGGACAGCATTTGGTTCTCTCCCCAGGCAGCTCAACACAAGGGCTTGGACCTATCCTTCCGCAGGAAGAGTTGGTTTAGACCAACCACCGCTTTCTGATTTAACCTTAGTCTGGACCTGGTTGTCCAGATGAATAGATTCTAATGTAACTGCTCATCAGAACAACCTTTGTACCTGCATAAAAATGACTTATGTGGCAATTTGACAAGATCTGCGAAGATTGATGGTCCCTGGCAGCAGTTAGAGGTTGTTTCTCATGCTGATGAAACAGACTAGGACTCTTCTACAATCTTGTTTCTGACTTTTCTTGAGTGGGATGATAAAAATTGGAGAGCTCCTGGCCGGGCGCGGTGGCTCACGCCTGTAATCCCAGCACTTTGGGAGGCCGAGGCGGGCGGATCACGAGGTCAGGAGATCGAGACCATCCTGGCTAAAACGGTGAAACCCCGTCTCTACTAAAAATACAAAAAATTAGCCGGGCGTGTGGCGGGCGCCTGTAGTCCCAGCTACTTGGGAGGCTGAGGCAGGAGAATGGCGTGAACCCGGGAGGCGGAGCTTGCAGTGAGCCGAGATCCCGCCACTGCACTCCAGCCTGGGCGACAGAGCGAGACTCCGTCTCAAAAAAAAAAAAAAAAAAAAAAAAATTTGGAGAGCTCCTTTGGGAGGCTGAGGCGGGTGGATCATGAGGTCAGGAGATTGAGACCATCCTGGCTAACATGGTGAAACCTCCTGTCTACTAAAAATACAAAAAATTAGCCGGGTGTGGTGGCGGGTGCCTGTAGTCCCAGCTACTCAGGAGGCTGAGGCAGGAGAATGGCGTGAACCTGGGAGGCGGAGCTTGCAGTGAGCTGAGATCGCGCCACTGCACTCCAGCCTGGGTGACAGAGCAAGACTCCGTCTCAAAAAAAAAAAAAAAAAAATTGGAGAGCTCCAGCTGCGGGAAGGTGCATGTTTCTCTAATGCAAATTAGCATGGGCCTACAGTGTATGAAGCAGGAATTAGGATCACACAAATCTGGGTTTGAATTCTGGCTCTATGATTTAGCTTCGTAAGTTCGGTCATGCTACTCAGTTTTTTCATTTTTAAAATGTGAGTAGTACTGGTCTTGCAAGATTGTATAAGGATTAAATGAACTAATATAATAGGATTAGCAAAGTGCCTAGTATAGTTACACAATCAGGTTGAGAGATGGGATGATGGTCAAAGCTTTTGCAAAAGCAGTATGGAGGTGAATCGCCCACTTTAGGAGAAGCCACTACGTTGGTCTTTCACAGGAAGTGTTTTTGACTTTTACATCTTTCTACCTGAGAAGCAGAGTGGTGAATGAGAATGGAGCATGGCTTTGGTGCCAGATGGATGGGGTATGGATGTTGGTCATGCTTGTTAGTCTTGTATGTTTATGAATTACATGGCTTTCTGCACCTGGTTCCTCAGGCCTAGGCCCTCAGAGCTGTTGTGAGGAATAGCATGGATGCACGTGCAGTGTCCTGCACTGTGCCTGACACACAGGAGAGACTCATGAATGACACCATTATACCCACGGAGTCCTGGTCTCTAGTCCTAGTGTTGTAGAATAACTGTTTGTGGAAGGAATGGATGAAGTGACAGTCTTATACATGGGAGTGAGTATGCAAAGACAGGCTTTACAACTTACTGGAAGGTTTAAAAGAGTGGATATCTGGCCGGGCGGGGTGGCTCAGCCTGTAATCCCAGCACTTTGGGAGGCCGAGGTGGGAGGATCACGAGGTCAGGAGATCAAGACCATCCTGGCCAACATGTTGAAACCTCGTCTCTACTAAAAATACAAAAATTAGCTGAGCATGGTGGCACGGGCCTGGAATCCCAGCTACTCGGGAGGCTGAGGCAGGAGAATCACTTGAACCAGGGAGTCAGAGGTTGCAGGGAGCCGAGATTGTGCCACTGCACTCCAGGCTGGTGACAGAGCAAGACTCTGTCTTAATTAAAAAAAAAAAAAAGAGTGGACATCTTATAAGTCTTTATAGGTAGTATTTTTTTTAAGATTTGGCATTATATCTGAAGCTTAATTTATTATCCAATAAATATGGCAACTACATTATCATTTCCTGCCAGTTATACATGTAAGGTTGTTGATTAATTTTATAATGGAGAACACAGATTGAGTTTTAAGATATTGAGTAATTTAACAGGAGAAAGTAAATGACTATTTTCTTACATTTGGGAAAGTGAAAATATATTTTAAAACCTTGAATATATCCTTAAGCACAGTTAAGCAAAAGGGGAAAGAATTAAAATAAACGGATATGTAAATGGATGTGAAAAGAATAGTCATGGCCGGAAATGTGTGTCATAAGCTACCAGTTATATACAGATTCAAGTGATTTCTTGAGAAAGTTAATCACTCAGGACCAAAGTAAACAGTTCTTATCAGAACTTACCTTGAACGAGTTTGTCCTCATCATTTCTCCATTATCTATGCTAAAGGATTATAAATCCATTTTAATTAAAAGTAGTGAACAACTCTCTCTTATACCACATCAATAAGCATAACACCATTAGTATGACTTTGACACTTGAACTAAAAAAACAATCCAGCGTTAAGAGGTAAATGAAGCTGATAACCATCTAGTGAATTTAGGTTATATGCTCAGTTTGGATGAATTAGGTCTCAAGATGGATTTTGCACTCTCTTCCAGTATTAGCTGTTCATGGCCAGCGTTCACCAGATAATTATTAAATCTACACTTTCCTTCTTTATAGACTTGGACTTACTGGCTGTTGCAATAAAGCAAAAATCTCATGCACATATACAGTCACATTTGAAATATTCACAGCTTTTAAGTGGGTAAAATCATAGTTAGACAATCTCTGAATCAGAAGAGTCAATGACATTTAGATGTTTGCAGTCTGCTTTTTGCTCAACTGAAGCCCCTTAGTGTTACAAGTTGAATTCAGCCAGATACATTGGAATCTTGTTGAATTATTTTTTTTTTCTTTCAGAAAAGCAACTTATGTATGCCAACTAGTGCTTCAAGGAAAGTGTCCTGATTCTCTTAGAAATACGCCAAGGAATTCTGGTAGAATATGGACTCCTTTTTTTTTTTTTTTTTTTTTTGAGACCAAGTATCCCTCTGTTGCCCAAGCTGGAGTGTAATGGCGTGATCTCTGCTCACTGCAACCTCCACCTCCCGGGTTCAAGGATTCCTGTGCCTCAGCCTCTTGAGTAGCTGGGACTACAGGCGTCACCATGCCTGGCTAATTTTTGTATTTTTAGTAGAGATGGGGTTTCAGCATGTTGGCCAAGCTGGTCTCGAACTCCTGACCTCAGGTGATCCGCCCGCCTCGGCCTCCCAAAGTGCTGGTATTACAGGCATGAGCCACCATGTCCAGCTTGGATTCCTCTTAATGCAAGGAGAGAAGCTGTGCATTTTAAAGTAGTGATCCCCTCTAAATGTATCCTTTTAAATATTTCTCCCTCTCTTTGCAGTAGATCATGTATGAAATGGCTCATGTTTTTAGATAAAAAAAAATCAAATAGGCATTAACTCTTTTTGCACTGAAGAAGTCTTTCAGTACCTATAGTTGTGCCACTGAAGTGTCATAAGAGATCTAAAACCATGTATTAGGACTGGAAGAGACCTGAGGGGTCATCTGGTCAACCAGCTTATTTTACAAATGAGACACAGGCTGGCAGCTCGCCCACAGCCTGTCTGTCACACAGGGAGTGGGTGGTACACACAAGACGATAACTCAGGCTTCTTTCCAATTTCAGCTGCCCTCAGTTTTCCATTTCATTTGGCAGTTGTGCATTTTGGCATTTGCTGGATTCACACATTTTGGTTTGTAGAAAATTACCAAGTTTTAACGTATGAATGATTGAGGTGAAGGCAGAATATTGTCACAGAAACACTTGATGGATAGTTTTGCTCCTCTACTTAAGTCTGATGGAAACATTTGAAATAAAATTGACTTCAACTCAGTAGTCCCTTTTTCTCATAACCAAAAATGAAGTCCCCGACTATGTAACCAAGTGTCTCATAGCAAATGTTTCTGACCTTTTAGAACAGAAGAATCCGTAACAGAAGATGACAAGAGGAGGTATGTTTGGTATTGCAGCTGGCTTTAGTTTGAATGGTTTTGGCCATACCTCATGGATTTAACACACTGTAGCATATTCCCAATAACACAGATTCTGCCAGGAAAACTGTTGGCACAGAGAATACAGGTAGGGGCATATGGTCTGAAAAAGAACTTGCCCAGGATTCATCATCTTTGCTCCTTCCAAGCAAACTTGGTTTTTGTCCTATGCATGTGGCGTGTGCTAATTTTCATCCTATGACCTTTGGGTGTGCTCTTCTCCCTAACTGGATGACTTCCCTTCATTCTCTCAGCCTTCCCTGTCCTCCTACTTCTCTGATTAACTGCACTCCACCCTCATTTCTCTCTTGCTGTCTCTGCCCTCATTTTGTATCTCTCTATTAGTAAGATATCTTTGTGTGTCCATAATGCCTAATATCATACCATGTTGACCACTCTGAATTATTGATAAATGTTAACTGTAACATGTCACTGTATGATATTTAATACTCTAATAAATTGTAACATCCCAAAGTCTTTTCTTCTTTCTCATTACAAGTAAAATATCTAAAAATTCTACTAACGCAATACATCTTTCTTTTTTTTAAAAAAAATAGCTTCTTTTTAACCTAGGAAACCAATTATATTCCCAAGGGCCATAATATTCTAGATTCTACTTTTGAAAAATCATGAGTTATTTTAATAATTATATAATTGTTTGGAGTACTCCGTGCTTCTGTTGCTTCCTGTAAATAGATAGTACCATTTAAATTGGTTTGATTTCTTTTTATCAAGAAACTATGGAGGAGTATATGTTGGCCTACCATCTGAAGCTGTCAATATGGTGTCCAGTCAAACAAAGACGGTTCGGAAAAGTAAGTGAAATCATGTGCTGTTGATTTTCCCTAATTATTTATTTTTATGTTTTATGAAAAAGCATGAAATTTATATTTCAGCTTACTCGACTCAACCTATGTATTGGTTGCAGTGAACCATGTATAAGTACTGTCTGTTCATTGCAGTCATTGGTTGAAATAGCCACCCACATGGTAAGAAGAATTCCAGAGCATAATTTAGCTTTTATTTGTGGTTATGCTCCATATTTTTAATTTCTTGTTAATTTTAGCAATGATCAGTGTGAAAATGAAAGCTAATATTTATGTAAGTTTATGGCATTTTCATAGAACAGAAAGGTAAATTTCTGTAATATAAGATGACTGACTGATAAGCAATCTGCTGTTTAAAGGAAAAATAATTGCCTATTGTATAATTAAATGAAATGAGGCTTCATTTTCTGAGTTTTAATAGTTAGCAATTATGGGGCCAATGAAGTCCTTTTGACTGATAGATATCTTCTTGCTCAAGGCAATTTTTAAGCGAGGCTCATGGTAAACAATGCTGATTTATAAAACCACTGTACAATGTATTGTCTGATGTATAGTTTTAAATGACTATTAACATGTTTGCTTTATACACAAGGCTGTATTACATTATTTTGAACATACTATATTTGTTCCTCATTGTTCTTTCTGTACTTTGTGATTTAGACTAGCAAATACATGTATGTCATTACTGTTTAATGTTCTATAGAAAATTAGAATATGCTATTTATAATCTGAACATTTAACTTTTCTTAATTTTCTCTTTAAGATTAGAAGAAAATAACATCATGACTCAAGAATCAAGAGGTGCTGTATATTTTTCTAAATAATTCTATATATTTAGACTTATTGATGAATGGACTGTAGATATTATTTGCTCTATAAAAAATTTCTAAGAAATCTTGAACTTTACAATTTAAAGGAGGGGTTTCATCCTATGGAATTGAGTGTGTTTTATTGCATAGAGGTGAATAATCAGATCAATTTTCTTTCAGCTACTTTTTTCATTTCATTTTGTTAAAAATGAATATTTATTTAATAAGAGCAAGCTAAGTGTCTCCCTAAAACATTGAGATCTCACCCTTCTTCATTGCAGAAATCTTTGAGGGCCTAGGACTTGAGAAATGACAGGGAGAGACCAGAGAGGCTAGAACTGGGGATTAGATTAGAATCGATTTTAAGTGGTATTAGCCAGTGGTTAATATACAGAGAGGAGATGTGTCAGTACCAGAACTCCAGTAGAGATGGGCAATCGGTCAATTAAGTCCCAAACACTTAATATTGATTCTAATCTAACTGAACAGAGATGTAGTTATGCAGGAAGGAATAGTAAGAATCAGAGAATAAGTTAACAGATTGGTTTTACAAAACACGTTCAGTATGGACATGGCAAAGAGCTAGGAGTTAGAATTATAATAAGAAACAAGAACAACGACAAGAGAAAAATAGCTTTCATTTGTTAACTACCCTACATACCAGTCTTTAAAAGACATGGAGCAGCATTTCCATACAGACAAAGAATCTTAGTTCACTGGGTCCACCAAGGGTCCAACAACACATTCCATGCTGGGCTCTCCACTGTATTTCACTCCTGGTGAATGACACCCAACCTCTTTTGAGGCCTCCAGTGATTAGGAACGTCCTATCTCCTGAGATAGCCTGTTCTATTCTGGAAGTCAGGTTGCCTTGGTTATGAATTCAGGCTCTCATTTACTAGCTGGGCACGTTCCTTCCCCTTTATGACCTCAGTTTTGTTATCTGAAAAATGGAGCCAATACTTAGACTGAAGAGTTGTTGTTAGGATTAAATATGAAATAAATGTTAGCATCTGCTATCATCATCGTCATCACCACCATACTATTAATTTTTTTTGATAACCAGAATCTAACCGTTGGCAGACCAAAAGCAAGACTGATTTGATACTGAACCAACTTCTTGCCCAGGGCCAGTACTGGATTTGCTGTTTGGGATGGGGTGGGATTACAGACTAATTTCACAGGTAGAGACAAACAAACTTACCTGCTAGAGAAAGGAGACGCAGAAACTGTAACCAGTTTCTTCCTGACAAGAACTAGAACAATCTGTGGGTAGCTACTTCTTTGAAGATTTGCTCATCAAGGCAACATTTTGGAGTTTTATCCCCTCGTACCCATGAACAGAGGGTATTCGGTTTCTTCTTGGGAGGTCACTGGAGAGTTTCTATTTCTAGTATTTTTAACATAGTTCTAGCCCTCCATATAGATTTCTGAGTTCTCCGCTAGTTTTCTCCTGTGCAGAAGTACTTTTATTATTTGTATCAAATAGAAAAGATAAGTTGAAACCAAGAATATACTGCTGTTTACCCTCCTGGAAACAGAATGTATTTCAAAAAGCATAGAAATAGAGTGGAAAGAGGTGCTGTCTACATAGCTATCAGGAGACTGGGCAGCTCTGCTACCAACACAGACCTAAGACGAATCCCTTAACTTCCCTCAGCTTGTCTCAACCACAGTTTTCTCATGGGAGTGTTAGACACGATGATTGCTCACCCTTGTGGGTGGATCTGAAGTTTGCCACTAACACTTTAGCATAATCCTGGTGAGCAAGCTCATATAATTTTAGGCAGCTAGCTAAAACATTTCTTACTGTTCATGGCTGTAAATTTATCGTATTTTATTGCACCCCTCTCTCTCCTCAACTTTCCCCATTCTTTAACTCTTTCTTTTTTTTCTATTACCCTTACATTTTATTTATTTTACTTATTTTTATTTTTATTTTACTTTAAGTTCTGGGATACATGTGCTGAACGTGCAGGCTTGTTACATAGGTAAACATGTGCCATGGTGGTTTGCTGCACCTATCAACCCATCATCTAGGTTTTAAGCCGCACATGTATTAGGTATTTGTCCTAATGCTCTCCCTCCCCTTTCCCCCAACCCCTGAACAGGCCCCGCTGTGTGATGTTCCCCTCCCTGTGTCCATGTATTCTCATGGTTCAGCTCCCACTTATGAGTGAGAACATGCGATGTTTAGCTGTCTCTAAACAATTAGTTTGATCCTGGTCTTTCTGTAGCCTCCTTTGAATTATCTGAAAAGTTTTCTAAGTTGATAGGCTGCCCATTTTCCTTAGATGCTAAGCATCCATTGTGGTCCTTACCTGTGACATGTCTGAACTCATGGCTTTCTAGGCCTTAGTTGTTGGGCAGAAACCCTGATGAGATGACTTTAGAAAAGAGATGTTTCATGGAAAGAATTGGAGACACTTTTGTTGTTGTTGTTGTTTGTTTGTTTTTTACCTAACATGTAGACTCTCTGAACTAAATGCACTCAGTGACCAAAGTTCAAAGTTGATTTGGTTTGGTTGATTTTGAAACAAATTGAGGAATGATTTCAGAATCCCTTAAAATTACTTATGTCAGGATGCAGATGTGTAGTTTCTTCTGCAGATGACCCTAGGCTGAAAGTTATGCCCACTTAGATGTGCAGACTACTTCCAGCACAGAGGGGCTTAAGTGATGGTGCTCAGATGACAATGGATGGCCTGGCTGCATCAGAATCCCGTGGGGGAGTGCCATGTAATGTGGAGGCCTAGGCTCTCCCAGGAGGTTTGGACCAAGTGGGGAAGGGATGGAATTGTGACCGAACAGTCTCTATTTTTAATTTGGATGATGTTAATATACATGCAGCTAGGTTTGGGCATTGCTTATCAAGATGTATTTTAATTGTAAGTTTGTAAGTCTCTTTTCCTACCCAACTTTGCCTCTTTATATAATTATCATCAATGCTTGGCTCTACACTGGCCACCTAAGTCTTAAATTAATATTGGGTGAATATTAAATAGGTGTTTTACTTAAAAGAAAGTAAATAACTTGTAGGCTTAAGGCTAATACATTTTTTAACCTAAGTTGTACCTGTTTGCTCACTCTTTTCTCCTCTTCTGTTGTCTCCTTAGCTTGCTCATCAGTTTGGAAGGAATTTGGCTCCGTGGGACGTTGTAATGTGCACAGACATTTCCAAGGAAATTCTAAACAGTCACCCTTCCCTTTTGCATTCCCCCAAATCTTAAGTGTATACATAAAACCCTGGGTACATATTGTTGTGGTAATAGAAGGGAATTGGTTAAACAGTACACTTGTTTATGGAACTTTCTGTGGCCACCTACGAAAGACAAGTTAACAAACTGTCATGGAGGCTGTTGTTGCCCAGCCAGGGCCGCTGCATTTTGACAACATTTCCACCCTGGCCACTCAGCACATTTCATGGAGGTCATGTCTTTTCACTGATACTTTTTTGATAGTTTTTATATAACAAAATCCTTATTCTATTTATAACTTAAGATGATAAGGCACTATAAATTAATGACCTAAAATAATATATTTGTCTGTTATCTTTTGCTATTTCTACTTCACTTTAATTTTTAGCTGTAAAATTGGTAAATGGATTCTTACAACTATCTCTTTCCATTTCTTACTATTTGGTTTTCAAATTTCATTTAAATGTCAGAATTTCCTTTTTTAGGAACAATGTGTATTTCATTGCACTATTTAAAAATAAACTCAAATTTGCATGCCATATGCACATTTTGATTACATTTTTATTTTCTTTCGTGAAAGGCATGTGCAACTACAAATACTTCATAGCTGTTTGGGTTGCTCATTCTACATCACGACAATCTCATCATATTATTTCTATAACTTTTCAAGGACTTGCGATGGATGGTTAGTGGGATATCTGGAAATTAATTTGATAATGACTTGTGTATCTACTTAGTATTGCAATGTAAGTTACTCAATTCACCAATGTATTTCAACAATTAAAACATTTTTATCCCTCTTCACTTACATTTCTTAATTATTTTTCAAAAGAACACTTAAAGTCACACATGGCATTGTGATGTATAGATACATTATATAAACATATGAAGATAATAATATATAAGTAGATTACTAAGAAAAACCAAAGTTTTTCATAGGAAGAAAGGCATTATCTTATATATTTGGTCTGTATGACAACCACAGGGACATCAAATTGATAAAAAATTTCAAAGCTAAGAATTACTAAGAAATTATCCTGATACACACATTCCTGTCTCATGTTCATAAGTCCATAATGGTATTTAGGTGGAATATCAGCAGTTTGTCCTATTAGGAATAACAGATAGATTGACTTTTTTTTTTTTTTTGGTGATGGAGTCTTGCTCTGTCTCCCAGGCTGGAGTGCAATGGCATGATCTCGGCTCACTGCAACCTCTGCCTCCTGGGTTCAAGCGATTCTCCTGCCTTAGCCTGCCAGGTAGCTGGGACTACAGGTGTGCACCACCACGCCTGACTAATTTTTTGTAATTTTAGTAGACACGGGGTTTCACCATGTTGGCCAGGCTGGTCTTGAACTCCTGACCTCAGGTGATTCACCTGCCTTGGCCTCCCAAAGTGCTGGGATTATAGGTGTGAGCCACTGCACCTGGCCAGATTGACTTTTAAAAAACTTTTAATTTTGAAAAAATTTTAGATCCATAGAAGCACATAAAGATTATATGAAGAGTTCCTGTATGCGCTTAACCCAGCTACTTCTGATGTTAATCTTGCATGACCACAGTACATTTGTCAGAAGAAATTAAACATAGGTACAATGTGATAAACTACAGCCTTTAATTAGATTACATCAGTTTTTCTACTAATGTCCTTTTTGTTTGTTTCAGGATCAAATCCAAGATTCCATTGCATTCTGTTGCACTTGATCATCCTGTTTCCTTATTCTCCATTTGTCTCCTTAGTCTCCCCTTCCTGGTACTTTCTTCGTCTTTCCTTGTTTTTCATGACCTTGACACTTTTTTAGCCTACTGATTACATATTTTGTAGTGCATTTAATTTGAATTTGTCTGTTCTCTTATGATTGGACTGGGGTTGTAGATTTTTAGGAAGAGATATTAGCTGGGTGTGGTGGCACACACCTATAGTCCCAGCTACTCAGGAGGCTGAGGTGGGAGGATTGCGTGAGCCCCGGAGTTTGAGATTGCAGTGAGCTGTGATCGCACCACTGCACTCCATCCTGGGCCACAGAACAAGACCCTGTCTCTGGAACAGAGATTGGTGGGAAGAGGACCACAGAGGTAAAGTGGCCCCCTCATTAGAGCATATCATTATATCTCATGATCTCAACATGACTTATTACTGCTGATATTGACCTTCATCACTTGACTAGGTGATATCTGGCAGCTTTCTCTTTGATAAAGTTTCAAGTTTTTTATTTATTTATTTATTTTTTTTTTTGGAGATGGGCTTGCTGTGTTGCCCAGGCTGGAGTGCAGTGGCACGATCACAGCTCACTGCAGCCTCAAACTCCTTGACTTAGGTGATCCTCTCGCCTCAGCCTTCTGAGTAGCTGGGACTAGAGGTGCATGCCACCACACCCAGCTAATTAAAATTTTTTTTGTAGAGGTGGGGTTTCGCTCTGTTGCCCAGGCTATTATTGAACTCCTGGCCTCAAACAATCCTCCTGCCTTGGCTTCCCAAAGTGCTAGGATTACAGGTGTGAGCTACAGCACCTGGCCTCTAGTTTTCCGTTTTCATCCCCTGCTCCTTATAAGTGATAAATGAACCACTAAGTTGAGACCACACTCAAGGACAGGGGAATCAAGCTTCACCTCCTGGAGAAAAGAGTATCAAGGAATTTTTGGACTCTTAAAGGCACCACGGTAATTAATAAGTAATTTGGAGAAGATAGTTTGAGACTCTGCAAATACCCTGTTTCTCCTTAGAGTTTTGCCCACTAATTTTCAGGTTCATCCTTGGCTGTTGTCTGCAGCATCTGTTATGTGGCATAAAAATGTGACTTTCTATTTCCCTCGTTCCTCTACCTGTATTATTTGGAATTCTTCTCTAAGGAACATTTGTCCATTTTTCCCCCATTTACTTATTCAGTCATTCATTTTCATCAGTATGGGCTTTTGGATATTTATTTTGTCTTTTAGGTTATAATCCAATACTCTTGCTATTTTGTTGCTCAAATTGTTCCAGCTTTGGCTTCTGGGAGCTTTTTCAGGTTGGCTCTGACATGCTCCATCCTGCCCCCCACCTCCACTGCCTCCACCTTTGGTTGATTTTTAGTAACAAACAGGCCTCTAAAATAAAAATCCAATTCAAAAGTTTGTTTAAAACACATTCCTAAAACTTCATCACTTTTCATCATAACTGGATAGTAATTTCCATATTGTGATAAGTCTTGGCATTTTTCTTCAACTAGACATTTTTAAAATTTAGAACCTTGTGATTCTTACTTGCCACCCACTTAACCTATATCTTAAAGCTAATGACTATAATTTTTAATAAGTACTGCAAGAAACTTGAGTGAAGAACTCAGAGAAGAATAAATAACATTAAAACATTTCAGAAGAAAAAGAGATGGGTAAAGCCTTAAAAATGCCTGATATTTAAGAGTTAATGCCTTTTCAAACAATATATGGTTTCTTCGCAAGATTATTATTGAAAAATACAATGAAGAGATGAGTTTCTGAGATTTTCTGATTGATAAGATTGTCTGAATAAAAAAGGTTTTCTTAAGAAACCTTCTAAGCTAGAAGGCACTCATTGCTAGACTCAGTTAAAGAAGACAGCTATAATTTAGTTTTGGAGACCTGCTTGGAACTCTGGAATGTAGAAAACTCTGGTTTTGACAAGTACAGCTGACTTCTGGGGTGCTATTGAAGAATGCTGGCCTGTTGGAAAGTGATCTGGACTAGGCTCTGGGGAGAGAGGCAAAATGATAGAAGGCACTAAGTTAATACAGTGGGGAGTTGCCTTTCTGGTTTTTTGAATTGTTAAAAGAGTTTGAAGAGGAAGAGAAAACAGGCTTAGTTTTGCAAATGGGAGCTAGTGTATCTGTACTGTATCCATGCCCAAGGGTGGGAAGAATTTCTGGTGTGGAAAAGTTATGTAAGGAACTCATTCCCAGGAAGATCGTTTGCATTTACTTATTTACATATACTTGATGCACCTGATCAATTCAAGCAGTACAGAAGGATGAGGTGCTTTTCGTAGATTTTGTCCCAGTACCCAGTTCTGATTTTCCGTTGTTTCTCAACCATCACCAGTTGAGTTCTTGCTGTGCCCCTGATGGGCAATGGTTACTGGGGTACAGCTGAAAGACCCGATCCATGCACTCAAGGCTCTTCACATGAGTGGTGGATACTCTGGGTAGCCTGTAAGGAACATCTAGAGCAGTGGCCGGGGCTGGTAGAGATTGCTTCGGGACCACAGAGCAGGGACGCCTAAGTCAGGATGGTGGACGAAGGAAGACTTCCCAGAGGGCAGTCCCTGGTGCAGAGCCATAGGGAAGGTGTGAGTTTGCCAGCATAGATCAAGGAAGAAAGCAGCTTCAGGCTGAGAACCACAGGTGCAGAGACACCTGGAACGCTCTTGGCATAACCTGGGAAATGCTAGGAGTTGAGCCTGGCTGGGTGGAAGGTGATGGTAATGGGATGGGAGAGGCAGGCAAGGTGAGCTTGCGTGGAGCCTGGAGGGTCACCTTTGAACTTCTGAAGCCTGTGAGAAGCCACTGGGGAATGAAGCTGTCATGGAGCTTAGGTGCTTAAGGGCCGTCATGACTGGTCTTAGTTTCCCCTCCAGTGCCTGGTTTGTGGGTCTGTCTCTCTAGTAGGCATGATAAGTACTTGCAGTACTTTCCATGTCTTATGAAGGTGTAGCTTTCCCATTTAATCTATAATATTATATAAACTACTTGGAATTTTCAGGTGCATCATGTCGGGGTAGATGTAGCCAGGCAATGAGTGTGTCAGGAACATTCCATTAGGGCAGGGCCATGCCTATCCCAGCAGCAGGTATAATCATCAGCTGCTTGGTTTAGGTTTGTGACAATGTTGGGGTTATCTTGTTGCTTCACGTATTTCTCCCATGTCTTTTTTTTTTTTTTTTTTTTTTGAGGTGGAGTCTCATTCTGTTGCCCAGGCTGGAGTGCAGTGGTGTGATCTCGGCTCACTGCAACCTCCACCTCCTGGGTTCAAGCAGTCCTCCCACCTCAGCCTCCCAGGTAGCTAGGATTACAGGCGTGCACCACCATGCCCAGCTAATTTTTTTATTTTTATTTTTAGTAGAGAGACGGGGTTTCACCATGTTGGCCAGGCTGGTCTCGAACTCCTGACCTCAAGCAATCCACCCACCTTGGCTTCCCAGGTAGCTGGGATCACAGGTGTACATCACCGTTCTCGGCTTCTTATGTCTTTTTTCACAAAACTATTCCATTAAGACAAATTTCTGGCTGGGTGTGGTGGCTCACGCCTATAATCCCAGCACTTTGGGAGACCAAGGCGGGCAGATCACGAGGTCAGGAGTTCGAGACCAGCCTGGCTAACATGGCAAAACCCTGTCTCTACTAAAAATAAAAAAAATTAGCCAGGTGTGGTGGCAAGTGCCTGTAGTCCCAGCTACTCGGGAGGCTGAGGCAGGAGAATCACTTGAACCCGGGAGGCCCGGGGTTGCAGTGAGCCGAGACTGTGCCATTGCACTCCAGCCTGGGTGACAGAGTGAGACTCTAGCTCAAAAAAAGAAAAAAAAAAAAAAAAAAGACAAATTTCTTTCTCCATTAGTGAAGTCTCTGACACTTAGATAATGTAGTACTCAATTATATAATTTGCTTCTTCTCCAAATATTTAATATTAAAATACTGCAGACTCCTTAGAAGGCAGGGTCTTTGTATATTCTTTTTTATTCTTGTAGTCAAGCCTCAGGGACCCACCGTGAAGAAAAGGCCTTGTATTTGTGTAAAAGTGAAATAATTTGTGACTTTCTCCCCAGACACAGACCTTTTGGGCATCTACAGTGTCATCTCTCTTAAGAGCAGCAGTATCTTTGGAATTATTTTTAGGGCCTTTGGGAAGTTAGTTGGCTTTTCTGTACCTCAGAAATTTTCAATGGGATAAAATGAATTCTAATTCTCTTCTAAGATGGTTAGCAGAATTCATTTATTCATATCTTTCACCAACAATTTTCCCTGAGTATCTGTTATATGCCTGGCATTGTTTTAGAGATTTGAGATGCAACAGTGAACAAATCAGAAAAAAGTTCCTGTCATCCTGGGGTTATGTTCTACAGAGGGAAGGCATAGCAAATGAATAAATAATATATATGTAATTGTTACAATAATACCAGAGAAGAGGAAATAGCCAGCTGGGAAGGTGGGCATTGCAATTTTCATCTTAAACAGAATGATCAGGGAATTACTCCCTGGAAAGATGTCCTGTGAAGGCAAAGACCTGAAGGAGAAGTAGCCACCCCTGCAGGTATCCAGCAGAAGATGTTCCAAGAAGGACAGGTTAAAATGCCTTATGCAAGAGTGTGTCTGGCTTATTTGCAGAAGAGCCAAGAATTTGGTGTGGCAGGGCAAAGATTGCAAATAGGAGAGTAATAGGAGAGGTCAAAGGGCTGCTGGGAGGGAGATTTGGAGGAAGATCTGATCTCTTGTAGACCATCAGATGTATTTCCCGGGTGGCTTTCACCTTGGGAAATCATCCAGCCCTTGAGTGGTTTGGAGGAGAGGAGTCATGTGATCTAAGCTCGAACCAAGTTTGTCAGGTGTCGGGTGAGGATGGGAGCAGGGGGATCCCTTGGGAGGCTGTTAGAATAGGAAGGAGGACAAGACTTTGGAACAGGGTGACAGTATTGGAAGTGGTCAGATTCTGGATAGATTTTGAAGATCGAGTGGACAGAATTTGTTGATGTGTTAGCTATGGGGTGCAAGAGTGGAAAAAGAATTAAGGAGTAATACAAAGATCTTGGCTGAACCGCTAGGAGAATAAGGTTGCCATTTGCTGAGATGGTGAAGACTGTGGGAGGAGTAGGTATGGGGCGTGGTCAGGTGACTTGGACACATTAAGTTTGAGATGCATCTTTGACTTTAAAGGGGAAGCATAGAATAGGAAGGCAAGATATCAGGAGAGAGGTCAGAGCTGAGGTATCATTTTTTGGTGTGCATGCATGGGTGTATATTTGGCTATCAATTAGGTAAAGAATATTTGCAGCCATAGGGCTGCTGGGACCTCCAGCAGAGTGAGTAGATGGAGAAGAGTTTGAAGAGCTAGGTCTGGCCACTCAGTGTTTAGACTCTGGAAGATGAAGTGTCAGTGCTGAAGTAGCCAGAAAAAGACAGAGAAAACCAAGGAGAGTCTGGTGTCCTCGAAAGCACATGCAAAGAGTGCTGAATGAGGTATTTAGCAAATGGGTAGAATAATCATACTCTCACAAGCACAGATTCCCATAGAAATGGAGCCAATGGGAGCAGAGAAGAGAGTCTGGGGATATTAATTTTGTATTAGGCAGATAGTCTATTAACAGAAACTCTCTCCTATTTAGGTCTGTTATAACTGTTGGCTTAGGTATATTTTTATAACTGATGTAGGTTCTGTTTGGAGCAAAGAATGAAATCTATAACCTGAACTTCCTAATTCTTTCCCTAAAGGTGGTATTTCTTGTGAGGGAGTGATATAAAGAGATTGTATCCTTTAGGAACAAATTATTTTCTGTCTATATAATAGCTTTAGTGTAGTTACAGCCATAAAATATGTCAATTGAGAGAGTGGAAGTGACAAGCAGAACATACCTTACTGAATATCAGAGCTTTAATATACCCACAATAGCCAGAGGAAGACTGGGACAGGAATGGATAGATGGATGGAACAGAAGAGGAAGCACATACATATACTATAAGTATAAATTTTGCATATGATTATGTCATACATTGGAATGTAAAGAAAGTTATTTTTTTAAATGGTGCTGGAAATAGTTAAATAGTTACATGGAGAAATGCCACATATTACGTACTATCCTATAAATACAATTGAGTGGATTTGAACATAAACGATAAAACCATAAAACTGAAGAAAATATTGGTGAATGGTTCTATCTGACCATTGGGAAACAGATTTATGTGAATGGCACATGAGGCTGATTTTATAAAGTAAAATATTGGTAGACCTGATGATGGAAAAACACGAGAACATCTGTGTATGTGTGTGTGTGTATATATATATATATATATATATATATATATATATATATATATATATATATATATATATAAAGCCTGGAAACATATAAAAGGCAAATGGCTGGGAAACAAGGGAACGTTTGTGACGGACAAAGAGGTAATGTGCTTTGTAAAGAGCTCTTAGATGAAGGGCCTAAGAGACTTACTAACAAAGGAACTAAAAAGACAATTTGTAAAAGGAATATAAATGGCCATGAGTCATAGGAGGGAATTGAGTGTCATTAAAGTCAAATGATTGGGAATAAAAAATGAGAGACAGTTTTCACCCATCAATTGAAACTGCCCACTGCCCTCCTGTGGCTGTCAGCTGGACCGCGGGGGCTGCTGGTCCATGAGGACTTCTGTTCTTGGTCACTGTGACCGACATGATTCCTTGATGATTTCCACACCCACATGCAGGAACCATGCGGTGCCCTGGCCTCCCAGCTCTTTGACCTTTCCCTTCTCCAGTGAACTTGTTCTCCACCAAGCCCCTGACATCTGCTCCCATCCTGACACCCAGCGTTATTATCCATAACTACAGCTTCTCTCAAGGGCAGTTTCTAAGATCCCACACTCCGGCCGCTATCTCCTCTCTTTCCATCTCTGACTCCAGCCATCTTTTGGCCTTGGGGGCCACTCATTGCTGTTTTCACTGCTAGCCTTTCCTGTCCCTCCTTCCTCAGCTTAAACACCAAGGTCGCTCAGTGTCATCCCTCCTTTGCCTCCCTCTCTTTTGTAATCACTTGCCTGACTACAACCCTGGTTGAAGCCATGTCACTGCATGCATGTGCCCTGGTGATATGGCTGCATAGACAACCACACAGACAGGGACTTCCAGTGGGTCCATAATGCTGCCGGGGCACCACCCTCTATTTCCTGAGCCCATTCATTCTTTCTTTCCTTAGATGACTATTTCCTATCTTCTAGCTTTTCCTCAAACCTCCAACACATCCTCTCATCCTCACTCTCAGCTGTCACCCTTGCTTCCTATCTCACTAACAATGTAGAAACAATGTAGAAACAATCGGCCGGGCGCGGTGGCTCACGCCTGTAATCCCAGCACTTTGGGAGGCCGAGGCGGGCGGATCACGAGGTCAGGAGATCGAGACCATCCTGGCTAACACGGTGAAACCCTGTCTCTACTAAAAATACAAAAAATTAGCCGGGCGAGGTGGCGGGCCCCTGTAGTCCCAGCTACTCCGGAGGCTGAGGCAGGAGAATGGCGTGAACCCCAGGGGGCGGAGCCTGCAGTGAGCCGAGATTGCGCCACTGCACTCCAGCCTGGGCGACAGCGAGACTCCGTCTCAAAAAAAAAAAAAAAAAAAAAAAAAAAAAAAAAAAGAAACAATCGAGCTTCCCCCACGATGGGTACCATTGCTCCCCCTTTCCCGCATTGCATCCCATCCTCTTGCACCCAACCAAGCACTTTGCCCCAACAATTCTCCAACCAGTTCTTCCCGCCTACAGGATTATTTCCATCATCATACAAACATTATTTTATTTCTCCCGTCCTAAAAAAAGAACCGTCTCTCGATCAAATGCCCCTTTCTCTCCTTCCTTTGCCATCAGAGCTCCTAATAAGATTAGTCTATAATCACTGTCTCCACTTTCTCTCTTGAACCTACTCCAGTCAGGTCTTTGCTCCTCTCATTCCACTAAGACTGGTTCTCATGGGCACCAGTGGCCTCCTTATTGCTAATCTAATGGTCAATTCTTAGTCTTCATCTTAATCCTGATCCCTCCAGCCTCCCTGAGACTTCTCCACTTGGCTTCTGGGTCACCGCATTCTCTTGATTGTTTTCTTGCCTCTCTGTCTGCTCGTCCTCAGTATCCTTTGCTGATTCCTTCTGGCATCCAAACCTCTGAACACAGGCGTGCCCACAGCCTTCATCTTTGGACAGATCCTCTTTTCTGTCCATTCTATGTGCTGTTAATTCCTGTGTGCCCTCAGCCTTGACCTCTCCCTAAGCTTCAGTCCTCTATCCAACTGTCTACTTGGTGTCTCTACTAGGATGTCTTAAACCGTATCTCATATTAATAAGCTCATATCTGAGGTCTTGATCTCCACCCTCTACCCCTGTTCTGTTTTGTTCCTTTGCCAACTTCTCCAACTTAGTAAATGGCAACTTCATTCTCCAAGCTGCTCAGGTCAAAAAGCTGGGACTCACCCTGACTCTTTCTTAGCTCTCCCCCATCCCCGAATCAGCAAATCCTGTAGGTGCACGTGCCACCTTCACGTCTCTAGATTTCAATCTCTTCTCACCATCCCCATCACGTCTATTCCATTGCCACCATCATCTCCATCCTAGATTACGGCACTAGCCTCCTTCGTTCCTTAGCCCACCTCAGCCTGTTCTGAACACAGCAGCGAGAGGGATCTTGTTAAATTCCAAGTCAAACCCTCCAGTGCTCCCCTTCTCTTCCAGGGAAAGTTGAATTCCACACGGTCCTCCATAACACATCTATCTCCTCCTCCCCTTCTGATTTCGGTTACTCCTCTGACATCACTTACACACATTACTCTTCTCCTCTCTGCCTTTCTTCGGCCACACTGATTTTGCTTTACCTCGAACTTGCCAACCAGGCTCTCATCTCACACCTTCTCACTTGCCGATCCCTCATGTCTGCAATCTTGTCCTCCAGATATTTGCACGCCATCTCCCTATTTAGCACTTTACTCATATCTCCCCAGTAAGCCCTTCTCTGCCCACCCCATCTAAAATTCACGCCCCTTTCACCCAACACTTCCAGTTGTTATTGCTAGATTTATTTTTCTCATTAGCATTTACAATGAACATGCTGCATACTTTACTGATTTCCCTTGTTTACTGACAGCCTCCTGCACAAGAATGGAAACTCCAGGAAGCAGGAATTCCTTATCTCACTTGCTCATTGCTGTATCTCAGCACCCAGCCCAGAGCCTACCACCTAGTAAATGCCTAATAAGTATTTTTTTGAGTGACAAGATACTAAATATGATAATTCGCAGCCTTGGCATGAATGTGGCCAAATGGTCACTCTCATCTTTGCTTGGAAGTTTCAATTACTAAAACCTTTCTAGAGAGCAGTTTGGCAATTTGAATCAAGAACATTTAAGGCCAGGTGCGTTGGCTCATTCATGTAATCCCAGCACTTTGAGAGGCCGAGGCGGGCAGATCACTTGAGCTCAGGAATTTGAGACCAGCCTGGGCAACATGGGAAAACCTGGTCTCTACAAAAAATACAAAAAGTAGCCTGGTGTGGTGGCTCTTATCTGTAGTTCCAGCTACTCAGGAGGCTAAGGTGGGAGGATTGCTTGAGCCTGGGAGGTCGAGGCTGCAGTGAGCCATGCTCGCGTCACTGCACTCCAGCCTGGGCGACCCTGTCTCAAAAAAAGTGTGTGTGTGTGTGTGTGTGTGTGTGTGTGTGTGTATAATGAGATGTAGAGACTTACAAAAGGAATGTTCATCAAAGTTGCTTATAGTAAAGGGGAGTTGGAAACCATATAGTGTCCAACAATAAAGGGCTGCTTAAAAATTATGAATCAGCTATACAAAGGAATATTGTAGAGTCATCAAAATTATACTTTTATGCGTAATTTAATGGGAAAATGTGCATTGTCTATTTCACAAAACAAAGATATTAAATTTTGTATAGAATTATCCCAGATATATATGAATGTGTGTATATATGTATACATGTGTACATATATATGTATACACATGTACATATATATACACATGTACATATATATGTATACACATGTACATATATACACACATGTACATATATGTATATATACACACGTACATATATGTATATTTGTATACACATGTACATATATACACACAAATATAGTATATCTATAAGAGAGACAGGAAATACTGGCTTTCTGTTTGTGATGAAATGCAAATTCCTTATGTATTTTTCCAAAATGTTTAAAATGAGGCTTTTGTAATCAGAAGTATATAAGCCCCCTTCCCCCAAAGAAAATGATTATTCTACTGCCCGTCTTGACTGTATTCTTACTTGGGGGCAGGGTGGGTGGCGTGAACAGGGAGAGCTAATCTCTCCTTCTTTCTGACTCATTCCACAGTCAATCCTTTTTCTTATTATTTTCCAAAGGCATGAGGACCTTCCATGTTCCGAAACCATTGTCCAGAGTATTTCTTCTGGACTATTTTCCACTTCCTTCCATCTGACCGGCCAGCTGTTCTGCATTTGTAAAAGCTGGTTTCTGATGTCATCTCTAGGCAGGACCGCTCCCTCCCTCTCCTGCACTCCTATACTTCGTGGCATATCCGCCCCAAGATAACACTTGTCACTCTGTTTTCCAAATTCAGTTTCATTCATTTGCTTCACATGTGCACTGAGCCCACTGACTTCTTTCCCTGTCTGTTGCCAGCACTGGAGACCAAGCCTGCACGCTTTGGCCCAGACCATCTCATTCACCTTTTAACACAGAATCAGGGTGAGTGGAGAGTGGGGGAGTGGTGTGGTGGGTCTTTGCCTCTCGCTGTTCAGTGAACTTCATGCCTGTCCTCCTGATCCCCAGCGCTAACACAGGGTCAGGCTCGCGGGAGTGAACAACCACCATTTATCTCCGGCTTGTTGGGGGAAGCCCTTTCATTTACTTGACAGTTTACCTGTCAATTTTACGTGCGTGGTCATTTTTAATCCTCTGCACTTTCAGGTAATAGGAAAATAATTTGAATCAAGTTCTTCCTTCACCATTGGCGTAAAATCGGTGATTAAACTTTTAATATTTAACGTCTTAAAAAAAATTCCCCGGGCTAGCGTCATGCCTAAGTAATGCATGCATCTACTTCCCCCTGGTGGACTCATCTTCTAATAGCAGCTTTGTTTTCCCCCCTTTATTATTGGCAGGAGTAATCCATCTCTCACTTTCCTTAACACAGATATTCATGGATTGCAGGATTCAGCAGTGTCTTCATAATAGCAGGAAGTTTATGTTCTGGCTTTGCCACTTACTAGCTGTGTAACTTGGGCAATTTACTTAACTTCTCTGCGTCTCGGTTTCTTAACCTGTAAAATGGAGACAGTATCAATAATAAAATATTAAAAACGAATACATATCAAGTGCTTACTACATGGCATGTATGAACTCATTAAATTTCTACAAAAATCCTATTACATAAGATTTAAAATGTCCTGGCCGGGCACGGTGGCTCACGCCTGTAATCCCAGCACTTTGGGAGGCCGAGGCAGGCGGATCACGAGGTCAGGAGATCGAGACCATCCTGGCTAACATGGTGAAACCCCATCTCTACTAAAAAATACAAAAAATTAGCCGGACGTGGTGGCGGACGCCTGTAGTCCCAGCTAATCGGGAGGCTGAGGCAGGAGAATGGCATGAACCCGGGAGGCAGAGCTTGCAGTGAGCCGAGATCGCGCCACTGCACTCCAGCCTGGGCGACAAAGCAAGACTCTGTCTCAAAAAAAAAAAAAAAAAAATTTAAAATGTCCTATAAAATGGGAACAAATAGCCTGAGCAACATGGTGAAACCCCATCTCCAAAAAATACAAAAACATTAGCCAGGCATGGTGGCGCACGCCTGTAGTCCCAGCTACTTGGGAGGCTGAGATGGGAGTCCAGGGAGGTCAAGGCTGCAGCGAGCTGTGATCGTGCCACTGCACTCCAGCCTGCTGGACAGAGTGAGACCCTGTCTCAGGAAATAAATAAATAAATAAATAAATAAATAAATAAATAAATAAATTAAAATAAAATGGAAACAAATATTCTTTCCATTTTACAAATAAGAGAATCAAGAACTAGAGAAAAATAGTTCCTACTTCTTAGAGAAGTGTGAGAATCACATGAATTAATGCAGGGAGGATGGTTAGAGAGGGCCTGGCACATAGCGAGTGTCCCCTAACCTCATCGTCATTGTTAGTGTTACAGGATTGGTTCTGTGATGAAGACATTGCCATGGGCCATGTGGATCCTTGTTTACACTTGAGCTACTCTCATTTTCAACAGGCATCAATCACTTGCATGACAAAATATACACTATATCAAACAATGAGCTATGCTTATGTATTCATAGTTTTCTAGACACTTCTTAAGTCAGGGCATAAGTCTTCATTTCTCCAGAGGCTAATGGAAGGTCAGCCCATAGCCCATTTCACTCTTGAGTGTACTGGGGAGATCCTGGGAGAGGGGAAGGAAGAGTAAATGGGCAGATTGAGTATTTATATTAGGATGCAGCTGTCTAGAGGTAACCAGGGTCCCCATATATCTTCCCCACATTTTCCCAGGTCTGAGCATGAGCAGTGGGGATGAGGAACTGGGCTGGCACCCACAGCTATCCATGTAGCTTATTAAGCTGCTCATTTCCTCATGCATCTACGCCCTGAGCCCCTAAGTGTCTTGCACTGTTTGAAGTGCTGGCCTCTTGCTCAGCACTTCCATACAAAGTCCATCATGCTGCTGGATGCCAACAGAAATGAAAGAATCAGGGACACAGATGAAGACGAGAGCATGACCAATGTGTGGATTTTCTTGTAGACAAATTCTTTACATTTGCTATGGTCTGAATGCTTGTGTGCTCCCCGCCACCCCAATTCATGTGTTGAAATCCTAACCACGAACTCGATGGTATTCAGAGGTGGGGCCTTTGGGAAGTGATTAGGTCATAGGGATTCAGGCCCTTAGGAAAGAGGCCTGAAGGAGCTTGGTCATCCCTTCTACCAAGTGAGGACACAGCAAGAAGTTGTCCTCTGTGAACCCGGAAAGGGGCCCTCACCAGACATTGAATCTGCCAGTTCCTTGATCTTGAACTTCTCAGGCTCCAGGACTGTGAGAAATATGTTTTTTTGTTATTTGTAAGCCACCCAGTCTATGATACTGTGTTATAGCAGCCTGCAAGGACTAGGACAACATTGCATTTAAAAAAATAAAGTATACGTATTGTGTTAAGAAATGCAATAGGCTGGGTGTGGTGGCTCACGCCTGTAATCTCAACACTCTGGGAAGCTGAGGCAGGTGGGTCGCCTAGGAATTTGAGACCAGCCTTGGCAACATGGCGAAAAATTAGCCGGGTCTGGTGGTGTGCACCTGTAGTCCTAGCTACCAGGGAGGCTGAAGCGAGAGGATCTTCTGAGTCTGGGAGGTTGAGGCTGCAGTGAGCCAAGATTGGACCATTGCACTGCAGCCTGGGGGACAGAGTGAGACCCTCTCTCAAACAAACAAACAAACTCCAAAAAAGCAAAAAAAACAAAAACAAAAACAAAAAAACCCCCAAACCAATAAAAAGAAATGCAATAGTGTGAATATTTTTGAACTCTCACAACTTGATTAAAAGGCTAATCATGCAAAATAAAATATTGAACTTCTAACAAATTAAATTTAAATAATCAAGTCCAATATGAATGGAAATTATTGGGGGTGGGAGGGAGTACATTTTGGGGATTGATTATTATTATTTTTTTAACAAATAGAGCACTAGAAGCCAGTGCATAGAAAGCCGATGAAATATGAAATAACCTTCTAGGGAATGGCTAGGTCACTGGGTGCTCCATGGAAAGTCGAGCTTGGTGCGGACTCTAATTTGAAGATGAGTAGTGCAGTGACAGCACAGGCTGCTTCATGGAAAACAGGCAGCTGCCCCCACGTGTCCTTCACCTAAAAGCACCAGTTCTCTCTAACATTGATGCTGTGGAGGTGCACACAGGGCACAGTGGAGGTTGTCATGTAATTCATTGCCATTTACCTTTCTGCTGAGCATAGAATGGAATCTCATCCATGCTCATTTAACTTACTGATGGCATTAGAAGCCCCAGATTTATTTGTTTCCTTCTTTCCTTCCTTCCTTCCTTCCTTCTCTTTTTCTTTTTGCTTCTTTCTTTTTTGTTTCTTTCTTTTTCTTTTTCTTCTTTCTTTCTTTCTCTCTCTCTCTCTCCCTCCCCTTTCCTTCCTTCCTTCCTTCTTTCCTTCCTTCCTTCCTTTCTCTTCTCTTCTCTTTTTCTCTTTTCTTTTCTTTCCTTCTTTCTTTTTCTTTCTTTCTGTCTTTCCGACGCGGACTCACTTTGTCACCCAGGCTGGAATGCAGTGGCATGATCATAGCCCACTGCAGTCTCCAACTCCTGGGTTCAAGTAATCCTCCTGTCTCAGGCTCCCAAGTAGCTGGGACTACAGGCACATGCCACCACACCTGGCTATTTTTATTCTTTTGTAGAGACAAGTTCTCACTATGTTGCCCAGGCTGGTCTTAAACTCCTGGGCTCAAGTGATCCTCCTGTCTCAGCCTCCCAAAGTGCTGGGATTACAGGCGTGAGTCACCACGTGCAGCCTAATTGAGTTATTTATTGGTTTTGAGAGCAACGCCCAAAGGCCCAAGAAATGATAACTCATTCAGTGAAGGCTTCAACATGAAATGCCAACTTGAAAAAACAGAAAACAAGTTGCTTAATTTCTCCTCCACAACTTGAAAAAGAGCAGTGCAAGATGTTGACTTAGAGGAAAATTCATCATGCAAGATTTAGAGGAAAATTCAGCAAACACTTATTGAGCACTTACTATTTAGGCCAGGCCTGTGTTAGATCCTTCCTATATAGTATCTCATTTAATCCTTAAAGCCACAGAGAAATTAAAACTATAGAGATTATTATACTATAACAAGGTTAACCCTCTAGGCAACAGCTTGGGATTTTCCATGTATGCCTGTTTACTGCTAGAGAATTTAATTTGGAGACAAAATGATTTTAATGCCCTCGCACCTGTAGGAATACTTTCCTTTCTCTTCCTTCTGTTGGAATGTGAAGAGGCCCAAGAAAATATTACTCTTCCTTGCCAAGTTCTGAACGAGTTGAGAAATAGGACAAAAGAGTAAGGCAAATGGAAGAGCAAGATGTCACCTTTGTTGCTGATGAAGCTGATTTTTGGAGATTGTGCCTTTTTTTTCTGTGGGTAAGCAGATTTCCTACTACCGAACCCCAGAGTTAGAAATACCCAGCCACCAGCAGTGTGGGGCCACCCTGGGCCTCTGCACACACAGGACTATGCCCGGAAGACCCTCAGTGTGTGTGTGTGTGTGTGTGGTGGTAGGGCATGGGGAGGAGAATGTGTATTTCCTGCAGGCAGTCAGCTCCCAAGGAGAAAGGGAGTAAAGGGGCTGGGCTATCCTGGTGCAATGCCTACTCTCAGCAGAGTTGGCTAGCACCGGCTTGTGCATATCTCAGCTCCAGGTTCAGTGACCTTCTCAGCTACCTTGTCGGTAGCTTGGTACCGACATTTCAGCCCTGCTGAAATGGGTATCTTTACACTACAGAAGTTATCAAATGCTGCAAATTGAAACTTTTGCCCCAGAGAACCAATTGTTGAACATTTACCTGCACACCACCGGCTGCTCCCAAAATTTCCAACCAGAGATCTTTCTTCTTCCCCAGCAAAAAAGTGAATGAGAGGGGTGGAAAAAGGGTGGAGCCGGAGCTGAGAAGAAGAGTTAGCATCACCACGGTCTTCCTCCAGGTGAAGTAGAGTTACATCTTTATTGGTGATTCTCAAGACCAAGGCCATGAAAATGACCCCTCCAGCTAGGGCTCTGTTCTCTGTTTCCCTTTACAGCAAAGCTCCTCAAAGGGTTGCCTACACTGTCTGGTTTTTTTTTTTTTTTTTTTTTTTTTTTTAGACAGAGTCTCTCTCTGTTGCCCAGGCTAGGGTGCAGTGGTGCCATCTTCGTTCACTGCAACCTCCGCCTCCAGGGTTCAAGCGATTCTTCTGCCTTAGCCTCCTGAGCAGCTGGGATTACAGGTGCGCGCCACCACGCCCAGCTAATTTTTTTGTATTTTTAGTAGAGACAGGGTTTCATCATGTTGGTCTGGCTGGTCTTGAACTCCTGACCTCGTGATCTGCCTCCCTCAGCTTCCCAAAGTGCTTGGATTATAGGCATGAGCCACTGCCCGGCCCACATTCTGTTTTTAAATGTTTTCTTTGAGTCAGACCATTAATGGGATAAGGGTGATAAAGCCGCTTACCCTACTGGGAAGCACTGGGAAGTTGCAGGCTCAGGATGCATGCGTGATCCCTTTGTGACAAGGATGCATACTCCTTTTGGAGAAGCATGAAGAAGTGGAGACCATCGTCCTCTGACCACTACCACTCATGGTCCTTGAATTCTGCATGCTCATCACACTGTTGAGGACGATGGCTATGGGGTTCCCTAAAGCTTTACCTTCCAGGGACATTTTGTTTCCAGACATCCCAGTGATAGTGCAGAGGCTGGATTTACGCACATAAGAACATGCACTGTCAGAGCCTGATCCTCTTTTTTAACTGTATTCTCTTGACTTGAGATCCAACCATGCCAGAAAATTCATCCTTAATTTTCATTTCCTTGAGTGTTTGGCTGCCTCAGACCACTCCTGATACTGATTACTGTAACAGGGCTCTTGTTGAAACAGCAGAATCCATTTTAACCAATTTTAGCAGAAAAATGCATGTTTGAAAGGATATTAGAAAGTGCAAGAATCTCGGGGGTGAGGGAGAAGGAAGGCAGAGAGTGTCAGGCTCTGAGGCTATTTCAGCCAGAAGCAAGACCCAACCCATCCCACAGGACCGCCCCAGTGAAGACCCCACTGTTGCTGCTGCTGCCGCTGTGCTCAGCACAGACCCTGCTTTTCCCACTCATGATTCTGGGATTGCATAGCTGAGGCTCTGCCATCGCACCAATGCCCCACTCCTTCTAGCACCCCTATCCTCACTTTGTGTGCTTGGAATACATGCATCTATTTGATGGAGTCTATGTCACATGGCTGCTCCAGCTGCAAGGGTGGCTGCCAGGTGGAGTTTTGGCCCTCTCCCCTGGAGAGGAGGGAGGGACTCATAATGCCGTACTTTCTCCAGTATAAGAGGGATGGTCCCAACATGACACATGTCCACTGCCCTTTCCAAATCCCACTTCTCACCACTTGGCCTTTCCCTCCACAATGCTTCAGTCATTGTGAGTGGCTTGGAGGCTATGCGATTTCTTGTCACCAAACCTTTAAACAATCCTCTCTCTTTGCCTGGGATGCTCGGCTCACCCCGCTATGGCAGAGGCATCCTCAGGCTCAGCTGACACCTTTTCCGGGAGGCCTGCCCTGGCCCCGCAGAAGCCAAGATGGAATCATCACAGAGACATGCATGGACTCTCATGGAGCCCCAGAAGCAAAGTGCTCCCCCTCTGCAGGAACTCCCCAATGGATCTCCTGCCCATTCTTTTTTGCTCTTCCTTCAGGCCCTCGTGCTGGTTGCTATTATTTCCATTTTTTCTTGTTCATGTCTCAGTGAAGAAGAATCACTTTTATTTATTTATTTAGAGACAGGGTCTGATTCTGTTGCCCAGCTGGAGTGCAGTGGCATGATCATAGCTCACTGCAGCCTCAAACTCCCAGGCTCAAGCAATCCTCCCGCCTCAGCCTCCCAAGTAGCTGGGACCACAGGCATGCACCACCATGCCCAGCTAATTTTTAAATTTTTGTGCAGATGGGGTCTCACCATGTTGCCCAGGCTGGTCTCAAACTCCTGGGCTCAAGTCATCCTTCTGCCTTGGCCTCTCAAAAGTGCTGGTATTACAGGTGCAAGCCCCGGTGCCCGGCCAGAAAAATCACTTTTAAAAACAATGTAGAGGCCAAGTGCAGTGGCTCACACCTGTAATCCCAGCACTTTGGGAGGCTGAGGCAGAAGGATCGAGTGGGCCCAGGAATTCAAGACCAGCCTGGTGGCAATATAGTGAGACCCTGTCTCTACAAAAATGTAAAACTTAGCTGGGCATTGTGGTGTGCACCTGTGGTCCCAGCTACTCAGGAGGCTGAGGTGGGAGGATTGCTTAAGCCTGGGAGTTCCAGGCTGCAGTGAGCTATGATCTAGCGACTGCACTCCAGTCTGGGCAACAGAGTGAGACCTTGTCTCTAAAAACAACAACGATAACAACAAACAATCTGGAATTTTATGTGACAGCAACACACACCTATTCCAGCTTCAAAGGCTTTGGTGAAGAGTCAAATTGTTTCTCAGGAGTGTATGAAGTACTCAGCACAATAGCACCATATTAGGCCGTTCTTTGCGTTGCTCTAAAGAAGTAGCTGAGACTAGGTAATTTTTAAAGAAAAGAGGTTTAATTGTCCCATGGTTCTGCAGGCTCTACTAGGATGGCTCCAGCACCTGCTTCTGGCGTGACCTCAGAAAGCTTACAACCATGGCGGAAGACAAGGTGGGAGCAGGTCACCTGATGAGAGGAGAAGCAAGAAAGAGGGTAGAGAGGTGTCACACACTTTTAAAGTGCCAGATCTCGCCAGAGCTCACTCACTATCATGAGGAGATGGCACCAAGCCATTCACGAGCTATCTGCCCCCATGACCCAAAGACCTCCCACCAGGCCCCACCTCAAACATTGGACATTACTCTTTGACATGAAATTTGGAGGAGATAAGCATCCACATCGTATCAAGCACTTAGATCTTTATAGCTGGAAATCCACGAGGCTATGGCCTATGTGTGGGAGTGGGGGTTGTGGGGTGGGCAATTAGGCAATGGAAATGTGGTGGGACAGGGGAGACAGGGAGAGGGAGATGGAGAGGGAGAGGGAGAGGGAAGGAAGCCAGGCTCTGCTGAGATGCTATGGGCAGGAGTAGCTCCCGATGTTGGAGCTCAGCTTGGAAGGCCTCTAGGGCTGCTCTGTTTACTATGCTGAGCTGCTGTGAATTCTCCTAACATCTGCAAAATTTCACCATATGACACTCCTATCTCCTTGATCCCACTCATACAGAACCATTTATTTCATAGTCTTTTTCACTAAGCACAGAGATACCCTTTGATGTTTGTTAACACTGCCATGTTTCAAAAGAGGAAACTGAGATACAGGAGAGCAATGCACTTGCCTCAAGGCCTCTCATCCATTGGCAGGTTCAGCCCACACCTTTACTGAACATCTACAAAGAGTCAGGCCGTAAGGACTGGTAGGTTGTGCGATGGGTCTTGAACCCAGGTCTGTACAACTTCAAAGCCTTTCCGCTATAGCAAGGCAGCATACAGCAGAGATCTAACTGGCAAAGGAGTGGTTAATAACACAAAGAAAGAGAGAGAAGAGGAAATGAGAGGGAAGAAGAGAAAAAAGGAGAGATGAAAGAAATGAGCAGTTGAGAGGTTGCAGATTGGTGGCATTCATGTCGAATATGGCTGCTGGGGTTTTTGGAGATAAAGAAACAAAGGTCCTTTCTTACTCTCCCAGTTGGAACCAGTGTAGAGACAGATGTGGGAATCAGACAGGTGGAGATTAAAATGTCACATCTTAAGAAGGGAAAGTGAAAACAATTCTATTGATTTGAATAGCCCCTAAATCATATCTGCTAGAACCTCAGAATGTGACCTTATTTGGAAATAGGGTCTTTGCAGATGTAATCAGTTAAGACAAGGTCATTCTGGATTAGGGTGGGCCCTAATGCAATGACTAGTGTTTTTATAAGAAGGGAAGACAGACACAGAGACACACAGAGAGAACACCTGGTTAAGACAGAGACTGGAGTGATGCAGCTGCAAGCTTAGGGATGTCAAGGATTGCCAGAGTCACTGGAAGCTGGAGTTGATGAGGAAGGATCTTCCCCAGCGCCTTCAGAGGGAGCATGAGCCTGCTGGGACCTCAATTTTGGACTTTTAGGCTCCAGAACTGTGGGAGAATAAATTTCTGTTGTTTTAAGCCACCCATTTTGTGGTGCTTTGTTACAGTAGCCACAGAAGAGTAATGCACCAGCCAGGCAGTTTGGAGAACATGGTTTTCTGTTTGCAAGGAAGTGGGTTTGTGGGTGCCTCATCCCTAAATAGACAGACTTTCCCTTCCAGGGAAGCAGGGACCATGCACCCTCCATGGGCAGGCTGCCTCTCTAGGAGGAAGGAGATAAGTTGAGGATGCCCAGTTCTTTCTCCAAAACTCACCAATCTGAGGCAAAAGATGAGAAGTGGGGGTAGTCTAGCTAAAGTTCCTCCCATGGGAAGCATGGGGAGTGGGAAATAAGAGTTCCTGTCTAACGGTGGGCTGTAGATGCCTATTTTTTAACTTGCACTATATATATATTTTATATATATATAACATATATTTATATAATTTATGTTTACATATTATATAAGTATATATGTTATATAATATATTATATATGTTATATATATAACATATATATGTTTATATAATACGTAAACAAATTATATAAATATAAATAAATACATATAATAGATATAAGTATATATACTTATACATCAGTATTGAATCAGTAGTCAACACCCAAAAGTTGGAAGATTCTATATAAAATCCAGATTTCAAGGTTCTCCTGTGGAAAAATCTGGCCATGCTGGGCTCACATTCCCACAGGGCAGCCTGGTTGTTGCTGCAAAGAGGCTGCCTTCTGCAGATGGGGCCCAAGCTCTCCAGGTTGCTGTTCTCCTACCCCTTTCTACCTCCTGCCACCCCCTACCGTCTACCCTGGTCTGCATCACTCATGTCTATGTCCCCTGGTGTCTTTAGATATTTTGGTTTGGGGCTTACAGAGTAGAGGTTAAGAGCACAGACTCTGGAATCAGCCAAGCCTTCTGTTCAAATCTGATCTATGTCACTTCCTAAATGTGTGGCCTTGGGCAACTTAGCTAAACTCCTTGAGACTCAGTTTCCTCATTTGGAAAATGAGAATAGTAATTGAACTACCTTATGGGGCTGTTGCAAGAATTAAATAATGTAATCATGTGAGTCTTTTTGTATATGTGCAAGATACATAATTGATGGGAATTACTGTTACTCTTTGAAAAGCAAAACTGGGCAATGTGAGAGGAAGCCTGGAAGAGAACTAGAGCCTCTGGCCTGATGTACACTTTGTCTGGTTTTAGCACTGCCCTTGGTCTCATCGGTTTTCAGAAAAATATTTTCATAAGCTCAGTTCCAAGGAGTCCCCTTTCTGTAGCAAGGAGTCCAATAGCAGTTTTGGGAATTAGGGGTTCAATTAGAGCAGTTTTCCCTCTTCCCCACATTTTGATTCTCTTCTGGAAGGAGGTTGCAGTGAGGCAGGAAACGCTGGATTCCATCCAAATACTTTGATGTCTGGCTTTTAAAATAGCAGCGATCTTAGCTGGCTTCACAGACTTCCTAGTGGCCCTCAACGGACAGCTTCTGCTTTGACTGATCACTTCTCCTGGGAGGCCCAGAATGATGAAAGATGCAGAAGTAACCAATTTACTTCAAACAGCCTACTTCCAGGTAGAGGTGAGAAACCAGATGGAATTGGGAAGGAGGCAGGCTGACAGTAAGAAAAGCTTTTTTATGAAGAACATATACATTTCTCACTAGGAGAAAGAATGTCCAGTTAGAAGGCCATCAGCCCTTAAAATAGTTGCAAGCTACAAAACCCAACTCAATCCAGTCCTTTCAAAACGGTAAATTTTCTGGAAGGACGCAGGAGTATTCTGTAGAACCTAAGGACAGCGAGGCCTCCCTAGGGACAAAAATCAGGACCTGGAAAGCATACAAGGTGCAAGGCATCAAGTCTTGGTACAATAGTCCATTGCCGACACAACAGATGGCTACCTGACTGTTCAAACACCGTGTATTAAGTAATCAATTTTTTCTCACCTGGTTTGAAATGCCACATTTATAAGATTTTATTTTTGTGTGTGTGTATTCGGGTCAATTTCTGGTAGGATTTTATCCATTCTGCCGTTTGTGGTTGTTATGGGTTGAAATATGTCCCCCAAAAGACATATGTTAAAGTCTTGACCCCCAATACTGCAGTAACTGAACTTATTTGAAAATAGGGTCTCTCTAGAGGTAATCAAATTAAAGTAAGGTCATTAGGTGGGCTCTAATCCAATATGGCTGGCGTCCTTATAAAAACGGGAAATTTGGACACAGAGACAGACATGCACAGAGGGAAGACAGCCATATAAAGCCGAGGACTGGGGTGATTCCTGTATAAACCTGGGGACACCGAAGATTGCTGGCCAACCACCAAAAGCTAGAAAGGGGCAAAAAAGGATCCTTTCCCTAAAGGCTTCACAGGGCACATGACCCTACCAACACCTTGCTTTCATACTTCTAGCTTCCAGGGCTGTGAGACAATACATTTCTCCCAGTTTGTGGTACTCTAGTAGGGGAGCTCTAGCAAACTAATACAATGCTCCAGTACCAAACTGTTTAATTATAGATTTGTGATATTTCAAAACACCTGGTCATGCCAATCTCAGGGAGGATATTTTTAAGATGAAAAAGATTAGATTCAATGGAAATGCTGAAGATTAGAATCTAAAACATCATTTTTAACATTGATTTTTTTTGAGACTCAGTCTCGCTCTGTCACCCAGACTGGAGTGCAGTGTGCCATCACAGCTCACTGCAGCCTTCACCTCCCAGGCTCAAGTGATCCTCCCACCTCAACCTCCAAGTAGCTGGGACTACAGGTACACACCACTATGTCTGGCTAATTTTTTGTTTGTAGAGACAAGATCTCACCATTTGGCCTAGGCTGGTCTCGAACTCCTGGGCTCAAGCAAGCCACCTTGGTCTTCCAAAGAGTTGGGATTATAGGCACGAGCCACCCTACCTGGCCTAATTTTTAATTATTTAGAACACTAATCAAAATATATTCTTAAAATGGGTATATTTTATTGCATTTTAATTATACCTCAATAAAGTTGATTAAAAAGACAATAGAAACAACAGATTCAAATGTATTATATACCAAAATGTAGCAAATGGAAACCACTACCAGTTGGTACTTTATTGTATGTTGCATGGTTTATGTAAACTTTGGACTAGAGCTCTGCATATATTTAAAATTCTGGTGGAAGTCTCATTAACTTATGCAGGTGGGCTGTTACACTAATATTTCAAACAATTTAGGCTAGCACTCATATACTTGTCTAAAACTGTGCAAGTGAATACATTCTTATATTTGCAGGCCATTCTCAAGCACAACCTGGGTGAGGCTCTGTCATTGCTTAATGGATCAGCTGTATAGTAACAGCAGAAGATAAAACATGGTGAGTTGTGACAATGTAATGTCACAGACAATTTTCCTATTTAAGGTTGTTGTTACAGTTCTGACTTTGGCAAGCAGAATGGTTTCAATAGAGCAATGTGGGGCTTACTATATTACCATGCCTACAGGAGCAGTTAAAGCTTCATGAAAGTAATTGAAAGACTAAATTTTGGGCTCAACATTTAAAACAAAATCAATTAGATGGTTTAGAAGTATTTTATGAATATCCAACAGAGACAGAAATGGAGGTTTCTAATAATTAAAAGTGTTGCTGGATGTGTCAAGATATACTTGAAAAGTGTTTTTTAAAATTTAAATTGGCTGCCAACCTTGTTCATCAAATTCCCCTAAGGCAACACAATAATTTAGGAATGGAAGCAATTGTTAGCGATTCATTATTAGACCAAAAATTCTTACTGTTTTCTGACCTCTGGATCCTTTCTTTTATACCAGACTGAAAGATGAGCTATTCAAACTTTCATGTGTGCAATAACTTATGTAAATTAAGTGATTTGAAAAAAAGACATTTTAAAAAGCTTGGCCTAATGGGCATATACAGATTTCTGCATTTAGCAATGAGAGAATGTGTGTTCTTTTCAAGCACACATTGGGTATTTACATTAAAAAAAAAATCTTGTACTAGGCCATAAGCAAGTCTCAACAGATTGCAAGGAAATCTCTGACAACATAATGTTATGAAGTTAGAAATTACTAACAAAATGGGAAATAAAAAACTTTATATATCTGGAAATTTAAAAGTATACTCCTGAAGGTAATGAAGTAGCTCAAATTAGACTACTTATCTTCCAAGAACAACTAGAAAACCTGTAAAGACATAAGAAACCTTTATCTTTATATAAACTTCTCTCATATAGAGAGAACTTCAGAGGCCGCCAAGACTTGAGGGGCCAAAATCCTAGAGAAGAGGGAATCACAGAGGTTAGTTGACATTCTATAGCCACTTTCCCCCTCGAGGCATTTGCCCACTATGGGTATGGGGTGAGAACTGAGGCAAAGGGTCTGGACAGAAGGGCTACTAATAAGAGGCAGAATTTTTGGCTGTCCTGCAGGGCTAGAAAGACACAATGTAGAGGTTGAGGGGCCAAGGTCCCGGGGAGAAGGGAGAAGCAGTGAACTGATCCCATACAAGATCAATTTCCCTCTCAAGATATTTGCTGATTTCTGAAATGGCTTAAGACAGGAGGCAAGCAGAAAGTCTCTGAAATACGGAGTGTATATTGTTTGGCAATCTTGTGATGTTGAAGAAGCAAGGACTGTAGTTAAGAATGTTTGTGGGGTGGCAGGAGAGGAGCTCTGAAAAAACCCCCAAGTTCTCTATTGCAATTTCTGGACCTTATTGCAATTAGTGTCCCTGCTGAACTGCATTTTTATCCTTTCCTGTTAGGATTCTCTGAGCTCTGTGGTAACTCCACACCTGCATTTCTCAGGATCCAGCCTTGGATAGGAAATGCCCCAAACTGAGCCAAGGCTGCCTTGGCCTTGGCAAGAAGTTAAAGCTCGCCAACCTCATGTTTTCCTTAACTCAACAGTCTTCATTCCAGTTGTAGTAATCTAATTAGCAGCACATGGAACTGTCCCCCTTATTCCACCTCATGTGTCCTATCAGGAGGTACAAAGGTAGTGTAATAAATAAAATCGGCATTCTAATAATACCTAGCGTATCATTTATGTTACCTTTCCCCTCTTAGAAGTACCATGCGTGCTCTTTGACTGATGTTACTAGCCTAAAAAATCATTACTTTCCCTGGCTGAATTGCCATTTGCAATCATGCCATAATTTAGTAATTAAAATCTATTTGTAAGCTAACCTCTTTTCTATTTGGCTCTCTGTGATAGCTAGCAAATGGTCCCAATGATCCTTGCCTCCTGATATGCATCTCTTGTGTCAGTGACAACATCAATTGGGGCTGATTTGTGCAAACAGTAGAATATTGTAGAAATGACAGTGAGTTACTCTGGAGGCAAGGTCAGAAAAGACACTGTGGCTCCACCTTGCTCTCTCTTTGAGCATTTTCTCTGGGGAAAGTAGTTGCTATGTTGTGAAGATATTCAAGTAGCTTATTGAGGAGGAACTGAGACCTCCTGAAAACAATGAACGACATGTGCATGAGCCTCCAGAAGCAGACCCATCAGTTCCAGTCAAGCCTTCAGATAAAGGCATCCTTGGCCAACATCTTCACTGCAACTTCATGAGAGAATGAGCTAGAACTACTCAGCTAAGGTGCTCCAGAATTCTGGACACATAGAAATTGTGTGAGATAATAAATATTTGTTGTTTTAAGCTGCTGAACTTTGGGTTAATTTGTTATGATGCAATGAATATTATTAATACACTGTCTTATTTTCTTGTTTGAATTCCTGAGTTCTTTCTCCCTTTTTCATTCATATGGGTATCAATGCAATTGAGTTCTTTCCATGGTGCACATTTCTGTGCATTTGTTGAGCACTTTTCTTCCTTTTTTTTTTTTTGCCACTGGCTATTTCAAAGAAGGATTCAGTGTTTGAAAGATCCTTCTTTAATACTGGTTCATTCTTTTCCCAGGATGCAGCCTAAGGAGTTTAATTTGCAGTGTTAAACATGGCCTTGGAGTCTGTCCCTTTGGAGAGCATACCTGATATGGTTTGGCTGTGTCCCCACCAAATCTCATCTTGAATTGTAGTTCCCATCATCTCCACATGTCGTGGGAGGGACCTGGGGGGAGGTAATTGAATCATGGGGGCAGTTACCCCCATGCTGCTGTTCTTGTGATAGTGAATGTGTTCTCAGGAGATCTGATGGTTTCATAAGTGGCTTTCCCCACTTTGCTGGGCTGTCATTCTTCTCCTTCCTGCTGCCATGTGTAGAAGGACATGTTTGCTTCCCCTTCCACCATGATTGTAAGTTTTCTCAGGCCTCCCCAGCCATGCTGAACTGTGAGTCAATTAAACCTCTTTCCTTTATAAATTACTCAGTCTCAGGCAAGTCTTTATCTTTATTAGCAGCATGAGAACAGACTAATACAATACCTGAAGGGGTTTCAGGTGCTGATCTTGCTCAATCATTTGTGAAAGCCACACAATGGAAGCAGTTTATTTTGGTTTAGAGATCAAGGTTGTATTTTTGCTAATTGGTGAGAGGAGTAGTGGGGAGGCTTTGGCTGTCAGAAGTAGATTCTTTTTTGCTGATCCATGGAAAGTGACTTTCCTTTCCTGGCCAGAGCCTTTCAGATGGCTTTTTAAATGGTGTGTTTTCAACTAAGGATGTGCGGTTGAGAGTCAAGATGTTGGAGAGGGCTTTTGGCAGACCTGCAGGCACTCTGATAAACTGTCTTTCCTCCAGAATTTTCAGCAGCACTCTGTTGAGTTCATTTCATGAATAACAAGAAATGTTTGCCTAAGTTATTCACTTTTGATGGTTGGGAATATTATGTTCATTAGGATCAACATGTTTATTCCACCCCAGCCTCAACATCTGAACTTTCTTTTTTTTTTGACAGAGTCTCGCTCTGTTGCCCAGGCTAGAGTGCAGTGGCACAATCATGGCTCACTATCAGCTCAGGTGATTCTCCCACCTCAGCCTCCTGAGTAGCTGGGACTACAGGTGGGTGCCACCAGGTTTGGCTAATTTTTTGTATTTTTTTTTTGTAGAGAAGGTGTTTCATTATGTTGCCTAGGCTGGCCTCGAACTCCTGAGCTCAAGAGATCTGCCCACCTCAGCCTCCCAAAGAGCTGGGATTACAGGCATGAGCCACCATGCTTGGCCTGGACATCTTTTATGTGAAGAGAGGGTAGGTTCTAATCTCCAGCTGATCTTTATGCTCTTGATGTTTTGGGGCTGTGATAGGCTTGATGGCTTCCTGTGCTGAAATGCTCTTGCATCATCCATTGAAAATGAGAGCTGCTTTTCACTTAGGGTGACCTGGGGTCAGGCACTATGCTAACTGATGTACCTGCATTATCACATGCAGCCCTCTGTACACCTGTGTAGTAAACACCACTACTGTCATTTTGTAGGTCGTGAAGCTGAGGCTGTGACAGGTGAAGTGATTTGTCTGAGGTCATGTAGTTGGTCAGCGAATGGACAGAGAACTGACCTCAGGCTGGTGGATTCCAAAGCTAGTACTTTGAACCACAGCATGACGAGGCCACCCCTACTTGGCCATAACCTTTTTGCTGGGACAGGAGGTGGAATACCAAAAGCAACAGAACAGAGTCCACCTGCTAACTCGAGGTGCTGAACACCAGCGTCAGTCCTCCTGGCAAGACTCTCGCCCTCCACACCCATTCATAAAGCCGAGTGTGGGTGTGTGACATCAATGTGACATCCTGTGAGACACCTGTGTTTCACTGGCTACAGAATCATCCTCCATTCAGTTCCACTTGTAATTAGCTCAAGAAACAAAATTGTGAAAAGGCACAGGGAACATATGTCAGCCCATTTCCTCTTTCCCTTGGCTGGAAAATGGTGATTCTGGCTGAACGACATCTTAAAAATATTTATAACCATAGAATGTGAGTGCTACAAAGGCCTTTAGCGCAAACCCCATTTTGTAGATGAAGAAAACTGAGGCCCAGAGAAGGGAAATATCTGCGTGTTATCAGAAGACACTGCAGTGTAGTAGTGACAGCTAATTTGATCAAAATCCCAGTTCTTTTACTTACTGGCTGCATGACCTTGAGCAAGTCACAGAATGTCTCTAACTCTCAATTTCCTCATCTGTAAAATGGGAATGATAATATGACTTGGTGCAAAAGTAATTGCGGTTTTTGCCTTTTTTTTTTTTTTTTTTTTTTTTAATGCAAAAACTTCAATGCCAAAACCACATTATTAGGTTGGTGAAAAAAAAAAATTAGCTCATGCTGAAATGAGCTAAGACTTTAGGGGACGGTTGGAAAGGCATGATTCTACTGCCTTTCCAGTGTGCAAAATTACTTTTGCACCAATCTAATAATACCTGCCTCACTGCGGAATCATGGAGATTGCATGAGCTTATGTGTGTGTGTATGTGTGTGGCTCTCAGCCCCGTACTCGGCACTGGAGAAGTGCTCAGCCAGTATTAGCTCAGGTGCTTCCTACTAATCCTCCTTCATTCCCTCTTCCATTCCACAGCCTTGCCTTGGAGTGAGGCAGCCATGACACCTAAGGAAACTGCGGTAGAAAGCTCATGTTCCCCTCTTCACAATCCCCACATTCCAGAATCTGGGGACCTGGGAATTGCCCCCATTTTGTTTTTAAGGTTTCCATAGAAGCCAGGGTCACACATGCTGCTTCACCTTTGAGGACACCTTTGGTTCTTCTACTTATCTAACTAAACATGCCATCATAATCACATGAATATTTATATAATTAAATTTATTATAAAGAATAATAATGGGCATACATGGAGTGTGTTCAATATGCCACTGTGCATGAGTCTTCCTAGCAACCTTCTGAAGCAGGTTCTGTTTTTATCACCCCCATTATTCAGATGAAGAAACGGAGACACTGAGAGGCAAAGTTAACTTGCCCAAGGTCGCTGGCTGCTAAGCGGCAGTGTCTAGATACGGGCCTGGAGCTATATGATTTTGGAGTTACAGTGCTTCACTCTGTCAACTCAAATAGCACGCCTTTACTGTAAGCTCTTGCCCTATTTAAAGAGGATCATTCTCTTTTTCTTTTTTCTTCTAAAATCCATGTTGACTTTACAAGTTTTATGGGCAATTATATTGTTTCCCAGTTGTTGATTCTTGGGTGTGGGTGTGGGGCTGGTGGTTTCTCTTTAGATGAAATGGGAGATGACTGAGGCCTACTAGTTAGCTTCAGATATTTGACAACTGGAATTCTTTGCTGCATTCTTTCTTTACTTTGAACAACTTTGGTCTCAGATGGAATAATTTATAGGTTTTTTAATGGTTTTTTTTTTTTGGAAAATTTGAGGGTTGGAGGTGATGGGTGGAAAAACAGGCAGGGCAAAGGAGAAGGTCTTGAGTTTTGAGTCTGGCCTCATTTAGAAGACTCTTTTTGCACTGTCCTTAACATTTTGGCTTTCAAGTTTTCTCTTGTTCGTGGTTTTGCCCTGTCTCTGTTTATTTTGTGACTCCTGGCTAAGGGGGTGTTTTCTCAAAAGGGAATTATCCACATTGAATCTTGTTCTGGCCACGTGTTGACCACCTTCTCTGTCAAGGCCTTCTTTGTGCAGAGGGGCTGAGTGTTTATTCTGGTTAACATGGATGCCGTATAAAAGTGATCATTAGGTGGGACAGGGGCAGAATGAGCTTCATTAGAATAACCAGACATTTGAGATGTAATCCCCATGACAAGATGTTTGTCCTGGCACCAGAACCACTTCATCAGAGGTTTAGGATATAGGATTCTAATGTGGGCGACTGAAGCACATCACGGTTCCTGTTGTTTTAGTCAGAGCTAAGGAAACAAAACTCAAGGTGGCCTAAATGAGGGGGGTCATTTGAAGGCGAAAGCAGATTATCATCACACTGGAACACAAAGAAGCTTGGGCCTCGCAGGAACCGGAGTTGGACTTTAGGGGCGCAAGTCGTGCTCTCTGGTTCTTGGTCAGTGCAGGGGTTCTCTTTTCCTCCCATTTCTCGGTAGCTGCATGATCTTCTCTGAGCCTCAGCTTTTTCATTTGTATAATGGAGCAGTTGCAGAGTGATTAAGAGTATAGACCCAGAAACGGAAGGTCAATGTTCATTCTTGTCATCGCCACTTCCTAAACTTTTGGCAAATCACTCAGTTTGTGCCTCAGTTTCTTCATTGGTGAAATGAACATTGCCAGACTCTGGGGGTGTTGTGAGGTTTCAGTGGATTAACAGCTCTCAAGTACTTAGCACAGCGCCTGGTGTTCGGCAATGTTCAAGCCAGATTAGCATTGTCTGTCTCTTGTGACTGGCTTCCTTTGCTCTCACAAGGCTGAAAATAGCCATAGCCAAGAGTAGTATTAACACTACTAGTAATAATAATAATAGCTAATAGTTATTGAACTTTTGCTATATAAGCATTTTATAAACACTTTCATTTTATCCTCATAAAAATCACTTCGGAATAGTTACCTTTATTATCTCCACATTACAGATAAGGAAACAGGTTCAAGGAGACCAAGGAACTCACTTAAAGTTACACAGGCAAATGAGACCCAGACCCATTTCGTGTGACTCACTTGCCCACTGTGGGAAGACATGATCTTATCCATTCAATGGCTGCACTACCTGATGGTGTGGTTCACCGTTCTCAATCTTGGTTTCTTAGTTCAAATTCTTGAGAAAAATGTGATGGACCAACTTATCCTACAGATCTTTTTTCCTCAAGGGTTAGGTGTGAACCCTTGGATTAGTCAGGTCGGGCCATGTGGTTCCAACATAGTAGTCTCAACCACACAGGGACTGCAAGCTTTTCCCAGAAGAGGAAGGCAAGCAATAAGAAAACCTTTCTATAATGGACCCCCATTCAATCCTAAAATTGCTTCAGTATTCTCTCCAGAGGGTTAAGGTGCTGTAGGTATTACTGTCTGCCTTTCTCCCACTGAGCTTGGCTTGGGCACCAGGGACCTTTGCTGGCAAGCTCAGTCCTGCCCGTTTCTGGAATCAATCTACCCAGCTCTGGCAGTACATTGGGTGCCCTGTGTCTGCCAAGGGGTGGGGTCTGGAAATTAGTCTGGCAGCCCTAAGTAGCAAGTACCTATGTGTCCACCATGTTGGTTTCCTCCCACCTCTTGGTAGTCTTTCTTTTGGTGTTCTTGCCTGCTTGTTGGAGGTATACTCCACCTCTGCTCTTGATAGACCCTTCAATAAGCCTGACTATTTGCCTAGCATTTTCCCTTTCTCCCCACTGCCTGGGGCCCCAGCCACCAGCTGACATCTCCCCTCAATCCATACATACAGCTGTGAAGCACAGATGTGTTCAGGGAAGAACTCTTTCTACCATGACTCATCCGCCTATCAAATCAGGCCCCTTTGCATATATATTTTTAACTTTTATTATGGAAAATTTCAAACACACACACAAAATATCCAGAATCATATCATAAATCCTCATGCACTCGTCAGCTGGTTTCAACAATGACTGAGTCCTGGCGAAACTTGCTTGATCTGTACTTCCATCTAATCTCTCCCAGTATTATTTTGAAGCAAATTCCAGACATCATATTATTGTATCTGTGAATATTCCAGTGTACATCTCTAAACTATTAGAACTATTCATTTTTAACATTATCACACCTAAATATAGTAACAATGATTACTTAATATCATCAAATTATCTAGCCAATTTTTTTATTATACTTTAAGTTCTGGGGTACTTAAAGTATATGTGCAGAACGTGCAGGTTTGTTACATAGGTATACACAAGCCATGGTGGTTTGCTGCACCCATCAACTTGTCATCTACATTAGGTATTCTCCTAATGCTATCCCTCCCCTAGCCCTCCACCCCTGACAGGCCCTGGTGTGTGATGTTCCCCTTACTGTGTCCATGTGTTCTCACTGTTCAACTCCCACTTATGAGTGAGAACATGCGGTGTTTAGTTTCCTGTTCTTGTGTTAGTTTGCTGAGAATGATGGTTTCCAGCTTCATCCATGTCCCTACAAAGGACATGAACTCATCCTTTTTTATGGCCGCATAGTATTCCACGGTGTATATGTGCCACATTTTCTTTATCCACTTTATCATTGATGGGCATTTGGGTTGGTTCCAAGTCTTTGCTATTGTGAATAGCACAATGTCTGGCACATCAGATAATTCAACAAATGGTAGCTATGAATGCTATGATCATTTATAAAGATCATAATGCCTTCCACACCCAGGGCCAGTGCCATAATTGGGCTTCTTAATACCTGCCCTACCCAGCCCTGACTTCTGTGGGACAGGAGAGGAAGGAGCTCCATTTCTCTCTCTTCTGTCCTTCTCTTTCCCCTGTCCTTATCTCCACCTCTTTTACTAATGTGTCTCCCAGGGGAGGAAGGACATATCTCATGGGGGAGATTGAGATCAGGGGAAGTGACCATAGCCAGCATAGCCCCTTCTGAACTCAGGGGCAGGGTTTGTCCAAGCTATGTTGCCTTCACAGCTGCCTCCTCCATGGGGAAAGAGCCTAGAGCAGGATGAGCATCTGGAGGAGTTGCCAGGAGGGAAAAAGGCAATCTGCAGTTATACCTGACACTGGGTATACATATATTTATTTTTATTGTTTTTTTGAGTGATATGGCTTGGCTCTGTGTCCCCACCTAAATCTCATTTTGAATTATAGCTCCCGTAATTACCACGTGTTGTGGGAAGGACCTGGTGGGAGATAATTGAATCATGGGGGTGATTACCCCTATACTGTGCTCACGGTTGTGAATAACTCAGAAGAGATCTGATGGTTTTATAAGGGGAGACCCCTTTCACTTGGCTGTCATTCTCTCTCTTGCCTGCCGCCATGTAAGATGTGCCTTTCACCTTCTGCCATGATTGTGAGGCCTCCCAAGCCACGTGGAACTGTAAGTCCATTAAGCCTCTTTTTCTTTATAAATTACCCAGTCTCAGGTATGTCTTTACAGCAGTGTGAGAGCGGCCTAATACACTGAGAGAGGGTCTCATTCTGTCACCCAGGCTGGATTGCAGTGGCATGATCACAGCTCACAGCAGCCTTGACCTCTTGTGCTCAAGTGATCCCCCACGTCAGCCTCTTGAATAGCTGGAATACTGCAGGCACGTGCCACCACACCTGGCTAATTTTTTATTTATTATATATTTATATTTATTTTATTTTTTTGTAGAGACGAGGTCTTGCTGTGTTGCCCAGGCATGGGTGTGCATTTAATTCAGGGAGGAAGGAGTGGAGTCCTGCGTTTGGCTTCACCTCCAAGTTGTTTTCTCTAATCCTGCTGCTAGATGTGTCCTTATCCTCCTGCCTTAGCCTCCCAAAGCACTGGGATTACAGACGTGAGCCATCATGCCCAGCCAAGATGGAATACTTAAGAAAACCCAACAACTTGTTTTCTCCATGCTTCCAGGAGCCATCCTATCAGCATGTTTGCAGTGTCTCTCAGGGTCCCTGCCAGGGTATTAAATCCTATATTCAGAGAAAGTGCCCCCATAATGATACATTCTCTTTTATCCAGTGCTGTTTTCTAATTCTCACACCTTCCTCATTCCAGCACCCTTCGAATGCAGTCTCTTTTCTGATAAGACTTGGCAGGATTCTGTAGCTCCTACAGGGTAGAGTCCTTTTCCTCCTTATAAGGTTCAGCACCTCCACAGCTGGGTTGTGTTGCTGGGATGTGCACCTGGCTTAGAGGCCAGTGGGAAGTATGGGCAGATCACAGTGGTACACACGTTCTCTTACATGGGAGAGGCCTCGGCATCCCCTTCCAGGAGGAAACAGGGATGGAACTTAACAAGACGAGGCCATTTTGCAGGCCCAGGCATTCAGAGAAATCAGAGGATTCATGCTTTTTCAGAGGCATTAACCCAGCTGTCATCCCTCAAGGTCACATTGCTTTCCCAGCCAGGGTCCTGACCCTATCATAGCAAATCTACCTAAGGTTGAGAATTTAACCTCCTTTGCTACAGGAGATAAGAGTCTTTTTTTAAAATTTTTTTTAACCATGCTAAGGAGGCACTTGAGCTTTTGTGTTCAGTTTTTAATTGACTGGTAGTCACCCTCAGTCTTTTGTCATCTTTTTCCAAAGCAAACATTGTTCTCCAGTGACAGCCATTTAATTCCACTGCCCTTGTAATGACTATTTCCCATATATTTTTAACACCAAATACATTTTCCTTCCACCTGTATCCCATTCCATTTTAACACCATTGGAAGTTTTGCCAGTTTCATCACCATCTTGTGTCAGGGGCTTTATCAGCTCGGTGTACCAACGGTAACGGGGATCTCATTGCCTGTCAGTGGTCAGCTGGCAGCCTCAGATCCCATCTTAGCATCTTCTTTCTCAGACTACTCCTGGCATCATCTGTTCGGTTGATTCCCCAGGAAGCAGGTGCTGGACAGAGATTTGAGTGCATAGGTTCACCAGGAGGTGTGCTCAGCATGGACACCTGTGGTGGCAGGGCAGGAAGCGAGATCGAGAAGAGAGAGGTGTTGGATTGCAATTCAGTTTCATCTAAGGCCTCAGCTGACCCCTTTGGGAAGCTCTGAACCTTCAGACTTGTCCCAGGTTCGGGCAATGGCCTATGCCTTTATATTCCTGTATTGACTAGTGCAGTGGGCTGAATGTTCGTGTCTCTCCAAAAATTCATGCTGAAATCCTAACCCCCAAATGTGATGGAGATGGGGCCTTTGGGAAGTGATTAGGTCCTGAGGATGAAACCCTCATGAGTGGGATTAATGCCTTTATAAAAGGGACCCCAGAAATCTCTCTTGCTCTCTTTCTGGCACGTGAGGATAAAATGAGAAGATGACCAACTGCAACCCAGAGAGAACCTCCACCAGAACTCAATGGTGCTGGCACCCTGACCCTCAACTTCCAGCCTCCAGAACTGTGGGAAATGAGTTTCTGTTGTTCTTAGGCCACCCAGTCCATGGCACTTTGTTGTAGCAGCCCAAATGGACTAAGACAGCCACTTACCATTGTAGGCTGCCCTTGGGAAGGTGGAGTGTCCTTCAGTGAGGCAGCTTTCTTCAGGGAAAAAGAGGAATTTCTGGAGAGAGATAACAGTTGAGGGCTCTCAGCCGGCAAAAGTCTCAGCAGCAGAAGGAATGAGGAGAAAAAAATGGGCACAGTATTTTGTAGACCCACCTCTTAAGAAGCAGATTCTATTCTTCCATCTCTTGAATCTGGCTTGGCCTTGTAACTTGGTTTAGCCAGTGGGAGAGTAGCCAATATGATACAGCAAAGTCCTGAAAAGCACTTGCCTAGGCTTCCTACTGAGAACCCTTCCATGTTGTGTGAAGAAGCCAGGCTAGGCCCCTGAAGGAAGAGAGGGGCCCCATACATCCCAAGCAAGCCCTCAGACATAGACCCCTGAAGGAAGAGAGGGACCCCATGCATCCCAGGCAAGGATCCCAGGCAAGGCCACAGACATAGGCCCCTGAAGGAAGAGAGGGGCCCCATGCATCCCAGGCAAGGCCTCAGACATATGTTGTGGTATCCCATACCAGGGGTTCCTAAACCCCAGGCCACAGACTGGTACTGATCCGTGGCCTCTTAGGAACTGGGTCACACAGTAGGAGGTTAGTGGCAGGTGAGTGAGCATTACCGCCTGAGTTCTGCCTCCTGTCGCATCAGTGGCAGCATTAAATTTTCATAGGAGGCTGGGCGCAGTGGCTCACGCCTATAATCCTAGCACTTTGGGAGGCTGAGGCAGGTGGATCACGAAGTCCAGAGTTCGAGGCCAGACTGGCCAATATGGTGAAACCCGTCTCTACTAAAAATATAAAAAAAATTAGCCGGGCATGGTGGTGCTTGCCTGTAGTCCCAGCTACTTGGGAGGCTGAAGCAGAAGAATCACTTGAACCTGGGAGGCGGAGGTAGCAGTGAGCTGAGATCGTGCCACTGCACTCCAGCTAGGATGACAGAGTGAGACTCCATCTCAAAAAAAAAAAAATTATCACAGGAGCATGAACCCTATTGTGAACTGTGCATGTGAGGGATCTAGGTAGCACGCTGGGTATGAGAACCTAACTAATGCCTGATGATCTGAGGTGGAAGAGTTTCATCCTGAAGCCATCCTCTCTACCCACTCCACCCCTGTCTGTGGAGAAGTCTTCCGTGAAACTGGTCTCTGGTGGCCAAAAAGGTTGAGGATGCTGTCCTAGACCACTCAGTCCCGGCCAAAGGGTCCCAGACAAACCACACAGCAGACCCACTGGTTCATGGGAAATAAGTGTTTGTTGTCTTCAGCCACTAAGTTTTGGGAGTCATTTGTTACATAGCAAAAGCTTATTGATGAGTAGGCCAGCATGTTTGTTCAGAATGTTTTGGTATTTGGAAAACCTATTTTCTTCCCCCTCTCTAGGTTTCTAGATTTCCAATAAAATTCTAGCCAAATCCATGTTTGTTTTTTCAGATCCTTTCATAAAGCACCCTTTCAATTACCTTCTTCAGCTCAGAAAAGGGAATATAAGAGGCCTTTACTGTTCATATTTGCTAAAGAAAATACACGCTTTCAGAGCTGCCATTGTTACCGAACAGAAAACACAATCACCACTAGAAAAAACAAAGGACTGTTATTTGATCATAAATATTCTAAAGAGAGCAGTATGCTGGTTATTAGCTGAACAGAGTTTTGGAGGAGCATTTGAGGACCTGATGCAGTGAATTAAGTGGAAATGTGCTAAAAAGAAAAAGAAAAAGAAAAAGAAACCCAAAAGGAAACGCAAACCAAGCACCTTCTAGCTGCCTATTGGAAAAATATTTTCATAGCACATAGTTCTTGGCACCAAGCAGTGACTTGATAAATGTTTGTTGACTGAATAAATGAATACATGAATGGTAGGAATCTGTGCTACTGTGCTTGAAAAATGTGCTACCCTGCTGCCCTGGCTCTGGATCTTGGAGGGATCACATTGACATTAAAGTAGAGGAATTGGGCTCAGTAATCTTAAGATTTCTCTTCCCAAACTCCCTAGAACTTTGGTGAAATTCTAGGGTCTCTCCACTTCTGTAGGATACATCTCTCCCCTTTTTATGCCTCTGTTTTCTTTTCTGAAAATGAGAGTATTTTGAAAGCCTAGATTTTGGGATTCGCCACGGGGTAATGGGATGTGCCCGGGGACAGTGATCTGCATTTAATTCCTCACCAGGCCTCTCACCAGATGTTTGTGTGACGTTAGGCAAGTCACTCAAACTCTCTGTGCTTCAGCTTCCAAATCTAATGGGGCCAATAATATTACTTGCAGGGTAGTTGGGAGAATTCAAAATAATATATGCAAAGTGCCTGGTATGTGGGTGCTAAATAGCTGGAAGTTATGATTAATTTGTAACGGGTATGTTGCAGATTTATATAGAGTGAGGAGAATAAAATTTGCACTATTCTAATGGATCTTGTGATTCATCTAGTATTTCTGATCTTATTCACAATTGTCAAATATTGGGGAAAACTCCTCTGTGCCCATTCAGCCTCATGTCTTTATTTAGAATTCTGAACTCTTTCTTTCCAAGTATTTCCTCCTCCCAATGCCCATGGGGACAAGTCACATTTCTTGAGCTGCTAAATTGAATGGCAGCTGCCGCTTACTCCATATGTTTCTCATTCTAACATGTTGTCTCAAATATTTTTAGCTACTAAGCACACACTCTGGTCTGCTATGTTTTGCCTTATAATTTTTTTTTTGTGCACATTTTAGATGCCTGCTTTTGGGTTTTGCATTATTCTGTGGTTTCCTGCCCACTTGCTCCGCCCTTTAATTGCTCCACCAGCACTCAGTCTCCGCTGCCTGCCAAGGCTGGCTCCCCCTTTTCCTAATATCCCCGGCTCTCCCCAAGGGCCGTCCTTAATCCAAAGTGCTCTCCAATGCTTTGCAAAATTGAACCCCCTCTGTTTATCCTGCCCCCTCCCCTCAATGTCCGTGGCAGTTATCTCACTTGGGCTCCCATTTCCTGCTCTTATTCTTGGCTCCCTGCCAGTCATCACACATTCACATGAAATCCTGCCTCTCCTCACCGAAGGGAAAGGCTGTTTCCATTCATGGAAAGCTCATTTGCCACAAAGATGCTACACCCTTGCCACAGGCAGGGTGTTCTCGGGTTTCCTGACATGCCCAGGGCAAGGTTGGAGGGCTCTGGTCCCAACAGTTATTTACAGTGAAGGCAAGTCAGGTTAGAGAACAGTGTGGTCTTTGTGGTGCTGGGGAGAGAGCATGGGCTGTCAATTCTAACTGACCTGGATTTTGGTCCATGTACCATTTCTTAGCCTCAAGTCATTTATCTGTGAAATGAGAATCATCTTATTCCCTACCTCACAGCAGTATTGTGAGGCTCACGAACAGAAGACTCAACACAGAGCCTGGAGAATGACATTTGCTCCATAACGTATTCTATTTTCTCCCCCTTTCATTGATTGCTAAGGCTTCCAGATCAGCTAAAGTATCAACAAGAATGAAAATGACACTTCAAAGGATTTAAGTGAAGAGAGTGTCGTGAAGATTATTTGTAGAGATGTGGGATCAGATGAGAAACACCCTGGGACCAGAAACAGCAGAAGCCCTAATGCCTGCCAAAGGGCAAGACCAGGGTGAGCTCCTACCCACAGTATCTGGCGAGAGCTGGAGCCCTGAGACAGGGATGGGGCCTACTGGCACTTGGAAAGTGTACTGGGGTCTTAGTGAACTGATGTCATTTCCTCTTCTCTTCCCCAGGATTTGAGATTTCTAAAAACAACAACAACAACAACAACAACAACAACAAAACCCTATACAAATCTAAATTAGTTAAAAAAAAAAAAACTAAAGTGGTTGGATGGGAGCTATGGCTTAGGAAGAGAAACACAGCCCATCAAAGAGGGACTAGGGATTTAAATAACCCTCTCTTCTCTCTTCCTGTCCATGCCTTCTGTTGGGTGAAACTAGCAGCCAGAAGGCAAGGGGGCCTGGGTGGAGATGTCCAGTGGCATTAGCCTCCCAGGTACAGAGAGATGCAGAGAAAGATGCAAAATAGACCTGGAGTAGCTGAGAATCATCTTGTCATTTGTCACCTATTAGCCAGTTGCTTTGTCCAAGGCCTTGAGCCTCAGTTTTCTATAGAGTGGGCATCAAACTTGTCTACCTCTTGTCTGCCTCACAGGGCCATGGGGAACAGCCAGTGAAAGTGTTAAAATCATTCGCTTGCCATTTGACCCTCTTCTTCATCTGCATTATCTCACTTAATTCCTCAACAGCCGGGTAGGGTATAAGGCAGAGAGGCCAGGGGACAAGGACAGGCAGGCACTTTGGAATCAGAAGAAGAGGTCATCAACTGTGGCTCAGCCAAGCTTTTTAACTGTGAGATCATGGGAAACTGAAGCTCTCTGAACCTCAGCTATTGTCTTACTTTGAGCTCCCCCAAAATCACATCCTGAGACAAATATTTGAGTGCAAATAGTTCATTTGGGAGCTGATCCCAGGATGCACCAGGAGGGACTGGGCAGGGACTCAGAAAAGGGAAGAAACCCAATTATTGGTGTATTCACAAGTGGGCAACTCGGTCTCAGTGCCACAACTGTGATGAAGACTGTGCAGGACACATCCTGGGGTTGGTGGAATGCAGGGTGCGGGTGCTGGGGTGTTTATTCACCACCTTCCATCCCTCACTGGCTGAGGGTTGTTCTTGGAAGTTTTAACTCCCTGGCCATTTCACACTGCCTGCTGTGGCCAGAGGAGACTCAAGCAGCCAGAGAGTGCCATGGGGTGGAGACACACAGGAAGCCACATAGATGCCCTCCAGCATGGGCCAGGAGGGAATGTCTGGGGGACCGACAGCATCCGTTTTGTTTTTCTAATTTGTATGCTAGAGATGATGTCTATGTCACAGGACAGTGACAGAGATGAAATGATTAATGATTAAATGGCTAAATGTCTTCCAAGTGCCTGGCTCATAGTAGGTATCCAAAGAAAAGGAGGCATTCATAGTAAAGATGGGTAAATATTCATGTGTTACAGATGGAAGCAAATGGGACTCAAAGAAGTTAAGACATTTGCCCTAAATCACACAGACAGTTCTTAAATGGCCAAGTCAGATCTGGCCCCAGTTTGTTCCCCTTCCACTCTGCCGTGGCTACCTCCTGTTAATGGACTATACATTTAGAGTGCTTTTGCCTCATAAAGTGTGTGAAGCTCCATAAATATAAAATGTTTGTAGTCCCAGCCTTGCTAGCTCAAATCCAAGTTAAATTGACTCTTGGGTAGTTCTTCTCTCAGCCCCAATTCTCATAAGCTCAAATATATATTTTCTTAGTCCCCTGGGATCCTCCATTCTGTGCCCCAACAATCCCTAACCCTTCATTAGTAATGCCTAGATGTCTCCACATATTTCAAGGGGTGCCAGAAAGTCTCCAGACAAAATAAAAGATGCCATAAAACACCAAGTGCATAAAACTCTAGACACCTTGTTCTCCATGTCATGTTTCCTTTTAAAAACAAATATTTTGAAATGCCCTCTTTACTATCCTGCTGATACACACATAAAAACTAATAAAATGCACAAACTCTTTTCTTAAAAATTGTGGGAAGATATACATAATAAAAAATTTACCATTTTAACCACTTTCAAAGTGTATGGTTTTGTGTTTTTTAGTACATTCATATTGTTCTGCCACCATCGCTACCATCTATCTCCAGAAATTTTTTCATCCTCCCAAACTGAAAACCTGCATTCCTTAAACACTAATTCCCCATTCCCCTCTCCTTCCAGCCCTGCAACTACCATTCTACTTTGTGTCTCTATGAATTTAACCATTCTAGGTACCTCATATGAGTGGAATCATATAGCCATTTGCCCTTTTGTAACTGGCGTCTTTCTTTCCCTCTTTTTCTTTCTTTCTTTCCTTTCTTTCTTTCTTTCTTTCTTTCTTTCTTTCTTTCTTTCTTTTTCTTTCTTTTCTTTCTTCTTTCTTTCTTCTTTCCTTTCTCCTTCCTTCCTTCCTTCCTTTCTTTCTTGCTTTCTTCTTTTTCTTTCTTTCTCTTTTTTCTTTTTTTTTTGACAGAGTCTTGCTCTGTCACTCAGGCTGGAGTACAGTGGCACCATCTTAGCTCACTGCAACTTCTGCCTCCCTTCAAGCAATTCTCGTGCCTCAGCCTCCCGAGTAGCTGGGACTACAGGCATGGACCACCATGCCCAGATAATTTTTGTATTTTAAGTAGAGTCGGGGTTTTGCCATATTGACCAGGCTGGTCTCGAACTCCTGATGTCAAGTGATCCTCCAGCCTCAGCCTCCCAAAGTGCTGGGATTATAGGAATGAGCCACCGCACCTGGTGCAGCTTATTTCACTTAGCATAAATTCTTCAACGTTTATGTTGTAGCATGGGTCAGAAGTGCCTTCCTTTTTATGGCTGAACAGTATTCCATTATATATATACACGGCACTTTTTTTTTCTTTTAAATTCAGGGGGTATATGTGCGGGTTTGTTACGTGGATATATTGCATAGTGTTGGGGTTTGGGCTTCTATTGAACCCAGCACCCAAATAGTGAATATAGTAACCGATAGGAAGTTTTCAACTCTTGTCCCTTTCCTTCCTTCCCCCTGTTTGGAGTCCCTGGTGTCTATCGTTTCCATCTTCATGTCCGCATACACCACATTGTGTTTATCCATTCATGTGTCGATGGACACTTGGGTCGCTTCCACCTTTTGGCTATTTTAAATAGTGTTGCTATAAACATGGGTATGCAAATATCTGTTTGAGTCCTTGCTTTCAATTCTTTTGGGTATATACCCAACAGTATAATTGGTGGATCATATGGGACTCTATTTTTAATTTTTTGTGAAACTGCCGTATGGTTTTCCATAGCAGCTGCACCATTTTACAGTCCCATCAGCATAACTGTTTTATAAAGGAGAAAAATAGAAAAGCGATTGGTAGTTAAGTAGTATGTGGTATTTCAGAATGCCAAGGCTGGAGCTGGGCTGCATGAGTACACAATGCAGTGATTGCACGTCTGCCCCTCATAAGCCACGAAAACAGACCAACATGTAGGTGCCATGTGACGATGCTGTCCCTGGAGTGCATTGCCAGAAGTGATTTTCCAAAACAAGGAACAACTCTTGGTAAAGCTCTAAATTAATCACAGTGCATCTACATTTGTCTTGTTACATTCCTAGAAACTCAAGTGGATATTAAAAATGTACTAAAAGGTACCTTGTATTTATATGTGAAACAAAATTATAATTAGGAAATTATGAACAAGTATTTTATCTATAGGAGTTTCCAGCAGGACATTTGAGAGTTGTTAGGATGGGGACACTTTTTATATTTTTCCTTTTAGAACTGTCCTGTGCCTCACTTACTAATTTCTATTGGCACCCCACGGGTCAACATTGTGACCAGAGAATGCCCCTACAAATTCCTATGTCCTCTAGGAGTGAGATGCAGCCCCCATTTAGAAATGCTCTAAGGAAGCTCATCCAGGTGGTGGATGAATGATTTCTGATTGCTTGACAGTAATAATGGGACTTGTTGGAACAAAGGCCACGTGCATGTAAAAATGTCCAAAGTGTCCAAGGTCTTGGTCATAAAAACTAGCACATGGCTTTTTTTCCATTAATTTCTTATATCCCACAGGAGCTCAATTGTTCTCAAAATCTGCTTTCTATGCCCAATCCACAGGCAAGAAGGACTGAGGGCCTGAGCACGTGTGGCCTCTGTGGGAAGGAACAAAAAGAGGACAGATATGTGAGACATTTTCAAGGCTGACGCTCCAAAATTAAAGTCATTAGATGTGGGGAATGAGGAAAAGATGAGCATAAAATGTGGCTTAGTATTCTTGAGATTGGGCACTGGAGAATTAACACGCCATTAACATGGAAAGGGTGGTAAAGTATTATATAGACAGTTGGCCCCAGAATTCCACAGACGAAGAGCTGAATGCGACCAGGTGCTCTGCTATGAGAGGTGAGGCCCAAAAGATGCTCTGGAAGGAGAGTGAACCCAAGAGTGAGGCACTTTGGAGGAGGAGGACTAGGGTTTAGGTTCTGCTCTACCACCCATGTGATGTGAGGTTTGAGAATAACTGCCTACAAGTGCCAGTTTCCTCTCTGTAAAATGGGGCTACTCCAGCGCCAACCTACCTCCCAAGGCACTTGTGTGTGAGCACAGTATCTGAGACTGGCTGTTCTGTTCACCTCATGCCTAAAATGGCAATAGCTACTCTGTGTATTAGATCAATGGAACGGAACAGAGAACCCAGAAATAAGACCACGCACCTACAACTATCTGATCTTTGCCAAACCTGACAAAAATAAGCAATGGGAAAAGGATTCCCTAGTCAGTAAATGGTGCTGGGAGAACTGGCTAGCCATATGCAGAAGATTGCAACTGGACCCCTTCCTTACACCATATACAAAAATTAACTCAAGATGGATTAAAGACTTAAATGTAAAACCCAAAACAATAGAAACCCTGGAAGACAACCTAGACGATACCATTCTGGACATAGGAATGTTTGTTCACTGCACGCATGTCTTCTTTTGAGAAGGAACAGACACTTTTCAAAAGAAGACATACACATGGCCAGCAATCACATGAAAAAAAGCTCAACATCACTGATCATTAGAGAAACACAAATCAAAACCATGACGAGATACCATCTCACACCATTGACGAGATACCATCTCACACCAGTCAGAAAGGCTATTATTAAAGAGTCAAAAAATAACAGATGCTGGCGAGGTTGCAGAGAAAAAGGAATGCTTATGCACTGTTGGTGGGAGTGTTAGTTAGTTCAGCCATTGTGGAAGAAAGTGTGGCGATTTCTCAAAGACCTAAAAACAGAAATATCATTTGACCCAGTGATCCCATTACTGGGTATATACCCAAAGGAATATAAATAATTCTGTTATAAAGACACATGCATGTATATGTTCATTGCAGTACTATTCACAATAGCAAAGACATGGAACCTACACAAATGCTCATCAATTGTAGACTGGATAAAGAAAATGTGGTTCATATACATTGAATATTATGTCACCATTAAAAAGAATGAGATCATGTCCTTTGCAGGAACATGGGTGGAGCTGGAGGTCATTATCCTTAGCAAACGAACACAGGAACAGAAAACCAAATACTACATGTTCTCACATAACTGGGAGCTAAATGATGAGAACACATGGACACATAGAGGGGAACAACAACTCTGGGGCCTTTTGGAGGTTGCAGGGTGTGAGGAGGGAGAGGATCAGGAAAAATAACTAATGGGCACCAACCTTAATACCTGGGTGACAAAATAATCTGTACAACAAGCCACCATGACACAGGTTTACTTATATAACAAACCTGCGCATGAACCCCTGATCTTAAAAGTTATATTTAAAGGACGGGCATGGTGGCTCACACCTGTAATCCCAGCACTTAGGGAGGCTGAGGCGGGTGGATCACCTGAGCTTGAGACCAGCCTGACCAACGTGGAGAAACCCCATCTTTACTAAAAAAAGTATAAAATTAGCTGGGCTTGCTGGTGCATGCCTCTAATCCCAGCTACTTGGGAGGCTGAGGCAGGAGAATCGCTTGAACCCGGGAGGCAGAGGTTGCAGTGAGCTGAGATTGCGCTGTTGCACTCCAGGCTGGGCAATGAGAATGAAACTTCATCTAAAAAAAAAAAAAAATTAAATTTAAAAAAAAGGGTAAAAAATAACTACCCTGTGGATCAGTCAGGATTCTCCAGAAAAACAGAACCAAGAGAGTCTACATCTCCATGCACTAAGATTTATTTTAAGGAATTTGTTCATGTGATTGTGGGGGATGGGAAATCTAAAATTTTAGGGCAGTGGTAGGCGGACACTCAGGCAACAGTTGATGTCCAGGCCTTGAGCCTGAAATTTGCAGGGCAGACTGGCATGCTGGACACTCAGGCAGGATTTCCATGTTACAGTCTTGAGGTAGAATTTCTTCTTCAAGAAATCTCTTTCTATGCTCTTAAGGTCTTCAACTGATTGGATGAGGCCCAACTACATTATGGAAAGTCATCTCCTTTACTTAGAGTCAAATGATTGGAGATGCTAATCACATCTATAACATACCTTTGCAGCAACATCCAGTTTAGTGCTTGACCAAACAACTGGGCACCATAGCCTGGCCAAGTTGACCATCAAATTTGACCTTTACCCCTTGGACACATAGAAAGCTAGACATGAGAAGGGTCCAATCCATGACCAGGAACTTGTCCACTTGTCAAATAGCCCAGAATACACCCTTGCCTTGCTCTGGGTCTCACATCCTTCCTTAGTAAACTGGCTATCAGAACACAGTCCTTCCAAAGTCCTGGGAAGAATTTCTTCCATTAAAGTTCCCCTGCCAGATCAAGTAGCACTCAGTGTCTCCCCAGCTGAGTACTGTCCCAGTGGCATCTTTAGTACCACCCCTTTTCTAGGCAGGGGTGGGTAAAGGTAGAGGGGCAGCAAGTAGGTGACCTTCCATGTTACCAGGCTCTCTGCATTTTTCTGACGTCACTGCCAGTCTCTTGTCTCCTTAGACTCAATGGCCCTTGGTGTGTGTCTGCTATTGCAGAGGCTAATCACATCTACAAAATGTATCTTTTTACTGTTTCTGTTATACTGCTTGTTGCCTCTAGGATGTTAAAGACAGCGCAGTCTCTGGCTGCCATTCCCAAGAAATCCACACACCCCAAACATTTTGTGAATTTCAGCAGCATTTCCTCAAGACTTGGTGGTGCTAAGGGTGGTTGAAGCTTACCTACATTACCTACATTTAATTCTCACATCAGCGTTGTGAGGCAGACATCATTAGTTTCACTGTGCTAAGCATCGTGACCCTGGCACACAGCTAATAAATGAGGGGGTTTTCAACCAGTTACTTTGTACTGGGTCATTCTTAAGAACCAGGGAATTGAGAGCCTTGTGTTCACTCATAAGGTAATGGAACTTAACTGAGCCACTGGAAATAGTGATACTTGTCATTTATTCAATTTACCCCACACATGAATACCTCCCAACAGTGGAAAGAGTCAGCTGTGCTCACTAAAAAGGTGGTGAAGTGGTCACGTGCACAAGTATGTGTGTGCAGTCAGGAATGTGGAGACCAGGGTAGGGACGTGTGAAAAATGCTGGATGTGGGCTCAGCATGGCCCTGCCCTGCCCCAGAGCCTCCACATAGGAATGCCAGTGTCATGAATCTTAAATTCCATCCCAGCTGCATGGGCAACATCAGCCCCACCCAGATGGAGTGGGAAGGGGCGTGGGATGAGCTTGCTGAAGGGGCGGCCATCTTTCTAGTCCCGCCTCAGTGTCATGGTAGCCAGGCAGATGTCTGTGAACACTTGTGGAAAAGTGGGATCCAAATATGAAGAGCTGCTGCCTCCCTGCCTGTGGCTGTCCTCTGCCTGGGCTATGTTCATTTCTCCTTGCGGTCTAAGGGAATCTGCTCTTCATGCCCCCATCTCCTGGGCAGGTACCCTTGGAACTCCCATAGCTATCCTGCAGTGTCTTGGATGCTCTTCTGCATCTTGTGTCTCCTTGTGATGATAAACTCCCTGTTAAACTGCCTGAGGCCTGAGATAGCTGAGGCACTTCTCCTACCTCCTCCACACATTCCTTCCATTAACACGCTGCCCTGGGTGCCTTCGTCAGATGCATTTGTGCTCTTCCAGTAGGACCCTGAGGGAATGCAGCCCCAGAGCGATTTGCCGGCAGGCGCTGTGCTTTCTTGCCTTTGCTGGTCCCCACATCTGGACACCACCTCTGCCTTTCCAACGCCCGACTCCTCTTTCCCTAGTGCTGTGAAATCTCCCCCTCCTTTGAATTCCAGACTGCTTAATTCCATTCCTTCTTGCAGCATTTATAATTATAGCAATAACTAACCTCTGTCTGGCTAGTATTCCTTACAAAGCACTTCCCCATATATGATCTTTTCTTATTCCTATGAAAAGAATTTGGCAAATAGCTGCCCTGCATTTCATATTTTCTATGAAGATTCTTTACATATATGTCACTCTTTTTTTTTTTCTGAGAAGGAGTCTTACTATTTTTCCCAGGCTGGAGTGCAATGGCCCGATCTTGGCTCACGGTAACCTCTGCCTCCCAGGTTCAAGTTATTCTCCCTGTCTCAGCCTCCTGAGTAGCTGGGACTACAGACATGTGCTACTTCACCAGGCTAATTTTTGTATTTTTAGTAGAGATGGGGTTTCACCATGTTGACCAGGCTGGTCTGTAACTCCTGACCTCAGGTGGCCTGCCTGCCTTGGCCTCCCAAAGTGCTAGGATTAAAGGCATGAGCCACTGTGCCCAGCCACATATATACCACTCTTAATTGTCACAGCAGAACCACAAGATGTGTGTTAGTGTGCCTGTTATACAGATGAAGAAACTGAAGTGTGGAGAAGCGAAATCCCTCATGAGTTTATCTAGCCAGGAGTTGAACCTAGGTCTGCCCAAAGCTTTGTTAGCTGTCAAAGCATGTGGCCTGTGGTGCTCTACTGGGCTCCATTTATAGAGGTGGAAACAGTGGCTGGGTGACTGAGAAAGAACTTGTACCAGATGGCAGATGCAGGACTGTGTCCCGATCTGAATACAGACTCCAGGCTTCTCCCTCGACATCTGCCACACAGTTGCTGATGTTCATGACTAATCTTAATCTTTTGATGTGAGCAACATGAGGGTAAGATCAGTGCCCAGGATGCTAAATTACCTATGAAAGATAAAGGAGGAGGGAGCAGGAATGGGTGGGAGATCCTCAGACCACAATGCCACCTGCTACCGGCAAAGTGGGGGCAGGCAGGCAGGAGGACTTAGGGAGGAGAGCTAGGACTACAGTGCGGCTCTGAGAGGGCCTCCTCAGGCCCAGGGGCAGGCTCCAGGCACAGGTTCCATCCAGGAGGCCTATCCTGGGCAGATGTGGCCTGGCTCTAATCCTCCCTCATGCTCACTCATGGCTGGGAGAATTCAGGGAGATGGTGGCCTTGGTGCAAATGCCACAGTGATTCTAAAGGCACACAGCTGCTGGCTGTCAGTCAATTGCACCCTTGGCCAATGCTCTCTGAAAAGAAGAGCTGAGCAGTGCACCTGCATGAGAACCACGTGGACGAAGCCAATGCTTTGGACTCAGAAAGACCTGACTTACCAGCCACGGGTTCACAGGTAAGTCAATTAGTTTTTTTGAGTTAATTTACTTACCTTTGGCTGACAGATGGATTAAATGAGGTATTGTATGTAAGATGCCTGTCATGATACAGCTGCTCAAAAATGGGCAGTTACCTTCCCTCTGGGAAGTCTGCTATAGTGGTTGGCAGGATAGATTCTGGAGAGAGATGGCTTAGGTTCAAATCCTGTTTCTGCTACTTGTTAGCTGTGTGATCTTGAACAAGTTACCTAACCCCTCTGGGACTCAGGTTTCTTCTGCAAAAACTGGAGATAATAATAGTTCTTAACCTCAGGAGGGATATTGTGAAAACTAAATGAGATAATCCATGAAGAAGTCAGAATGTAACAGCTATTACTGATGGCCTGTATCCTTAAGGATAAAGGGAAATGCATAGCAGTGGCCTGCAGAGGGCAGTATCCCCACAGCAATCTGATTTGCCTCTGGGCCAATGCTGTTTCTGGGCCTTTCAAGTTCAGAGCAGAAAGAAACAAGGTGTACAAAGCACAGCAGAGTGACTAAGTGACAAAATGTGCCAGAAGAGATGTGGAGAGCATGTAGAATAGGTAATATTTTTAAAAATATTATTTATTGGTGGGTGGCTGCAATGAAACAGAATGGAGAAAAATATCAATAATTTCAAATAAAAATCCTATGCACAATTTAAGGTGAACATGGAAACCAAAACTTCTCATAGAAAATGACACACCTGCTCTCTTTGGACATGTCTTAGGAGCCCCTGGAGTCTGGTGGCCTGGGCCCTAGTTTGTTTATACAATTTGTGTCAGAGATCAAGACACTCTTTGAAAACACCTGGAAAGCAACTTAAAGATCAACAGTTTAGAGCTGAGTGAATTGAAAGTGGAGTGCTTTGGAGTTACAGGCATCTGGTATGTAATACCAGCTCAGTCCCTATGTAGCTGGGTGATTTTTTTTTTTTTCAAGTCAGAGTCTCGCACTGTGGCCCAGGCTGGAGTGCAATGGCGCCATCTCCGCTCACTGCAACCTCCGCTTCCTGGGTTCAAGTGATTCTCCTGCCTCAGCCTCCCGAGTAGCTGGGATTACAGGCATGAGCCACCACGCCTGACTAATTTTTTGTATTTTTAATAGAGATGGGGTTTCGCTACGTTGGCCCAGGCTGGTCTCGAACTCCTGATCTTGTGATCTGCCTGCCTTGGCCCCCCAAAGTGCTGGGATTACAGGTATAGCTGGGCGACTTTAAGCCACGCGATTCATCTCTCTGTGGGATGCAGACAACCTTTTGAACAGTCAGAGCAAAGGGCCAGGCCAGGGATTATCATCAGTCTGTATTCCATGCCACATCCCCTCAAAGTCCTTTTTGATTTGCCCCTATGCTATCCTGCAGGACATTCTTCTAGTTTCTTAAGCATCTTGGATAAAGGGGGGCATTTTCTTACACCCCCAGTGTGCCTGTCACTCTTTTTGCTTCTGGTGAATAACTGCAATGTCTACTATCTAGTCTCCTAATTAGGTGTCTCTTGGGCCACCATTAACCATCGTCAAACACTGAAATCCCTACTGCTCTTTGTCATGGAGTCTGCTTCATGTACAAAAATACAGTTTATGTTGTTTTCAACCTAAATGTCTAAATCCCTGCCTCATTCTGTACATATCTTTCTGTAACTTGCCCTTTTCACTTAATCCTGTACCTTAGAGAGTTTTCCATGCCACACATAAACATTGACCTTGTTCTTTAATGCTACAATGGCAATCCACTGTAGGAATGTCTAGAATGAAAGAATTCCAGTGTCAAAGGCTATTTAGACTTTTTGAATTTTCCCCTTTAAAAAGCAGTGTGGCAAGGGTGCCTGTGTGTGCCTCGTCCATTTCTGCAAGTCTTTCACTAGGATGGATCCTAAAAATGGGGTTGCCAGGTTTCAGGGGTGAGCATGTAGAATTTTGACAGATACTAACAAGTCACCCCCAAAGTCTGTGCCTACTTATCATATAGTGTGGTATAGTATAATACAGCATAGTGTAGTACAGTGTAGCATAATATAGTGAGGCACAGTATCATATAGTGTAGCATAGCATAGTGCAGTATAGTGTAGAATAATATGCTATAGTCTGGTATAAGATAGTATAACATAGCATAGTGTAGCAGAGTGTTCTAACACACTCTTTATTATAGTCCTCAGATGACAGGTAATGTTTTATGTCAAAAATTGAGGAACTTGAGAGGCATATAGCCTCGTGGTCAGGAGCCAGATATTGCATTCAAATCTTAACTCTACCCCTCACAATTTTTGTGACTTTGGGCAAGCAACTTAGTCTTTTGTGACTCAGTTTTCTCAATGAGTTAATATATGAAAAACACTCAGAACAGGTGCTGGCAAGCAGCAAGCAGAGACCCATTGTTTTGTGCCACTGTTATCCCAGTTTCTCTAATCTGTAACACCTGGGGTGTTGGTGTTCTTAATGTGTGAGAAGTCGCAAGACACATGGGGTGCATGCAGTCAGAGAATACATTTCACTAGTAGATTTGTTGAAATAAGTAGTTGATAAATACCTAAAATGCTTTTACATGGAAACAAATGTATTTATGAAGAAGAATGCAAAATTGGTATAAATTTGAAAATATGGAACCTCAAAAATAGAATACCTGTTGAGGGCTTCTATGAACTCGATACTTCACCCCACTCCCTTTGCAGGTGCTCGCTTTGGATTATTCTGGAGTGAAAAGGTCAAATAATTAGAATAATTCATGGTGGTTTGCCTTCTGAAAAAAACTGAGGATCTTCGTGGGTCTAGATTTGCTTTCTTTGGTTTCCAGGTACTAATGTTTTTTCCTTAGCAATGAAATGCAAATTATTCTCATAGACAGCCAATATTGATGTTTCAGCAAATCAATGAACAGATGTTTTGCTTGAAATGATTTCTAATTAGTGCTCTATAAATGGCTGGAGTTTAAAATAGTCAACTAGGTAATCAGAGTTAGCCTTCATTTCCTATCTTACTGAGTCACTGGGAGAGATGGGGCACCAGGAAAACCCCAGATTTTCATAATCTTCAGATGTCATTGAAACTTGTACCTCAATTACACTGTCCTTCACTCTCTGCCCTTCTTTCACTCCATTTTCCTATTGTGTCTTTCTTTTTTCACATATGTTTGTCATATTGCAGTCAGTTAAAAATCCAGTTTGTCTTCCTCACCAGCTTTTCAAGGTGAAACAAAGTGGCTTCAAATTTTGTCTTAGTTATTTGTGTGAACTTGGGCAAGTTAGCTAATCTCCTGAGGCCTCTATTTGCCTCAGCTGGAAAATGTGGGTCATTTCTGCATCAGGTAGGGATTCTTCTGCTGCAAATACTAGAAAACTCATCCCAAACAGAATTTCCTGGCTCACGTGAGTGGAAAGGTTGTGGGTTCTCACTTTAGGCATATTTTGATTCATGACTCAATAGTCACCAGAGGACCCAATTTCTTCCTTTCTGCTGCAATTCCTTAGTTTTGACTCCAATCTCAGGTTTCAAATGGTAGAAGGACAGTTACATTTGCTCCATTCCCCACACATCTCAGGCTTGAATTCTAAAGGAAAGCCAGCCAGACTCCGTCCACACATTCCTAGCGGAAGCCTCACTGGGTCTCGCTGAAGCTGATTGGGTCTTGTGCCTATCCCTCAACCAATCACTGTGACGAGGGAAATGGGAGGCATTTATTGGCTCAGCCTAGGTCACATGACTTGCCCTTGCCCCGGATGTGGTCTCCCCTGGATGTGTTTCCACCACAGGTTGGAGAAGAGAATCCCCAACCCCAGCCTGTGAGAAGTTGCTAGAAAAAGAGAATATTTGTTTAAAGGAAAAAGGAAAGTGTTTGCTCTCATATCTCTCTGACACGTTTGTCGTGTGGATAATGAGGTGAAATAAAGATTGGTACAACTACCTAGCAAAAGTGGCGCATGCTGGGGAATGTCAGTTTTCTGTCAGTGTCTCCTCTCTGGCAATTCTTTGGCTATTGCTGCTTTCTCTTTGTTCTTTTGAGATTTTGTACGCTTTGCAACAATTCCTCAATTGATGCTTCTATCTCCAGTTCCAACTTCTCGTCATAGTTTTAGTCCTGCGTTTCCAACGACTTTTGATCATTTTGAATTAGTTATTGCAGTGCAACCTACAGATCAACACATCAAAAACCCAGCTTATCATCTGGATCCTTAAATAAGATCCTCATTCCTGAATCCTTCCCTTCTGCTCTTGGGTCCCACGCATCCCAGCAGGTACTAAAATGGCCTTGATTCCATATCCATTTTTATTCTCACTTGATGCTCGGATCAATAAAATGACCTCCTCACCTCCCTTGTGAATTCTGGATCACTGAGGATGAAAATCTGGAATCCCACAGTTATAAGTCTTATAAACTGCATGAACTTGAGTAAATAACCTTCCTAAGCCTCAGCTTCCTCATCTGTAAAATCTTTTTTTTTTTTTGTGATGGAGTCTCGCTCTGTCACTCAGGCTGGAGTGCAGTGGTGTGATCTCGGCTCAGTGCAAGCTCCGCCTCCCAGGTTCACGCCATCCTCCTGCCTCAGCCTCCCGAGTAGCTGGGACTACAGGTGCCTGCCACCACGCCCTGCTATTTTTTTTGTATTTTTTGGTAGAGACGGAGTTTAACCGTGTTAGCCAGGATGGTCTCCATCTCCTGACCTTGTGATCTGCCTGCGTCAGCCTCCCAAAGTGTTGGGATTACAGGCGTGAGCCACCACGCCGGGCCTAAAATCATTTTTTTTAAACGTATTATTTCAATTTAAATCACACGTCCCTTTGATAAAGGACTCAACCTTTGGAGCAAGGTGTGGGCAGTCAGGTTTGTATGATCTGCTGGGCTGACTACTCTGTACTGTCTCTCCTATCCCATTTGACTCTAGTTTATGATTCACTTCACTTTCTTTCTCCCCCCATTCGGCAGCAGATATTTTTGATTTAGAGAGTGTTGGCCAACTCTGTAGAAACGCTACTTTCACACCTGTGGAATATCATATTGCCTGACATTCACTTCTGTAGCACTTCTAATCCTCTCTGGCTCTGGGATATGTAATTATATACACCCCTTCTCAGCTCTGACTGCTGCAGTCCCACTGCTGGATTGCTCGTCTGTTTCCTCTTTACCTTCCAGTGACCCCTACAGGGGTTGTTACCTGGGAGGTGTATTTCTCAATACCGAGGCGAATGCACTAGATGCCATCACAGGCTCATCTATAGGAGCCAACGGGTATGTGGTGAGTTACCTGTGGGGCAGGACTTTACTGTGAGTGGCTAAGCAACCCCGTATAGGGTGATATAAGGACTCAGAGAGACAGGGAACACACCTGGTTGACCATACTGCATACCTGTTCTGTCCAATATGACAGTCACTAGCCACAGCCACATGTGGTGATTTAAATAAAAAATAATTAAAATTTTTAGTCCTTAATTGTACTAACTACATTTCAAGTGCCCAGTAGCCACTTGTAGCTAGTGTCTTCCACTTTGGACAGCACAGTTACATCATCCTAGGAAATTCTACCTAATAGCACTACTCTAAAGTGGGGAAACAGGAGCAGGCATGCTGGGCTCTCAGCCAGCCAGAGAGAAACAAGGGCTTTGACCCCTCAGCCAATATGATGTGGGCTGGGGAAACTGGCTTGGTTTCAGAGGTAGACACTGGACATGGCAGTGCAAAGCATCCAAGGAGTGTACAAGTTGAGTTAAGCATCCTTAATGCTATGAAGGGAGGGTGGTCTAATATTTTTGGCCAACCACAATGTTGAGATATTCATGGCAGATGGGAGCCCCCAGGAGACAAGCCCCATACTGAGCACTTTATGTAGATTATTTCATTCAACCTTAAAGGGAGAGAATATTACATTGACTTTATAAATAAGGAAACTGAGCCTCAGAGCAGTGAGTCTAACTGTAAGCTCTTCTTAACTGCCCTGTACTGCCTTAATATTGGGTAAGAAGGACTTGCGTTCTGGGGGAGCAGCAGTCTGAGCTCTTGGTGGGAAGTTGGCTTGGATCAAGCAGAGTGGCTCAGATTGGGGCTTGGGCCAGCTCTTCAACTCTCAGAGGACTGAAATGTAAGACAGAGGAGCAGGCTGGGGCAAGGTGGGGATGGGACAGACTTAACTTTGGGGGTGATGCAGATGTCTCGGGGTGCATGCAGATGTTACAGGTGATGCATTCTGCACATCCAAGAACAGGAATGCAAGTCCTCTGAGGGTAGGGCTGTGCAGTAATGGTTACGAGTGGAACTTGGGGCTACACAGCCCTTCTCTGAATTCCAGTCTTGCCATTTATTACTTTGCAACAGCTGAGGTGACCTTTCTGTTTCAGTTTTCTCATCTGTAAAATGAATATGATAAAATGGCAATTATTATTATCATTATCTTTGTAGGCTGAGATATAAATATCATCCTTAGCATAAGTAGCCTTTCCATACAAATGGAATGAAATTGAATCCGGTTGTGAGGATTGGAGAATGTAAGCTGAAACAAAGCTCTACCTGGATAAAAAGAGAGACTTCCTCAGGCATGTACTAGGGCAATGATAAGAGTAAGTTAATAATTTACTTCAGGCTCACCAAAATCAGTAGTTTAGTTTTGCTGTTGGAAACCCCGGAGATGTGTCCGTTTGCTGTAAAAATGACCATCCCATACCACCATTTTGTGACCATTGGCTTTAGCAATATTACAAATTATATTAGTATTAATTAATTATGAATTAATTACTTGGCTCAAACTAGAAATTGCCAAATTATTCTCCTTTGGGTGGGCACAACATATTGTATCTGTACACACAGAATAGTTTAGAACCATTTAGTTTAATTCAGTTAAAAATCAGTTATTTTGAAAATATTCAGTTTCCAGATATTCAAGCAAAATCTCAAAATAATTTGTGTAATCCTACGAATTGGCACATGAAAGTTCTTCAGAGTTGGCCAGACTCATATTCTGTCTGCTTGATAACACTAGTGGGTTTTTGGTAGAGAGACAGTTTTATCCTGTGTGTATATTTCAACATTAAATTCAAGATTAGAGATATTGTGATCAAGGTCACCACCACTAACAGCGTTGTTAACAAATACTATTGGATGTCTGTTATGGATGCTAATCTTCCCTGCCCAGTACCACATGGCCAACGTATAGACGCAATCCTACCTCAGTTCCCAAGTTAAACAAAGACTCTGCTTTCAGCAAATGCATTTCAGAGAGTTTAGTTGTTAAATCACTCAGACTGATGAACTCTTTGAGCATTTTACTTCTCAAGAGGTGAGGTTTCTTGCAATGGGTGCCTCAGTTGAGTCCTCCAGGCAAGAGGGCTAAGGGCAGAATATATAAATCTTGCCTTCTGTTGTCTGGTGTGTGTGTGTGTGTGTGTGTGTTTGTGTACATGTGCACTAGTGATGGAGAGATATACCTGTCCCAGGACTCAGATTTGGTATCTACTTGAGTTGCTGTCACACAGTCCTGTGTGACTGTGTAGATAAGCTTTCATGAGGAGCCTAGACATTTTAAAGTCACATTCATTGGTAGGGTGACCCAAAGAAGCAATGCCCCAGTACTGACTTCTGATCTCCTGTCTGAGAACCAGAGTCCTGTCCTGAGGTGGAGTATCAACTATGAACCACTGGTTTCCTGTGTTAGTCACCAAGTCATAGCTCACTTTCTTGGCATGCCCTGTTTTGCCTGTAGGGGACCAACTCTTGGGTCTCTGAAGCTCAGTGTTCCTTTTTCCTTCTCCCCAGTTTGTCTACCATCAGTTCCAGTTAATAAGGCAAACACTGGCTTTGGCTTCTTTACAGGGCCTTCCAGTGCTCTCTCTTGTCTGGTTCTACTCTCCTTCCTGGGCACATGGGATAACTTTGTTTCCTAGCCACTTTGTACTCAGGTGTGCCACAGATTAGTTCTAACCAATGAAATGTGAATGACACCAATGTGTGTCACTCATAGGCCAAAATATTTAAGAGCCAGTGTACCACCATCTAAATTATTTATCCTCCCTCAACATGTAGTAAGTGCTCAATAAATGACAACCATTGGGATTATGATTCAGTGGAGAAATGTGAAGACATTCCTTGCTAAAGGGATGGCTTGAGAAAATATCTGGAAACAAGAATAGGGTTATTTGTTGCTTATTTAGAGAATGGAAAGAGATCAACTTAAATAGAGCAGAGGAGTGAGCAAAGTAGAAGGGAATGATGTTGAAAGTGTCTAGAACCATGAACCTGGGTTGGATTACTACCTTTCCTCCATTAGCTGTATGTCCTTGGACAAGTTAGTTAGCCTCCTCAAGGATTGGGTTCCTCATCTGTGATGTGAGGGGAATGTATGATACATATACAGAGTATTCTGAATACTAATATGGCAAAATTGCTTTATAAGCCAAACAATGTTAAAACAAACTAAACAATACCTCTCCAATATATTTTATAACATTGTAGAAGGATGAGTATGAATTTTGCCTCGAATTAGCCCATTTCTTTCATCCATCCATGCATCCATTCATCCATCCATCCACAATAATTGAATACTCACTACATATGAAGCACTGCAAGCAATGGTGAGTCATTGAAAGAGAGAGAGAGAGAATGAGAGAGAGCACATGTGTGCTTATGTATGTATTAGGTTGACCTGTTAGATTGAACTGTCTCAGTTTTCCTGGAACTGAGGAGTTTCCTGAGACATGGGACTTTCATGCTAAATCCAGGAAAGTCCTAGGCAAATTGGGATAAAATGGTTATGTGAGTGTGTGTTTGTGTGTGTGTGTGTGTGTGGTGACACTTTGAGAAATTTTGGCACTGAGATATAGGATGGTTTTGCAACAGGGAGAAACTAAAGACAGTTCATTAGGAGAATATTTCAGTATTTTTGGTATGAGGTGATGAAGCCTAAATGAGGAGACTGGGAGAGGCAGAAATGGAAAAGAGGTTGACAGCCATCAGTGATGTTTTAAAGCAAAATCCAACAGGATCTCCAAATGGATCAGAAGCATCCCAGACCATTGCTTATGCCTGCTTATTGCATCGAGGTGAACCATTTGTTAGCCATCAAAAGGTATTAAAGTGATACATGGTTTCAAAAGTTCCTAAAAGTATGCTAAATAATTTAAAAACTAAGTTCCAATTTTCTCTCTCCTTCAAGGTTTTTGGGAAAGAAGATGGGTTGGAAATGGGAGGGTTTGGGGAGGAGGGTAGAGCCCTGGAGGAAAGACTAGTACCCTGTGTTTCTCTGCCAATCCCAGCTGTGCTGATCCCTGCCTGGAGCAACAGGACACAGAGCCCTTGCCAGGATGCTGCTCTGTTCTCACTAATGGCAGCAGAGAGGCGGAGATAGGCAGGCCATATATCCTGTCCCTGCCCTCCCCTTTATGCCACAAAGCCTGGCTGTTCCAGTCTGTATCTGAGCATCAGACTTCAGTGCAGGATTGAGGATAACAAACAGGGAGGCACTTTGAAATTGTGTGCTAATTATTACTAATAATATTCCCACCCCAAGAAAAAGCCCGCAGGGAGTTAAAACTCTTCACGTCCTGTTGGGCTCAATGGGAATCCCCATTTCCTAACATCAACTGTTTGTCCCAGGTAAGGCCTCTCTGAGTACATACTTCTTCTGTTGTGTTCTCTATGTCCAACTTTCAGAAAACGTCTGCTCACAGGAGCAATCCTTCCTTTCCAAGTGGACCACTTCCTATGTCTGAGTTATTGAGAGAAATTGCCCTGGAGCATTGCTGCAGTGGTAAGTCCACAGCTGCCCTCAGGTATTGTGTTTTTAGCACAGCCTGGGGAAGAGTGGGGTGTGGTAGGGCTGGCTGAGTCTTAATACTCTAAGCTCCATGGTGAAGTCCATGGTGCAGTCCATGGTGGTCCTCGGCACCCACATGAAGTATTGTTGGAGGTCCCCACAGCAGCGTGAGTTGTAGCCTAGACTCTTTCATTCTTCTGATTTTCCAGCTAGTAATTGTTGGAACCCTCCCACCTCAAACACCACATACACACCCACCACACACACACACACACACACACACACACACACACCCTTCCCAAGAAGCAGTGTGAATTCTCAATTATAGCATAGTCAAATCTCAAATGGTAGCAAAGCATCTTTCCCATGACGAAGTTCCTGCCCATTTTCCTTGACTGGCTTTCAAATGATATGCTTTCAAAGCATAATCAGGAAAAGATAAGGCTTCATGCACGATCTGCAGGACTGTTTCTGGTGATCTTCAAATTATGCCCCCATCTGCCAGGTGCAGTGGCTCACGCCTGTAATCCTAGCACTTTGGGAGGCTGAGGGGTGTGGATCACTTGAGGTCAGGAGTTTGAGACCAGCCTGGCCAACATGGTGAAACCCTGTCTCTACTAAAAATACAAAAATTAGCTGGGCATGGGGCACGCACTTGTAATCCCAGCTACTCAGGAGGCTGAGGTGGGAGAATCGCTTGAACCCGGGAGGCGGAGGTTGCAGCGAGCCGAGATGGCGCCACTGCACTCCAGCCTGGGTGACAGAGAAAGACTCTGTCTCAAAAAAGAGAAACAAAAATTATGCTCCCTCTAGCCTACTGGAAATAAAAAAAAAAAACATATTCTATCCCGAGCTTCACAGAGACCCAGGGGAAGCTTTGGAATTACCATTAACAAGAGCCCAGTTATGTTCTTAGGGGTCATTTGCTTCCTCTCTTTCTGGAAAAGGAAGCTGATTAGGTTCATTTCTCCAGCTACATAACTGGGTCCATTCATATTTATCATCTTTATGCATATCTGATTGCAAAGAATCACAGTACTAGTCTTATTATACACTTAGGTGTTTAGGCTTATGTTAATCATTCTTAACCTGACATAATCCCCGTAAGCCTATTAAAATGGTCACTTTTGTGGCTTTAAGTTTACCAACACAATAGTTCATCTAAGTTTCAAACAAGAAAAACAATGCTGATATTCAGAGAAATGGACTCTTAATGTCGCTCAGCTAGTAAATGATTATTAATTGGAAATAATTGATCAAACACTTTTACAAGTATCCTAAGAACCATTCTCTGTTTAACCTAGAGCAAAGACCTCCCTATTCTTCTTGGAGCAAATAACAATTATTTTGCAAACAAAATTAGAGAAGATTTAAAAATGGGAAAATGGTTGCGTTGGACTTTGTTTTTGATTATCTGCTCCATCACTGCCCCTTCCCCTGCACTATTCAATCTGTAACTCAGAAAGAGAGTTCAGCTGGCTGATCTGTGAGTTATTGAAGTTTTGGCTTAGAAAGGAAATCTGATCTCTGTCTAAGTGGCACTAATGTGTGGGCTGAGAGCTGCTACTGTAAATTCAGCAAGGGATTCATTAATGCTGTGAGCCTCCTGGAGCACTGTAGATGGGTGACCTCTGAAATAAAAGCATAATAAGAAAAAGATAAGGCTTCATGCATGATCTGCAAGACTGTTTCTGGTGATCTTCAAGATATCTTAAGTCAGGAGTACTTAGGGCTGGAAAGCCAGGAATTGTGAGGGGGCGGGGGAAGACCACCCAAAGTTTCAATGATATCATACAATTGATTCTTGGCTTTTTAACACTCTTTGGAAAAGCTCTCTCTTTTTTTCTCTCTCTCACACTATTTTCTTTGCTGAGAAAAACAGACTGCTGTTTTTGAAATTTTGATGATGCAGTTAACAAAGCTTGTAAATTGCTTATGGGAAGACATAGCTGGAAAATACCAGTTAGAATCCTACAGGGAGACCCAGTTGTTGGGGTGTCAGTCAGCTTTGTCAGATTCTGACTTTGGCATGGGTTATGGGGTTGGGGATGTAGAGGGACAATGGGGCTGCCAGAGTAGCCTTCTTGGAGTTTCCTCTCATGATATCAAAGCTACCCTGACCACAGGATATATTGTTTTTATTGCAAATTGACTTTGTGAGTTTGAATTTCAAGTCAGCTAAGCCATGCACCCCTTAACAAAGGGGATACATTCTGAGAAATGTGTTGTTAGGTGATTTGATTTGTTATGCAAACAAATAGAGTGCATTTACACGAACATAGGTGGTATAGTCTAGTCTATTACACACCTGGGCTATATGATATGGCCTATTGCTCCTAGGCCACAAAACTGTAGAGTGTATTACCGTACTGGACACTGTAGGCAACTGCAACACAATAGTAAGTATTTATGTATGTAAACATAGAAAAGGTAAAGTAAAAATACAGTATAAAAGATAAAAATGATATACCTGTTAAGGGCACTCACCACGAATAGAGCTTGCAGGACAGGAGGTTGCTGTGGGTGAGTCAATGAGTGAGTGGTGAGTGAATGTGAAGGCCTAGGACATTACTGTAGACCACTGTAGACTTAATAAACACTGTACACTTAGGCTACACTAAATTTTTATAAAAATATTTTATTTCTTCAATAATAAATTAACCTTAGCTTACTGCCACTTTTTAATTTATAAACATTTAAATTTTTTTTTTTTTTGAGATGGAGTCTTGCTCTGTTACCCAGGCTGGAGTGCAGTGGTGCAATGTCAGCTCACTGCAAGCTCCGCCTCCTGGGTTCACGCCATTCTCCTGCCTCATCCTCCCGAGTAGCTGGGACTACAGGCGCCCACCACCACGCCTGACTGATTTTTTGTATTTTTAGTAGAGATGGGGTTTCACCACATTAGCCAGGATGGTCTCGATCTCCTGACCTCGTGATCTGCCCGCTGTTTTAAAAACTTTTTGACTGTCATAATAACACAGCTTAAAATGCAAAAACACTGTACAGCTGCACAAGACTATTTTCTTTATATCCTCATTCAATAAATTTTTTTCTATTTTTAATTTTTTTTAACTTTTAAAACTTTTTTTTTTTATTAACAACTAAGACATAGGTACAAACATTAGACCAGGCCTGCACAGGGTCAGAATCATCAAGACATCACTAAGCAATAGATACTTTTCAGTCCCCTTATAATCTCATGGGACCACTGTTGTATTTGTGGTCCATTGTTGACCAAAACAGTGTTATGTGTTGTATTGTGAGAGTAGGTTTGTTATTGTCTTAGTCCTTTTTCTGCTGCAATAACAAAATATCAGACTGGGTAATTTATAAAGAAAAGAGATTTATTTGGCTTATCATTCTGGAGCTTGGGAAGTCCAAGATTGAGGGGTTGCATCTGGTGACGGCCTTCTTGCTGCATCAAAACATGGCAGAAGACATTACATGGCAAGAGAACAAATGTGTGTGAGAGACAAATGGGGGTCAAAGCTCATCCTTTTACCAGGAACCCACTCCCATGCGAACTAACCCACTTTCGCGATAACTGCATTGATTTATTCATGGGCTACTCACCTCTTAAAAGTCCCACCTCTCAATACTGTTATAATGGAAATTAAATTTCAACATGGGTTTTGGAGGGGACACTCAATCCATGGCATTTCCACTCCTGATCCCCCAAAATTCATACCCTTCTCACATACAAAATACATGCATTCTATCCCAAAGGTCCCAAAAGTCTTAACTCATTTCAGCAACAACTCAAGAGTCTCATCTAAATCAGATATAGGTGAGACTCAAGACATGATTCATTCTGAGTCAAATTTCCTCCAGTTGTGAGCCTGTGAACTAAAAGCATGTTGTCTACTTTCAAAATACAATGGTGGGACAGTCATAGGAAAGACATTCCCATTCCATTCCAAAAGGGGGAAATAGGCAAGAAAAGGGGTAACTGAACCCAAGTAAGTCCAAAACCTAACAGAAAACAACATTTTCCCTGGAGAATGTTGGGTAATCATACCCTTTGACTTTGTATTCTACATCCTGGGCACACTGGGGTGGGGGTTTAGCCCACAAGGCCTCAGGCAGCCCTGTCCCCATGGCTTTGCTAGGCTCAGCTCATATTTGAGCTCTCTTTGGTTGGGGTCTTGTGCCTGCAGCTTTCTTAGGCAAGCATTGCATGCTGGTAGTGCTACAGTTCTGGGGTCTCTGAGGTGGTTTTGCTCCCATGGCTCCACTGGGCATTGCCTTAGTGAGGACTCTCTGTGGTGACTTTGACACCATATTTCTGCTTGGCATTGCTCTGGTAGGAGCTCTCTGCTGTAGCTGTGCCCAAGTGACAAGCCTCTACCTAGTCCCCAGGCTGTTTACAAAATCATTCGAAATCTAGATGGAGGCCACCATGGCTTCGTAGCTAATCCACTCTGGATATCTACAGAATTAGCACCATGAGGATGACACCAGGATTTAATCCTTGAGCCCTCTAGGGCTGTGGCTTGAGACATACAAAGGCCCACTTGAACCATGGCTGGGGTGGCTGAGGGATGCTGAGGGAAGCAGAGTCCTGAGGCAGCCCTGGATAATGAGCCCATGGAGGATGCCCTGGGCTTTTTCCCTGAAACCATTCTTCCTTCCTAGAGCTTTGCCTGTGATGGGAAGTGTAGCCTCAAAAATGTTTGAAATGTCTTTGGGGTCTTTCTTCCATTGTCTTGATGAATAGTAGTACCTGGCTCCTTTCTAGCCATTTTAATCTCTTGAGCAAACAGTCTCTTGGCCACACCCTTATTTTTCTTTCCCTGACATGCTTTTTTACTCTTTACATGGCCAGGCTTTGAATGTTCTGAATCTTTTTGTTCTGCCTCTTTTTTTTTTTGAGATGGAGTCTTGCTCTGTTGCCCAGGCTGGAGTGCAGTGGCACGATCTCGGCTCACTGCAACCTCTGCCTCCTGGGTTCAAGTGATTCTTTTGCCTCAGGCTCCTGAGTAGCTGGGACTACAGGTGTGCGCCACCACGCCCGGCTAATTTTTGTATTTTTAGTAGAGATGGGATTTCACCTTATTGGCCAGGCTGGTCTCAAACTCCTGACTTTGTGATCCACTTGCCTCAGCCTCCCAAAGTGCTGGGATTACAGGGGTGAGCCACCGTGCTCAGCTGCCTCTATTTTAATTATAAAGTTCATCTTTAAGTTATTTCTCTCCTTTCACGTCTCACTGTATATGGTTAAAAGTAGCCATGCAGCAGCCTGGCAGCCTGAATGCTTTGCTGCATAGATATTTCTTCCACTAGATATTCTAGTTGATCTCTCTTAAGTTCTGCATTTTGTAAAGACCTAGAACATGGACACAATTTGGCCAAGTTATTTGCAACTGCATAGCAAGGATGGCCTTTACTTCAGTTTCCAATATGTTGTTCCTCATTTCTGTCTGATACCTCATCAGAATGGCCTTTACCATTTGTATTTCTATCAACATTTTGGTCATGACCACTTAAGTAATCTCTAAGACATTACAGAATTTTTTTGGTCTTCTTCTCTTCTTAGCCCTCACTGAAATTGTCCTTAACACTTTATTCATAGCAATCTAGGCTTTTTCTAGCCTGCTCCTCCAAATTCTCCCGGCTTCTACACATTACCCAGTTCCAAAGCTGCTTCTGCATTTTCAGGTATTTGTTATAGTAACAGCTCCACTTCTCTGTACCAATTTTCTGTCTTAATTTGTTTTCTCCTACTATAACAGAATACCTAAGACTAGGTAGTTTATAAAGAACAGAGATGTATTGCTTACAGGTCTGGAGGGTGGGAAGTGTAAGGTGGAGGGTCTCATATCTTGCAAGGGTGGTCATGCTGCATCATCCCATGATAGAAGGCAGAAGGGCAAGAGAGCATGAGAGAGAGGAGGGAGAGAGGGAAAGAGAGAGAGAGACAGAGAGAAAAAACAACAGAGAGCTGAACTCACTTTTATAACTGCTTTGGCTTTAATGTCATTCCAAAACTCATGTTGAAATTTATTGCCATTGTAACAATATTCAGAGGTGGGATCTTTAAGAGGTGATTAGGTCATAAGACCTAATCAATGGGGTGAATGAATCTTGCAGTGGTTGGAACTTTGATCTCTTTCATTGAGCTCCCAGATGCTGAGTTTATAATTTTAATTTCTAGGATTAAGAAACTCTTCTTAGGTGCCCAAATTGGAAAAAAAAATGTATATGGTTGGTGGAAGTCTTTTCGTACTAGCACTGCTGTTTGCCTCTCTTGTCATATTTGTTGTCTATCAGGAAGAGAAAATTCATAGGGAAGTAGACAAGCATAGGCACTGAAATAAGCCCTTTCCTTAAGCAGGCCATGGGGACTGAGAAGTTCAGTTCAAAAAGGAGCACTTTAAACTTCCAATGGTCCTCATTTCTTAATGCTTATAAAAAAAATCTGAAATATTCAGATTCCAAAATCTTTTTTCTAAGATATTACTTGGCCAAAGCAAAATTTTAAATAATCTTAAATCAATTTCTCTCTTTAGACCCTCCTGAATCACAATTTTAACCTAATAATAGCCTACTCTCCCCAAATCCTATACGCTTCCATTTCCTTCTGCCCCATTTATCCCTCTGATTTGCTCTTCCTCCCTCTAGGCTCTCCTGCATCACCTTAAGCTCCATTGTCTCTTAGAGTTAAATCTCCCTCAGAACAAACAAAACCCTTTTCTGTTGATTTCAAACCCTGGTCTCAGTCTTAGCTGAGAGCCATTGTCAAAAGACTTTTCAAAGCCCAGACAGGACAGGGAGAAATTTGCAGAGAAATTATCTTATGAATGTATAATGCAGGACTCACTAATCTTATCAATAAGTTCATGTGCTAGTGGTAATCTTACATGCTAAGGACTGGATAGAAAGAGCAGGGTTGGAAGCTCTCAAGAATGATTTAAAAGGACCCTGGCTTTTACAGAAAATCAGAGGGCCTTAGAAAAGCTGTAAATGTTGGATAAGGTCTTTTGGAGTCTAACCCAAAGTCTTCTCTATGAAGGTAGATTAGACTGTAATCCAGTCGGAAGCAAGGAAAGAATGAGTTCTTTGGAGACTTCAGAGATAGTTCTTTATACCTTTAGACACCATTCAGGAGAAGATCTTGAAGCAGATGCAGCCCTGGCTCTCCATTAACTTTTCACAAATAAATATTGCCAAGTCAGAAGTTGGGTATTTAACACATAAGAATAGATTAGAATAGGAAATGACCCTACTGCCAGAACTCCCAATTCCTTGCTGAGTGCTTTGAAAAGAGCTTAGGACAAAAACGAAGTGGAAATCTGAATAAATTTATGGCCTTACCAATAAAACATCTGGATGCTCCCACATTAGTCATTCAACTCCAAAGGAGGGAGTCTCTTAATAAAGATAGTAGTACATATTTAAAAAAAAGACATTGCAAAAAGAATTGCCCTGTCTTGGCTAAAAAACAGTAGAGAAAATACAGTCTTCCTTCGGTATCCATGAGGAATTGGTTTCAGGATACAAAAATTTGCAGATACTCAAATAACCAGTATAAAGTGGTGTAGTAATTGCATATAACCTACATATAACCTCCTATATACTTTAAATAATCTCCAGATTACTTATAATACCTGTATTCGTCCATTTTCACACTGCTAAAATAACTTCCTTGAGACTGGGTAATTTGTAAAGGAAAGAGGTTTTATTGATTCACAGTTCCACCTGACTAGAGAGGGCTCAGGAAACTTACAATCATAGCAGAAGGCAAAGGGGAAGCACGCACCTTCTTCACAAGGTGGCGAGAGAGAAGAAAGCCAGCAAAGGAGAAATGGTCAACACTTATAAAATCATCAGCTCTCATAAGAACTCACTCACTATCTATCGAGACCATCCTGGCTAACATGGTGAAACCCTGTCTCCACTAAAAATACAAAAAATTAGCCAGGCGTGGTGGCGGGCACCTGTAGTCCCAGCTACTCAGGAGGCTGAGGCAGGAGAATGGCATGAATCTGGGAGGCGGAGCTTGCAGTGAGCCAAGATTGCCCCACTGCACTCCAGCCTGGGTGACAAAGTGAGACTCCATCTCAAAAAAAAAAAAAAAAAAAGAAAAAAAAAAAAGAACTCACTCAGTATCATGAGAACAGCATGGGGTAAACCACCATTGTTATCCAATCACCTCCCACTAGGTCCCTCCCTTGACACATGGGGATTACAATTTGAGATGAGATTTGGGTGAGGACAAAAGGTCAAACCATATCATTTCACCCCTGGCCCCTCCAAAATCTCATGTATTTCTCACATTTCAAAGCAGTCATGGCTTCTGAACAGTTCTCCAAAGTCTTAACTCATTCCAGGATTAACCCAAAAGTCCAAGTCCAAAGTATCATCTGAGACAAGGCAAGTCCCTTCCACCTATGAGCCTATAAAATCAAAAGCCAGTTAGTTACTTCCTAGATACAATGGCATTACAGGCATTAGAAAATGCTTCCATTCCAAATGGGAGAAATTGCCCAAAACAAAGGGGCTACAGGCTCTATGCAAGTCTGATAGCCAACAGGGCAGTGATTAAATCTTAAAGCTCCAAAATAATAGTTTTTGACTTCATGCCTCATATCCAGGGCATGCCAGTGCAAGGGGTGGGCTTGCGTGGCCTTGGGTAGCTCATTCATGGGCTGGTGTTGACTGCCTGCAGCTTTTCCAGGTGCATGATGCAAGCTGTTGGTGGATCTACCACTCTGAGGTCTGGAGGACAGTGGCCCTCTTCTCACAGCTTCACTAGGTAGTGTCCCAGTGAGGATTCTGTGTGGGGACTCCAATCCCACATTTCTCTTCTGCACTGCCCTAGCAGAGGTTCTCCATGAGGGCTCTAACCCTGCAGCAGACTTCTGCCTGGACATTCAGGCATTTCCATACAGCCTCTGAAATCTAGGTGGAGGTTCCCGAATCTCAATTCTTTGTTTATTTATGTATTTATTTACTGTAGAAAGTCAAACAATATAGAGGAGATATTCTGATGTCTCTTCTTCTTCTTCTATTTTTTATTTTACTTTATCAGATACATGTGCAGAACATGCAGGTTTGTTACATAGGTATACATGTGCTATTGTGGTTTGCTCCGCTATCAATCTGTCATCTAGGTTTTAAGCCCCACATACATTAGGTATTTGTCCTAATGCTCTCCCTCCCCTTGCCTCTCACCCCCTGACAGATTCTGGTGTGTGACGTTCCCCTCCCTGTGTCCATGTGGTCTCATTGTTCAGCTCCCACTTATGAGTGAGAACATGAGGTGGCCAAACCTCAATTCTTGACTTCTGTGCACCCACAGGCACAACACCACATGAAATCTGCCAAGGCCTGGGGCTTGCACCCTCTGAAGCAATGGGCTGAGCTGTTTTTAGTCATGGCTGGAGTTGAAGTGGCTGGGATGCAGGGTGCCATGTCCTGAGGCTGCACAGAGCAGCAGGGGCCCTGGGCCCAGCAAGCAAAACCATTTTTATCTCCTAGGCCTCCATGTCTGTGATGAGAGGAACTGCTGTGAAGATCTCTGACATGCCCTGGAGATATTTACCCCATTTTCTTGGTGATTAATATTTGGCTCCTCATTACTTATGCAATTTCTGCAGCTGGCTTGAATTTTTCCCTAGAAAATTGGTTTTTCTTTTCTACCTCGTAGTCAGACTGCAAATTTTCCAAACTTTTATGCTCTGTTTTTTCTTGAATGCTTTGCCACTTAGAAATTTCTTCCACCAGATACCCTAAATCATCTCTCTCAAGTTCAAAGTTCCACAGATCTCTAGGGCAGGGGCAAAATGCCACCAGTCTCTTTGCTAAAGCATAGCAAGAGTGACCATTACTCCAGTTCCCAGTAAGTTACTCATCTCCATCTGAGACCACCTCAGCCTGGACTTCATTGTTCATCTCACTATCAACATTTTGGTCAAAGCCATTCAACAAGTCTCTAGGAAGTTCCAAACTTTCCCACATCTTCCTGTCTTCTTCTGAGCCCTCCAAACTTTTCCAACCTCTGTGCATTACCTGGTTCCAAAGTTTCATCCGCCTTTCAAGCATCTTTATAGCAGTACCCTACTCCTGGTACCAATTTACTGTACTAGTTCATTTTCACACTGCTGTAAAGAACTTCCCTGAGACTGTGTAATTTGTAAAGGAAAGAGGTTTAATTGACTCACAGTTGACATGGCTAGAGAGGCCTCAGGAAACATACAATCATGGCAGAAGGCAAAGGGGAAGCAAGCACCTTCTTCACAAGGTGGCAGGAAATAGAAGAAAGACAGTGAAGGAGGAACTGTCAACACTTTAAAACCATCAGATCTCATGGGAACAGCATGGGGGAAACCACCACCATGATCATCCAGTCATGTCCTACTAGGTCCCTTTCTTTACATGTGGGGATTACAATTCAAGATGAGATTTGGGGACACAGAGCCAAACCATATCCATACCCAATACAATGTAAATTCTGTATAAATATTTGTTATACTGTATTGTTTAGAGCATAATGAAGAGAAAAAGAGTCTACATGTTCAGTACAGATGTACATTTTTTAAAGAATATTTTCAATTTGAGGTTGGTTAAATCCATGAATGTGAAGCCCATGGATGTGGAGAGATGACTCTGTGTAAAAAATGCAGTGACTAATCAATGAGGTGCTCAGAGGAAACTTTAAAGATTAAAGGAGCCCTTCTAATTGATTTATTTGAAATAAGTGCTTCTATCAATTGAATATTTTAAAAAATTCCCAGAAATTAAAAAAATTGAATAAATACTTTTGATATGTTAAAGATGATAATCTTATAGAAACTTAAACGGTCAAAGAGTCTGAGTTTACATGCTTTCAGTGAAATTTTGCAAATGAGACTTATTTTTGGCTTAATGAAAAAGTTATATTTTCTCTGATTTATCAGGGTAAAGTATAATAGAAGCTTATGATTTTATTCTAATTGGGTATATTCTTTTTTGTTTGTTTGTTTGTTTGTTTGTTTTGAGACGGAGTCTCGCTCTGTCGCCCAGGCTGGCACAATCTCGGCTCACTGCAAGCTCTGCCTCCCGGGTTCACGCCATTCTCCTGCCTCAGCCTCCCTAGTAGCTGGGACTACAGGCGCCCATGACCATGCCTGGCTAATTTTTTGTATTTTTAAGTAGAGATGGGGTTTCACCATGTTAGCCAGGATGGTCTCGATCTCCTGACCTTGTGATCCACCTGCCTTGTGATCCAAGTGCTGGGATTACAGGCGTGAGCCACCGCGCCCAGCCTTAATTGGGTATATTCTTAAACTTACACAGGTTAACTGATCAAATAAACTAGGCTTACTTCTATTTAATACTTATGGTTATGAAAAATATGTATTTGTGTTGACTTATTCTGAAAAATTTTACTTCAACACTAATTATGTTTTGTAGTGTTAGACTATTAATTTCCAAGATATTTGGAACTATTAAATTTAGTTAATGAATAGATAGTCATTGGATGACAATATAATTTCTGAGTAAGATAGCATATTAAAACGTCAATTATTAAGCATAACTTAAAGTTTGTATACTTTTGCTTCTTATTTTTATATGCTATCTTTGTGCCTGTTAATGAATGTAATCATTTTTGCCACTTTGAGAAGTTGTATTAGGGTTGTGTGTAGCTGTAGAAAATTGTGTTATATTCATGGGCTCTGCTAGTCTGCAAAGTGCTGATGTGTGACAGTGGACAATTATCCACACTTCCTGCTTACCCCAGTTTTCTCTGGGAAATAAGGTTACTTTGGTTAAAAGTTATAACTGAATATACCTGAATGAGACTCTATTAGGAATAATCTTGGCAGAGAGGTATGTGTTTTTATGCAAGTTAATAATATATGTTTTTGTTAAGGGAAAAAGAAGATTGTAGTATGTGTAAATGCTTCTGAAAAGCTATAAAATATATTAGAATCTTAGCAAAATTTGTTCAATTTTGATGACCTTGTTTCCTTGTTTTACTGCTTATTGTCTTCACCTATAATATAAAGGTTATTTATTTATTTCTTGTCTCATTGATTTATCCTCTAGGAAAAAGAGACCAGTAGATCTTCACTTCAAGGGAATTCTGGATTTTGATTTTTTTCCCTTGCCTTATGTCTCTTTATTCATGCTTATAAGAGGTGTGAAAAGTTGGGGGAATCCTACCTGGTATGGTTAAGAGAATAGCAAGCAATTTAGACAATGCCATGAAGGCCACTGCAGGGTACCAGAATTGTCACCCCAAAATATGTCACTTTGGCATAAGAATTATTTTGAGCTGAAGGAAACTGAGAAATAGCAGGCACAGGAAGAATTCTCTGCTCTCCCCTTTTTTGCTTAAAAGCAGGACTTATATTTCCCTTTGTAAAACTGACATAAATTTCTATTTGTAAAGGTGTTCCCCGTATTAGGAAGAGAAGGATGACTCTCTTCATAACAAACCTTACTAAACAACCCTTATTTACCATACAAGTTCTAGTCACCTTCCCACAGTTTGCTGCCCCTAGGAGCCTAAACCCCAACTTTCCTTTGTCTTGTTACTTCTCTCACGCAGGATTTAGTGCCCGTTGTTAAAATGGTATATAATCCTCCAGGGCTAACTGCTTGTTTGGGGTCTTCACTTGTAAAAATGCCTCTGTCTACATAAAAATTAAAATATTAACATCAAATAAAATTTGTATGCCTTTTTCCTCATTTAATCTGTCTTTTGACAGATTAATTCACAAGTCCCACTCACAGTACCTGAGAGTAGAGAAAAAGGTTTCTTTTTCTCCTCTAAGCCACAGAACTCCTCATCCAAGAAGATGATGAAATTGGACAAGTGGTGGGTTCAGAACAGATCTGCTTTAGACATCATACTGGACTCTGGAGGAAGAACATGTGCTGTTTTAGGAGAAGAATGTCATATGTAAATCTCTGCAGACCTCTCTTAGATTTTTAATATTAATAAAAAGATCTGGGGAAGTAAACAAAGAAATCAGAAACTTAGGTCATTTGGTTAACAACTCCATGTCTGGTCCTGTGAACTCTTCAGATTGGGGGATGGGATCTGTTCTTTTAGTGTAACCTGGATGCCCTTGGCTCCTGACTGAGAAGTGAAGAACAAACTGAACATAATCCTGGTTTAGTATTTGTCTGTGTGGCAGGGTTCACATGTGTGATCTCTGGAGTCATAAAGGCTGTTCCTCAGCAGCTGTCCCATCAAATGTTCTGGCAAAAGGAAGGCAGAAAGAACTGGAAAATCTGATCCTTTTAGAGGTTGAAACAACCACCTCCAGAAACTTAGATGCAATTATTGATAGAATCTTGATATGCAATTATGACACCTCTAATAGTGGTAAAGAGCTGGATTGATTACATCCTCAGAAATCAATGGTTTATCCTTCAACTGAGGCTGAAAAATGACCTCAGGAGGGGCTGAGAACAGAAGTCTCCTTACCTCATATTCAGGCTGGGTGCTGAGAACCAAACACACCCTACTCTGCATTAACATGACATTGTGCTATTCTTGTGTCTTCATTAGAGTGGGCTACACAGGCAGATGTTGATTATTAAAACTTCCTGAAGATTCTTCACCTCTCTTGCTTTGAAATTGTCACGTTGCTGTTTCTAGCAATTCTGAACTGTTGTACCATGAACCTTACCCAATCCTAATCATATCTGGGCTTTCAAAGCCCACCTTAAATCAACTTCCAATTCTTAATAAATTCTGACCTCACCTTCTTCCTGCAAGACACGGCCACAGCTTTGCTAGGTGGTATTGTTACAGTAGATAGTTAGGCAATGGTGAGCAGAGCAGGAGAGCCCCGCGAACTCCCAGCCCAACAATGTCAGGTGACCATCAGGTGATGGTTAGGCAGTTGTTAAACTGTCTCTAAAATGATAATTGGTCCCAGCCAACGCCGGGGAAAGGCAGTCTCCCAGTAGACAGAAAACACCTGAAGCTGCTGATCAGTAGCTTCCCGATAAAATCTCAGGAGCTGGGTAAGCGGGCTCAAGCATGCGCACTAAGAGGCAAAATGGTGGAGTTTAACTGGTGTTTGACCTTCCTCTAGGAACGCTTGACTGGTAAGGGAAGAGCGCGGCGTATGAGCATGTACACAACTAAAGTAAACACACTGCGCATGCAACACCCCCAGGGCTGGCAGGCCATTACGCATGCAGAATGCCAGCGTATAAAACCCTAAGTTAAAGGTCAAACTGCAGACTTGAATCTCTCAAGTGGCCCCCTTGGCCCTCTTACAAGTGTACTTTACTTTCTTTCACTCCTGCTCTAAAACTTGCCTCCGTCTCTCACTCTGTCTTATGCCCTTTCCTTTGCCTTATGTCAAATTCTTTCTCTGAGGAGGCAAGAATTGAGGTTGCTGTAGACCCGTATGGATTTGCTGCTCCTAAGAGTGTTTCCTTTACTGCAGTAAGCAATGAACTCAGCTTTGTCTTATCAAGAGGTTGTGTCTGTGGTATTAGCGGAGCCAGCCTTTGACAGATGTTACAATTGGTTTAAAGGAGAAGTCAAACCACAAAGACTTTTATAGATCAGAAATAATGAAATAAATTTGCAAGCGACTGCAAAACTGGCTTTATTGTCGGGGGAAGAGACAGGTTCTCTCCCTAACAGACAGAATTTATTTTCATGTCTATGGACAAAATTACTGAATGTAAGTACTGTAATTACTACAGTACTTAGATAAATGACTGTAACTTTATTAGGCAGTAATACAGTTACAGAGCTCCCATAGAATCAGAATCAGATTATCTGGAAGGTTATACCCTAGACAATGCATAGTTTTCCATTGAAGCATAAATTTTTCCCTAAACTAGGTTCTGGGTGTGCTGTTCTAGGGGATTTCCCAGACATTATTGCGTTTAATCTTTACCACACCCTACAAGATGAATATTACAATTTCCTTTCTTTCAAAATGAGGAAACTGAGGCTCAGTGAGGTTTTTCAAAAACCACAAAAATGCTCTAATAACGTGTAATATATTTTGGTTAATGCAAACATCATATACTGAAAGGAAAAACTAAAAATTTTTGAATGGCAAGGAGAGAATTACTGGGTGTCATATGGCTGGTGTCATATGGCTGGGTGCTATCCAGTACTTTAATTTGGGTTCTTTAAGTTCATAGTAGTCTGCGCCTTTCACTGTCTTTGAGCTATTTTATAACTCTGTAAATGAAAAAAAAAAAAAAAAACCATAGTAATGTAAATGATTCTCATCCACAGTCAATGCAAATGAATGTTTGGTGGAGAAAACCAGTCTTGCATCTATTAACAAATGCATTTCCTCATTGCTGGGCATTTCTGATTGCCTACATAGGCGTCTGGTCTTTGAATTCTCCTTTGAACCAGTTTAACACCTTAGGGTTTCCTCATTAATTGGTGAATAAAATAAAACCTTTGACGTGTTCATTTTCTATTTGTATGACAGTCATGATTTTTACTCTTTAAGAAAATGTCTTTTAAAAAACAGTCAGAAATGACTTTAGCTGTGGGGCCACTTAATGTTTTGGGCCATAGGGAAGGTTAGCAGCTAATCTAAGGCTCTCCCTGCTCTGAAATTATTAGATTTTATGACCACATACCTGACATTCCTAGAGTTGCATGTTAAGCCATCTATTGTTTTCTTTCCAGAGCTATCTGATAGCACAGGCTGTCTGTGAAATACAGTCTGAGCAATTAGGCCTAGCTAACGTCTTCCTGACTGAAATGCCAGTACAAATATCTGACAGAAGCATGTGATTGAAAATAAATAGGGGCCAATTAATGGGAACTAATTTGGTATTACAATGGAAATAGGTGACCTAATGCATTCTAATTCCAGTTAAATGTGACTAATTCCAGTTAGTGTTTGAATTTCAGATACAGTTAACTTTAACCACTTGAGTCCTTGGAAGTTTCACAGTTATCACTAGTTATGCTGTAGAAATGTCTAGATCTTCACATGTTACCCTTGGGGCCTTTGTGACCTGGTAACTCCTGCTTCACCCTCCTGAGACCTGCATCATTAATTACTCATATAGTGTATTAAAGCTGAAATTCTTAGGTTAAAGGCATCAAAAAACTCAGATGTTTTCAGAAAATAGAGTATTAATCAGGGTCTTCTTTGCTGCAAGTGACAGGAAAGTCAAACTAATTTAAGTAAAAAAAAAAAGACTTTGTTGGGTCACATGGCAACAGTCCAGGGGCAATGTGAGTTCAGGTATAGCTAGATCCAGGGGCTCCAAACATGTCTTCAAGACCTGATATTTCTCCTTCTCTGTGTTCTGCTTCCTTTGGGTTGATTTCCTTGCTGATGGCCGTCCTCTGCTGATGGCCTTAGGTTATTCCTGGCTTGCAGGGTTGCTTCCCCAAGACCAGTGGAAAAGAGTCTGGTTCTCACCAACTCTTTCCGGTTGTTCAAACAAAAGACTCAGGATTGGCTCCAATTGGACTGATTGCCATGGCTTGGATTACGTGTCCATCTCAGAACCAATTGCTGTGTCTAGGAGGATGTGATGTTCTGATTGGCTAGGTTTGGGTCACATGTCCAGGATTATAGCTCATGGTTGAACACCTACCCCTGTGTTCCACCCAAAGCACAAACAAGAACAAAAAACCAAACACCACATATTCTCACTCATAGGTGGGAATTGAACAATGAGAACACATGGACACAGGAAGAGGAACATCACACTCTGGGGACTGTTGTGGGGTGGGGGGAGGGGGGAGGGATAGCATTGGAAGATATACCTAATGCTAGATGACGAGTTAGTGGGTGCAGCGCACCAGCATGGCACATGTATACATATGTAACTAACCTGCACAATGTGCACATGTACCCTAAAACTTAAAGTATAATAATAAAAAAAAAAAAAAAAAAAAAGAATGAGAGTAGAGGAGGGGAGGCTCCCAAGGGGAAAATCCAGGGAACTTGGCTGTGGGAAGCCCAAAACACCATGTAAACCAAAAATAAAATTCTAAGGCCCCCCCCAACCATCTGAATGGACCCCTCCTCCCGGCCAAGGGCATTCCAGCATTGACCTGAAAATCTGGTTCAGGCCATGATGGAAGAGGAGTCGGACATGCCTCATTATACCCCTCCAGCAGTAACATCAACACAGACCTTAAGTTTGATAAGAAACATTTACAGTCTATTCTCTCTGAAACCTGCTACCTGGAGGCTTTATCTGCTTGATAAAACCTTGGTCTCCACAACCCTTTATCATAACCCACACATTCCTATCTCTTTCAACCAACTGCCAATCAGAAAAAATTTAAATCTACCTCTGACCTGGAAGCCCCCACCTTTAGAGTTGTCCTAGATCATACTGATGTAAATCTTACATGCATTGACTGATGTATTATGTCTCCCTAAAAATGTATGAAAGCAAGCTGTGCCCCAGCCACCTTGGGCACATGTTCTGAGGACCTCTGGAGGCTATGTCATGGACTCATCCTTAACCTTGGCAAAGTAGATTTTCTAAATTGATTGAAATTTGTCTCAAATACTTTTTGGTTCACACTGCATAGAAATTGTAGTATCACATGTTCGCTGAAGCCCTCAGGTTACAACTCTTGTCAAATGGCCATACTTCTTGAGGGATCTCTCTGAGGAACAACTGTGTTGTTAATTGGTATCCAAAAACATTCATTTATTTGATCAATTAGCACTTTCTGAGAAGTTCCTGTGAGACTGACCCTAAACTTTATGTTAGGGATGCAGAAATAAAAACTATATCACTGCTGTTAGGGAGAGCATAACATTATTGCCATTTTATTATCAGGGTTCCTGGTCACTGGACAACCAAGTGAAAGCAGAGTTCAGAGGAAAATCTTCAGGTGAGATTCTACGGAACGTGAAGGAGAAGATGTTTAAACGTGTTGGGTACAATCTATTCGTATTATCTATTTGCATTTGCCATGTATTTCCAAAGTTATCTCTCACCTAGTACCTCCCTACCATCTCTTGTTCATTTGTAAGCAATCTGTAGTTGTTAAGATTGTCATAGTGAAATACTTCTGACAGAGTCATTTTTGATCTGTCCATTTTGACCCATGCTGAGTGTTTATAATGTGGAGAGTGAGCTGATACAGCATCTTCAACAAGCCATCGGCTGCCTAGCGAATCACTCCATTATCACTCACCTTGAAAATTGTTCTCAATGTGTTTATCATACCATTAAAAAATACATGGTCAAAAAAATTCCATTAGAAGAAATTCCAGGGTTTCAATGTGTCCATTGTTGGATAAGCAATTGTTTTGGTAATGTAAGAGTTGTGCATGGTAAGACTCAAGTCTTGCTGTGATAAACGCTAGGAATAAAGGCTACATGGGACCCTGAAATTCTGTAGAGGACCCCAAGGTAGGCTGATGGTTGGATAATTCCCTGAAGGCATTGGAGACAACGTTTGAAGGATAATGGGGAATGGATTAGGTGGAGGATGTGGAGATATGGTAGGTATAGGAAATTCCTTGTAGTGGGAGACGGTGAAGTTGTTAGAAGATGGTAACATTGATATTTAAGAATGTAATGGATACTTTGCTAAATGACTGATGTGAATCAGGTCGTTTAATACTTACAGCAATTCAGTAAAGTAAAAATTATTGTTATTACCATTTTCCAGATGGGGAAATGGACTTCCTAGCTTCCCCGCTTGCTTCTCCTAACCTAGACACAAAAATTAAGTAAGTTGCTCAAAGTTACACAGCTAGAAGAGGCTAAGCCAGGATTTGAATTGTAGGATATTTAAAACCAGAGGTCCTGCTATATTACAAGGGTTTCTGGGGAGGAAAAAAAAGCCAGAATGGCTGGAGCTCAGGGAGCTAGAGGAAAAAGTTTGTGAGCCAAGACTCAAAAAGTAGTTGGGGGGTCAGGCAATGGGGGGCCTTGCAGGCCTAGGGCTATGTGAGGCCATCGAAGGACTATGATGTGACTTGATTTATGTTTATAAGATCACTCTAGCTGCTGGGGTGAGAACTGACTGTAGAGGGCAAGATTTGAAGTAGGCAGACTGGTTAGGAGGCTGCAGCAATAGTCCAGGCAAGAGCTGATGCTCACTGGACTGAGGTGTGACAGTAAAAATAGACATAAATGGAGAGACTTAAGAGACATTTAGGGGGTAAAATTGCCTGGATTTGGTGACTGGTTATGGGAAGAAAGTAGAGGGTAGCATCATGGGTGACACCCAGAGAACTCGTTGATGGAACTGGATGAATAGCGATACCATCCACTGAGTTGGGGAGACAGAATGAAGCCATGTTGGGGTATGGGCTTGGGCAGACAAGATGTTGGATTAAATCAGAGACACGATGAGTTTAGATTCCTCTGAGATGTAACGTTGGCAGTTGTAGATGTTTGTCTGGAACTCAGAGGCCACAGAACTTAGATGCACATTTGAGTACTGTATTAGATTCTTAGGGCTGCTGTGACAAATTACCACAAACTTGGCAGCTTAAAACAACAGAAACTTATTCTTGCACGGTTCCGGTGGCCAGCAGTCCAAAATCAATGTGTTGGCAGTTGGTTCTCTCTGGAGGTTGCAAGGGCGAATGCATGCCATACCTCTCTCTTAGCTTCTGTTGGCTCCTGGCAACCCTTGGCATTCCTTGGCTTGGGGCTGCTTGACTCCAGTCTGCTGCCTTCATCTCCACATGGCCTTCCGCTCTGTGTGTGTCAGTATTTCCTCCTTTCCTTTCTCTTACAGGAACACTCATTATTGGATTTAGGGTCCATCCTAAACCTAAGAGGATCTAATCTCGAGATCTTTAGCTTAATTTCATCTCCAAATAACCTATTTCCAAATAAGGTCACATCAACAGGCAATGGTTCATATTTGGACACATCTTTTTGGGACCACTCCTCAATCTACTGGAGGTGCTATGAATTTAGAGATGTCACTCAAATCCTGGAGCATGCACGCAATTTTCTCAAGAGACAATGTAGAGGAGAAGAATAGAAGGCCCAGAGCAGATACCTGGAGAACTGCATAATTTAATGGTTGCATAATGGTGGACAAGTCTACAAAATGGAATGAGAAAAGAGCCCAGAATTGTAGAAAGAACTCCAGAAAGTGGGAGTCAAGAGAAGAGTGCATTTCATGATGGAAGGAGAAAGCAGTGCTTACAAATGATCACCAGAGCGCTAGGTACTTGCTTATAGTACTATTGATTATTGGCCTTTAATGTTGCTAATCTAGGGCTAATAATATATAATTATTTTAGTTTTTTTTCAATTAAAATTTAACCAGAACACCAGGCAGAATGTTAACTTCGCAGAAAGTTCAGTAGAACATATATAATTGGCAAAGAAATTTTCTGGAGTTTCATTTTCCTTTTTTTTTCTTTTTTTTTTTTTTGAGACAGCATGTCACTCTGACACCCAGGCTGCAGTGCAGTGGCTGCATGCACATGGCTCACTGCAGCCTCAACCTCCTGGGCTCAAGTGACCCTCCTGCCTCAGTCTCCCAGGGAGCTGGAGCTACAGATGTGTGCCACCATACCCAGCTAATTTTTAAACTTGGTAGACACAGCATCTTGCCCTGTTGCCCAGGCTAGTCTCAAACTCCTGAGCTCAAGCAATCCTCCAATCTCGGTCTCCCAAAGTGCTGGGATTGCAGGTGTGAGCCACTATGCCCAGCCTTATTTTCCTTTTTGGTGAAGAGAATCCAAGTAGCTTATCACCTGTGTCTTCACAACTAAAGTTTAATTTTTATGTAGGAAGTCAATTTATCCTTCAACCCTGGAGTGAACTGCAATATAGTCCTGAATCTTGACTTTACAGCTACACTTTAGAAATAATGCCCTCCTTTTGGTACTGTTGTGGCACAATGATATTACCAGAGAGAAGATAAATGTATATATTGTGGACTCAGTAAAAGACATAGCACTATGTTCCTTTTGAGATAACACATTGGGCAAAAATGCTTTGGCAAAAACTAATTCACTGTAAAACCAAATGAAATTCCTGGTTGCCTGAACCAGTTGAAAACTGGTTCTAGCTTTGTGTAGGGACCCTTCCTCTCTACATGTATACAGGTGCCTCCTGGTTTTTACTGAAGTGTTTTCCTGGATATGGAGGGGCCAGATGAGGGTGAAGACTTCTAGCTGGAGCAATGATGGGGCTGGGGTACCCCATGGGTGAACAGGGAACAAAATCCATCTGACAGTGTCTGTGTAGGAAGCGAAAGTTGAGAGAAGTGAGTCAGATTCTGGGAGTCCTTGAATACCAAGTTCAGGACCTCCCGGTGGAAACAGTGGAATCTGTCCCAGAACGAAAAACTCTTTTCTCCAGTTCTGTGGCTGTGATTCATCCTTGGTTTTCATTGCAAGTGCAGCAATCCAGGCTGTAGTTAGTTGTGTTCCCACTGGGCTCATTTGGGAGTTTCTCTGGATTGAGGTCAGATTTTCATAAATCAACCTGGAATGCCTTGGCTAGATACTGGGAGGAGTAGCTCAGGTGAAAAAAAGAAAAACAAAAAACAGCAAGATCTGGAGTCTCCTGCTGCTATGGGCACTGTGGGGTCTACTCCCAGCAGCCATGGACTTTGCAACACACAGTGGGGCCTGCGTCAGATAGGCCACAATGGCGAAGTCCCTGGGAACATGATCACAAGGGACCAGGGGGCTCATGTTCATCCTTTGTGGATTTTTGATTCTCCACTTCTTTCAGCCCAGAGGTGCTCTGGAGAGATGCATGCCTTCTGTCTTTATTATGTTCCTCTGGTTTTGGGAGTGAAAGAGACGGGGAACAGGGAGGGGGTTGCAGATGAGATGGGCTCCAAGGCGGGACTTATAAGAACATCCTCCCAGTGGAGGATGCCTGCATGAGGTAGAGGTATGGTTTCAATTCTACTCTGGCAAGCCCGCGTTGGCAACATGTACTTCTCTTTCAAGTCTCACACTGATTTGAGAGTTTGTAGACAACTTTGTACTCTGGGCCTCTGCCAGTGTCCTGAAGAAATGACTCCCCTTGGCTTCCCATTTTCTATCTCACTGGCCCAACCAAATTTGGTGAATAATAACTTTTTTTTTAAAGCAAACATTGCTGCTAAGTAAACCCAGGAAGGACCTACGCAACCGTGCATCTGGGGACCAGTGTTATCTTTTCACATCTTTGTGACTTCCCTCCTATTGATCACATGAGAACAGCAATCTCAGATTTGCACCATTCTCTGGTTCATCCTGGGGAGAGAGTCACCACACACAGATGGCAGGCTGGCAGGAATGGCTTGTTTTTTATTTTTTAAACTTCTAACTCATGCTAGTCTTTTTTTTTTTTTTTTTGGTATTAACCTGCCACCATATTTTCTTATACATCAATGAAAATAAAAAAAATGTGTCTGTATATCATCTGTCTTATTCTTCAAGATGCCCTTTGTTTATTAAAAATGCAACCAGTCTCTGTAGGATCTGATTTACCTGTCTGTGGATGATCCAAACCGCCGGCCTCACCTCTGTCTCCCCACTCTCTTACACAAGGGTAGTTCACGGTGCTCCAGCTCCAGCTGGTATGTAAAGGAAGGAAAAAGTAACAGCAGCTCTGCCCCTGTGTCAGCACATTCTTGACCAGCAGCGAGAATCTATGTAGAAGGCAGGTCTGATCATGGAACTCGTGAGCCTAAAACAGAGGTAGTAAACAACTTTTTCTATAAGGAGTCAGAAAGTAAATATTACAGGTTTTGCAGGTTGTGTGGTGTCTGTTACAACTACTCAACCCTGCCCTTGTAGCATGAAAGGAACTGTAGATAATATGTAAATGAGTGGATGTGGCTATAGTCTAATATAAATTTGTTTACCAATATAGGCCAAGGACCAGATTTGGCTAAAGGGCTGTAGTGTGCCAAACCCTTGCTTAAAACCCTTTAGTGTCATGCCTGTGTCTTCAGATTGAAACTTAAACTCCTAACCAATGTGTAAGACCATCACGCTTTGGCCCCTGCGCCATTCAGGGCACCTTATCCCTCACACAGGGAGTCCAGCCAAGCCACACTGACTTTGTTTTTGCTCCCTCCCACCTTGGGGAAATCACATAAGTTGTTCCTTCTGCCTTAAACCATCTTCCAATCCCCTCTTTTCTCCTCCACACATTTACATTCAACTTCTCCTTTAGGTAATTAATTTAATCTTCTCTTCCTCAGAGAAGTCTCCTTTAATCCCTGTTTAGTGTGAACTCTTGATAACAAAAGAAAGAAATTAAACTTGATTATATGGAGGCATTAAAAACAAGTGTATGTTTTGGCTGATACAAACAAACTCCGGATAGGGCCAAGGGGAATTGCACTTAGGGATGAGTAAAATCAGAGATGTGATGAATTACAGTTGATGTAGAATGTGCTGATCTCATGGTAGACATTCAGAGATGCCTCCTAAATCTGGTGACCTCAACTGACTGGAACATAGCTGAGAAATGGAAAGCAGCAGGGCCATCCTTTTTGATGGAACAAACCCCTTGTTTTAAAACAAAAATACTTAATTGTACTCATAGGAGAACTCCTCAGACCCTAAATCAGAGCCTACTTACTTGTAGTTTAGTCACAATCATAACATATTGGTTTATCAAGTTTCCCAGTCTATAGCTAATTAGAAACAGCTTTTAAAAAATTTTTTTCTGGATGAGGAGGAATAGCCAGGAGTTGACATAATGATGCCAACTAGGAGTGACAATTAATTGACAAGGAAGGTAGAGAAGAAAGCTTTCAGCAGGCAGAGGAGGCTGGGGCCTTTTGGCGGTAGCAAAATAGTTTGTATTCTTTGGCGGATACTGATACAGTTTGGCTGCGTCCCTACCCGAATCTCATCTTGAATTGTAGCTCCCATAATTCCCACATGTTGTGGGAGGGACTCGGTGGGAGATAATTGAATCATGGGGGCGATTTCCCCCATACTGTTCTCTTGGTAGTGAATAAATCTCATGAGATCTGATGGTTTTATGAGGAGAAACCCCTTTCACTTGATTCTCATTCTCTCTTCTCTGCCAGCATGTGAGATATGCCTTTCATCTTCCACCATGATTGTGAGGCCTCCCCAGCCATGTGGAACTGTGAGTCCATTAAAACTCTTTTTCTTTACAAATTACCCAGTCTCAGGCATGTCTTTATCAGCAGTGTGAAAACGGACTAATACAGATACCAAAGGCATTAATGCCTTGTAAAATAGCTAATAGCACAATGTATATAATGATTCTTACATGCCAGGCCCTGTTCTAAGCATTTTATGTGAATCATTTAATTTTGTATTAAATATATGCAATGACTGCTACTATCATCACCATTTTATAGATTGTATTAGTTATGTATTACTGCATAGCCAAAATTTAGTGGCCTCAAATGACAAACATTTATGTTCTTACCATTATTGTGGATCAAGCATCCAGATGTGGCTTAGCTGGTTCTTAGAGTTAGAGCCTTCCTAAGTCTGTAATCAAGGTGTCAGGCAGGACTACATACATCTCAGGGCTAGCCTGGGAGGGGTCACTTTCAAGCTAAGTTGTTTGACCGATGGTCGGATTCAGTTCCTTGTGGCTGTTGGACTCAGGATCTCAGCTCCTTGCCACTTGAGTATCTCCGTACGGCAGCTCACAACATGGCAGCTTGCCTCATCAATTGAGCAAGTGAGAAGAGTCAGACAGAGATGGTGGGCAAGATTTAAGTCAGTCTTTCATAACTTAATCTTGGAAATGACATCTGTTATACTATGGTTTGAATGATAGTGCCTCCCCCAAAATTTGTGTTGAAACTGAATCCTCAATGCAACAGTATTAAGAGATGTGGCCATTGGGAAGTGATTAAGTCATGAATGGGATTAGCACCTTTATAAAATGGCTTGAGGTTGAAGGGAGCCTTCTGTTGCCCTTCCATCCCTTCTTCCACGTGAGGACACAGCGTTCTTCCCCTCAGGAAACCACTGCAACAAGATGTTATCTTGAAAGCAGAGAAGGCAGCCCTCTGTTGCTCTTGCTGTACTCTATTAAGTAGAAGGAGTTTACTGGGTCCAGTCCACACACAAGTGGAGGAGATTACAAAAGGGTATGAATGCCAGGAGACAGGAGCCTCTGGGAATCATGTCAGTAGCTGTCTATCACAAAGATGAAGAAACTGAGGCACCGAAAATTTATGGATTTGGCCAAAGATCCCACAGTTAATAAGCTAAGCAACCTGGGAATTAGATACAGGATCTGTGCTTTTAACCACCAGTCTGCACTGGGCAATCAGGTTTGCATAAACTTCCAGGTGATTCTAATGTGCAGCTGAAATGGTGAATCATGGTCTAGCGCGTCTCAAGTTTCAATGTGCACACAAATTACCTGTGTTAAAATACTGATTGTGATTTGGTGAGTCTTGGCTGGGTCTGAGATTCTGCTTTTCTAACAAGCGCTAGGTGATGCTGGTGCTCTGGGCTGTGGATCACACTTTGAGCTCAGGGCTGAGAGTTGGCTGATTGTTTTTCCACTTGGGATTCTCCCTCAAATTGGTGGTAGAGCAGACTAATCATTTGATCTTTCTGCTTTTAAAAAAATCTTATATTTATTTTTTCATATATACATTCATTTGTTTATTTATTTACCTACAGTATTCAATAGTTGATTGTTTAATAACTGCCAATACTAATTTTAAATGCTTTGTTTTATTTTAGTTACAAAAGTAAGTGCTTATTGCCTCTCAGGCTTGGTTTAAACGTCACTTCCTATGGGAAGCCTTCCCTTACTCCTAAAGACTACCTTCAGATATGCTCACAATGATAACTTTTGTCCCCTCATTAATGCACTTATCATATGGTACTGTAATTGCTCAAGGCCACTGCTATCCCATTTGACAATTTTGTGTGACTTTAAAAAAGACAACCTTTTTTTGAGACACTGTACTTTCACCTGCAGGAAAACTGTTATCAGGAAAGAATTGCTCTAAATATAATTGCTCTAAATATAATTATACAAAATTAATTATATATAATTTATACAATAATTAATTATATGTAGGACATTAATTCATCTTATCCACCCAGTTTTATTTAGCAGTCCTCCTTCAGCTACTAAAGTCTTTGCATTTTGTAAGATCCATTTGCCTTTCACACACTGCAGCTAGGTGCAGCAGCTAAGAGTCTCCTTGAGGTGGTTTTTGGTAACTGGCCACTTAACAGGTGTTTGAGAATCCCAGTGATTTGCTTGTTTATAAAAAACAATCGTATGCTCCCAATGATACCCACCTCTTCAGGGAGTGTGAAATAATTCTTTGCTTTAACTGATTTCTTTTGTGTCTACTGCCTTGTTTGGGCTTCTTTCCTTGTTTGTTCTAAAGATTATATTGTTTAAAAATTTAGCATCGGGGCCGGGCACGGTGGCTCACGCTTGTAATCCCGGCACTTTGGGAGGCCGAGGCGGGCGGATCACGAGGTCAGGAGATCGAGACCATCCTGGCTAACACGGTGAAACCCCGTCTCTATTAAAAATACAAAAATTAGCCAGGCGTGGTGACAGGCGCCTGTAGTCTCAGCTACTCAGGAGGCTGAGACAGGAGAATGGCGTGAACCCGGGAGACGGAGCTTGCAGTGAGCCGAGATCTCCCCACGGCACTCCAGCCTGGGCGACAGAGTGAGACTCCGTCTCAAAAAAAAAAAAAAAATTTAGCATCATTTTAAAATTCAAAAGCGGAGTCTTCATTGTGCTCTGTGTAATGGATTGAGAGTGAGTAAATCTCAGTATTACGTGGAATAATTGATGAAGGGGCAATATTTTGTTAGGTTAATGTAACTTAACAATTGAAGTAGTTTTGTCCTTTTTAATGAGTTTTGGTGGTTATTTCTTGTTTGTCCTTGAATATTTTGGTTTTCTTTAGTAGAATGGGGGTAAATTTGTATGCTTAAGGTGCAAAATTATTTTCTCACTGAAAATAATACAGTGTTGTTTTCAACTTTGGATGATTTGCCCTATTAAGAGGGATTTTCAGGAAAGAATTGCTCTTATAAAGTGGAGAACTGTACTGGTAGTCAGAGTCTCAGTAAAGGTAGCCTCCTGGGCCAGGTTCCTCTAGGGTCTTTCACACTCCTACTGGCAGAGCTAGGACCAACTGTTCTCCCCACTTCATATTTAAAATGCCAGGATAAATTCCAAAATACTGAGCCTCATGACAGATGTACCTTGATAGCCATGACTCCAATTCTATTTCTGGACTAGAAGTTCCCAGGAGCTTAAACCAACAAGAAGTGTGGCTTATTACAATGGATCTTTCATAGCACAGATCTTTCAGTAAATGCTGGCTGTTTCTTTCAAAAGAAGTAGAGGAAAAGTTACAAATATGGGTGCAAATGTACGTATGGATGATACAGATATTTATGAACAGAAAAAAGACTAAAGGAATTGTATCAAAACATTGGCAATGGTTATCTCTGTATAGTAGAATGACGTGATTTTCTTAATTTTTTAATTTTTATTTTTTGCTTTGCAGGATTATATACAATGGACATTCATTAATTCAACACACTTTTTTCTTTGCATGGTTACCACATATTAGGCAATGTGGTGGATCTTGGGGATATAAGTGTGAAACAGACACAGTCCCAACCCCAGAGCTAACATTGTGTGGGAGACAGATAAATATAAAGACAAGATGTACTGCACAACTTGAAAGCCACCCTCAGTATCGTGTACATCACAGACTTGTCTATTTAACACCTGTTAAGTGGACAGTTACAAAAAACCACCTCAAGGAGATTCTTAGCTGCTGCACCTAGCTGCAGTGTGTGAAAGGCAAATGGATCTTACAAAATGCAAAGATTTTAGTAGCTGAGGAGGACTGCTAAATAAAACTGGGTTAAGATGAATTAATGTCCAATATATAATTAATTATTGTATAAATTATATATAATTTTCTATAATTATATATACAAATAATATAATCTGTATTATTATAATCCATATAATTTTGGCCATATTGTACCAAAGGCTTCCAAATGTAATAGGAAGTGGGAGATGAAGTACTCTTTCTTTTTGATTCTCTTACCTCCAAATCCACTCCTTCTAATCTTCTTCATTTCAGTAAATGGCACTATTTTGCACTCTGTTACTTAAGCTAAAAACCTAGCTATCATTTTGATTCCTTTCTTTCCACCATCCCTCATAGCCAATCTATCTATAAGTCATGATAACTGTCTTCAAAATATATGCTGAATCCATTCTCTTCCCTCCCTCTGTGCTGTTCCCTACCTAGTCCAAGTCACCTTTCTTGACATCCTGGACTAACGTAATAGTTTCCCAGTTGGTCTCCTTGTTTCTACTCTTGTCCCTCTAAAATTCATTCTCCATACTTATGATCTTTACAAAATGTAAATGAGATCACACCACTCTGCTGCTTAAACTTTTCAATAAGTTTCCATCTAACCTGGAATAAAATCCAGGCTCCTACTGCAGCCTCCACTGGCCATGTGACCTGGCTACTGCTAGCCTCTCTGGCTTCATCTTCTATCACTCTCTGCCTGGTTCACCATATTTGAGTGGTTATATTTGTTATCTATGACTGTATAACAAATTACCACAGACTAACATAAACAAGAGCAATAAGCATTTAATGTCTCATAGTTTCTTTGGGTCAGGAATTAAAAGTTAGCTGGGTGATTTTTGCTCAGAGGATCTCATAAAGCTGCAGTCAAAGATCAGGAATTAAAAATTAGCTGGGTGGCTCTGTCTCAAGGGATCTCATAAGGCTATGGTCAGCATGGGCTGCAATAATCTGGAGGCTTGACTGGGGCTGGAAGATCTGTTTTCAGGATGGTCTCATTCACATGGCTGTTGGCAGAAAGCCTCAGTTCTTTGCCATGTGTATTGCTCCACTGAGTTGCTTGAGTATCCTTACAACATGGCAGCTCATGTCCCATAAATTGAGTAATTCAAGAGAGCAAGACTGAATTTGCAATGTCTTTTATGACCTGGGCTTGGAAGGCACATTCCTTCACTTTTGAAATGTCTTCTTGGTTACATAAATCAGCTCTATCCAGAGGGGGAGGGGAGTGCTTAAGGACATGAATCGCAGGAGGTGAGAATCACTGGAGGGGATCTTGGGGGCTGGGTACCCTTAAGCATTTCTCAAAAATGCCAGACCTTTCACATCCAGGACCACTGCAGTTGCTAGTCTCTCTGTTTCTGATTCCTTTCCCTCTACCTTTTCACAAATCTGGCCTCTTGTTCATCTTCTACATGTCAGCTCAAATGTCTCTTTCTTGGATAACATTTTTCTAATAACTGTATCTAAGGGAGATATTCTACCACCCCATTATTTAGATTATAGCATCCACCATAATCTGTTTACTCATTTATGTAGTGATTTACTGTCTTCCTCCTTATCTATAGAATGTAAATGCCAAGAACAACCAGGGTCTATTGTCACCCCAGCACCCACCACAAAATCTAACAAATATGAAGAGTTCACTAAATATCATTTGAATGAATGAGATGTTTAAGGCTAAGATGGGTTTTATCAGACATTTTCTCTTTTAATCAGGAAGGGGCTTGGGAATAGGATGGAAGCAAGAGGAGGAAATAAGGTCCCTCCTGGAAGCAAATTGAGGGCTGGGCTGAGGGGAAGAGGATACTGGAATGTGGCTCCTCCTTTGATGGGCACCACCAGACACCATGAAAGTCATGCTCAAAGGCAGTGTCTATTACCATAAGCTCCACTGGGCCACACCAAAATTTTATTCTGACTCCAGGAGGAGGGGATTTCCACTGGGATTCTGAAGGTTTTGCCAGAAAGTAGCAGAATGAGAAGGTGAGATGAGGTCACAGACATCTTGAGTGGAGGACGTAGTGGTGGGAATGACTGGGCGTGTTTGTGGAGAGGCCCAGGTACTAGCTTCTTTTCCCATCACTTATCTCTAGATTATTCTATCTGGGAATACCTAGAGCCAGGCAGAACAATGTGAGGAAATTTGCACAGAATGTTATCTCTGCACTTTGCCAAATAATTGGTAAACCCCAGGGAGCCGGCCCAGCCTCTGCACTGACCTGGATCCTTATTTGGAGGCAGGGAAGGAAAGCTGTCAGTGCTCCCCGGCCTCACTTGGGAGTGAAGTCCTACAGCTGGAATCCCTTCTGTGTCTGCGGCGGGGGTGGGGGCCAGGTTCAGGGCTGCTCAGTGGCCAATCCAACCTGAAAGGTATTGCTGGGATGTTTTTGTTCAGCAAGGAATCATGTGGCTTCCCTAAAAGCCTCCTCTGGGCCCCCAGAGAAAGCCTTATCTCTGTGCATGGTGTTAAAGTATGATTTTCCAAAGGTTAAAAAAATGTGACTCTAAAAACAAAACCAAAAAAGACATGCAATAACAAAAGGGATGCATGTCAAAGATTTTTTATTCAACTCATTTATTAGAGAAGGAGTAATATGTTAAAACCTGTCCAAAAAGCATGTAAGATGCTTGAGATACACACACACACACACACACACGCACACACACAGGCGTGTGTGTGTGTATATATATGTGTGTGTATATATATATGCAATTTAATATGTATTGCAATCTATGGGATATCTTCTCCCCTAGACTGAAATTATTTGCATCTGGACTAGACAAAATTCCATGAGCCAGCCTCTGCCTCTACAGAGTTGTAAAATAGCCCAGGAAATAGAAAGTCAAATTCAGCACTACAGTGAAGGAATGCTCGGTAATCTTCTTCACCTATTTCTAGAGTTCAGATAATTTTTCTGCTAATAGATTGCTTTGAAAGCTCTCTTCCCAGGTGATTTGATGACAGCTAAAAGGTGCCTCATAGCAAAAGTTGATCCTGACAGCCTGAACTGGCATCAGATTCCTTTCCATGAATATTTTCAAGCCTGTCCTGTGGGCAATAATCATAGTTCATATTATTAAATACCTGGTCTGTGTCAAACACACTGCTAAGTGCTTTTCATGGATAACCTTGTTTAATCCTCAATAAAAATCAATTATTCTGATCTCCATTTTGCTGAAGAGAAAACAGAGGCTGAAAGAAATTCAGTAATTTGCTGAGGGTCACACAGCAAGCCAGGAAATGGTGGATCCAGGATTTGAAGATATACAGGCTGATCCTTGAGCTGCAAGAAGTTGTGCTAAACACTGTATGTCATAGAGAGATTAATTAAACACTGTCCCTGCTCAAAGTCATCTTGGAAATCTCGCTTTACTATCAAAACAAAACCTCATATTTTAACCTGAAAATTGGGATACTACTCATGCCTTCCCACAAGCTGACTGAGGATAAATGAGATTATGTGGATGCTCTTTATTAACTTGAAGTCACTGGGAAGGCCACTGTTGTCATTAAGGAGCTCAAGAGCCTCATTGGGAGTGTCATCTTTTGGGCTCGTGGTAGTACAGACATTTCTGTGGGGAAGAGGGAATTTGAGGTTTTCATGGTCAAGCTCAACGATGAGCTGTTGGGGGGTACAAGCAGGGTCAGGAATAGTGATGCAAAATTTAAGGGAGTACCAAAAAGCTTAGTAATCAAGATAGATAACATTTTAATACAACGTCCTTAAAAAATAGTCACAGTCAATGTAGACAATCAATGATCAATGATGAACAAAATATCACACATTAAACCAAAGCCAGGATCAGTTTTACTGTTGTTTTTTTTTTTTCTTTAGCTCCAGTGTGACTCAGCATGGCACAAGCTAATAAGCCATTCCTTGAAGGAATTCACCGGAAGACAGTATTGTGGGGTCCTCCCAGTTGTGTCCTGGAGTGGTTGCTGCTCTTAGATACAGATCCAGATCAAGTAGAGCAATTAAAAAATGTTTAATGTTCTTTGCTACTTTTTTGAAGCATAAAGAAAAAAGAGCATATCATACCTCCCTGAATTTTCACAAAATGAGCACATCCAAGTAACTAGCACCCAGATGTAGAAAAAGAATGCTATCAGCACTGCAGGGAACCATCCCCCCCTGCTTGTGTCCCCTTCCAGTCATAACTTAAGAGCCATTTTCCGTGTGGGGACTCATTCATCAAGTAGTAATTTTTGCCTTGTAGAGATATGTGCATATCTGACCTAGGAGTGCAAACTAGATTCATACAAATACTTGGTCCATGAAATGCTTTCATTATTGGCCCATGGGCAAGGCCTCTTTTAATTTTTTTTTATTAAGGTACTAATTTACTTATTTTAAATAAGACCACAGCATGAAAAATAGAACACGGACAGCAGCTTCCATCTACCTCTGTAGAGCTCTCACATTCCTTCCCTATGCCTGCCCGCCCTGGGAGTAACTGCTTTGACTGTAGCCTGAGAGTGTACTCATAGGCAGTTCCATCTGCAGAATTTCTGACATCAGACAATCAGAGCCCTGTCCATGATGTATTGTCTGACCATCCCTTCAGAGTTCTGTCTTCTTCACTTGGGGTCCCTGGAACCCCTTTGCTTTGCCCTTGGGTAGGAGAGGCCAAGGAACAAGCCGCATGACAGGCAGTGCTAAAAAAAAAAAAATTCCAGGGGTCAGATCTGTCTGGGTTGGGGCTGACAGCTGGTTAGTGGAAGGGTGGGGACTCTAGCTAGGCTCTTCTGGGACGTGGAGGAGCACTTGCTTACGAAACCTGGTTGGGGTGAGGGGGAACCAAAAGGGATGGTTGTTGGGGTCTCAGCTGGAGGGGCTTCAGCAGCCGGAAATGGGATTTAGATGGCCAGAGTCAGGGGCATTCAAGTTTTTTGTGTTTGTTTGTTTTCAGCTGAAAAATGCAAGGGAAGAAGCCCCCAGAAATGTATGTCAGTGAGAAGTTAGCAAGGTGAGGATGGGCAGCCCCAATGCAATATTCAAAATGCAAATCAATCTAGCAGCATCACTCCTTTGCTTAAAACCACTTGCATTACTGTGGGATGAGCATACGTTCAGACAGACAATGGCTTCTCGTCCCAGCTGTTAGTCATATGCTCTTGGACAAATTACATTATTTTTTCACCCTCAGTTTCCTCATCTATAAAGTGCAATGAATCATACCACTTGCCTCAGTGATATTGCATGGGTGAAAAAGAAAACAAATGAAAGCCCTCAGACATTAGCACATACTAACCATGAAATAAATATTGCACTATTATTATTCATGTTGGTATTATTATGAATATGGGATGGAATCTGGACTTCATAGCATGGCAGAGGAATCTCTCTGGCTTCTGCCCATTGCTCTGTCTCATCTCTCCCTTCTCAGGGCCCAATACGACATGAGCTAGAGAGGAATGCCTCTACCACCTCCCAACCCACACACAGCCAGCAGAAATTGGGTAGCCTTTGCTCAGGCTGTTCCTTCTGCTTACATGACCTTTCTCACCTGAGTAGATGCAACTGGGCTTCTTGACTGGCCTGGTGCACCCATCTGCCAGCTGCTTTGAATATTGGTTGCTAATAGCTCATTGCTGTACTATTTTCCAGAGAATCAGCCTTAGTTATGGAGGGTCCCAGAGGGGAAATGCCTGGAAAGTTATGCCCTCCAGGCATCTTTGCAGGGGCGGGCAGCAGCCCTTGACTGAATGCAATGGAATTACCAGGGCCTAGCCTTCTTCAAGGAGAGACATTTAACTGTGGGACTACTCACACTCAGAGCTCCATGTAAGATCAGGCTGACACTAGAATACAGTGGTTCCACATTTTGTTTTTTTGTTTGTTTTGAGACAGGGTCTTACTCTGTCACCCAGCCTGGAGTGCAGTGGTACAATCTCAGCTCACTGCAGCCTTGACCACCTGAGCTTAAGTAATCCTCCCACCTTAACATCCAGAGTAGCTGGGGCTACATGCATACATGCATGCGCCACCAGGCCTGGCTAATTGTTTAAATTTTTTGTAGAGGGGGAGTTTCACCATGTTGCCCAGACTGGTCTTGAACTCATGTACTCAAGCTCGATCAGCCTGCCGTGGCCTCTCAAAGTTCTGGGATTATAGGCATGAGCTACTGCGACTGGCCACTTCCTCATCTTTGTTTTTCATTTGTCCTTTCAACTTTTCTTCAGTCACCTACAGGACTCTTCTATGATCACTCCATTGATAAATCGTACAAGAATCTCCATCTCAGGCTTTCCTTTTAGGAAATCTGCCCCTTAAGACTACATTTCTTCAAGGTTCAGCTCTGGTGGTATCTCCCCAAGACAGCCCAGCCAGGGTGGTACTAAGTACCCTTCTCTGAGTTCTCACATCCTCTCAAACAGACCCTCTAGCTTGTCGCCCACATGTCATATTGAAATAGTTTGTTAATATGCCTTTTTCCCGCCACCAGATTGTGAGAGGCTTCAAGATCCTCTTTTTTTCTGACTGTACTTTGGCCCTGAGACAAGTGATTGTAACATAGTAGGTGCTTAAGGAGAGAATCACATAGAGACTTTATTTGGATTAGGGGTTAACAAAAGTTTTTCTGAAGGAGTAGCGTTTAAAAGATGAACTTTGCCAAGAAGACAGGCACCATCTGGATCAGTCTGCATGTTTTTTTTATCCCTCCTTTCAGAGTCTGGCTGGCGCTAGGTATTTATTACAGAGATAGATTGGCAAAGATATTTGACAGATGGAGAGATGGGCTTTGGATGTGTCTGTTCTCCTGTGGTTGGGCCTAAACAGCTTTCTGTATTAGTTAGGATTAGAGACAGCTGCATGTGGAAGAAAAGACAGTGGTTAAAACACAAGGATTTTTCAAAAAATTTAAATTTTTCTTGTAAAAGAAATGCAGAGGTACGTAGCCCAGGACCAGCATGGTGGTTTCATGGTCATCAAAGATCCAACAACTTTCTTTCTACACCATCATCCATATTGTATAACTTTCATGCTCAAGGTCACTTCATGGGCTAGGATGGCTACTGGGACTCTGATGGTCACATGTGCATTCCTACTTGGAAGAAGCATGAAAAACCGAAGAGCAGTCGGATTTATGCTCTATGTGAATCAGCTTCTTTAATGGATTCTTTCTGGAAATCCAACACATTGGCTAACATTGGCCAGTACTTAGTCTGATAGGAGGATGGGTAAACTAACAATTGGGAATCTCTTGCTTCCTCCCTCCGAAGGGAGAATGGACATTTGGAAGGCAACTGGCAGTCTCTTCCATTCCTTTCATCCCAGGTTTTCTAGGAGAATCCCATTTCAACATTCTGGCTCATAATCTTCACAAGCCATCTAAATATCCCAGAAGGTTCTCTACTTCCAAGTAATATCTCTTAGACTGCCTCTCCTGATAAAATTCCTTTTCCTATGCATGTCTCTATATTTTGGTTTTCATCACAGAACAGCCTCTAATACTTGACCTTCATCAAACAGACGACATAGACAAGAAGGTGTTTGATGCATTTAAGAAGGACCAAGGAGTTAAACTAGACACCACCTTTGCAATGAATGGCTTGGTGGCCACGGACAAATTTTGCTCCTTGGGCATATTATTCTTTTACAGCTGAGTCAATAACACACCTGGAGCATGGGAAGAAACAACTGATGCTCTTCCTGGGAAGTTTCTGGGAAGAGGAAGGACCACTTTGAGGAACGACAGAGCTTTGTGAGGTGGTGGAAGCAAAGAATGCTGTCCCAGAACAAGGGATAAATGCTGTGATGCTGAGAAATGCCTTGCACTCTGCTGTTAGTTGTGTAAATTGCCAGCATTATACAAAGGTTTCATGACTCTTTGGCTTACATATTCCCCACAATCTGGTTCCCATGTGGGTTTCCAGCCCCTGGTCCCACCCCTCCTCTCCTGGACTCCACACTCGACCAGTCTTCAGGATGTGCTGTCCCTGTGCCCACACTTTGCTTTCTTCCTTCTGAGCTTTTCCTCATGCTGTTTCCTCTACCAGGTAAACTGATTGGTCCCATTACCATAAGCCCAGATCCCATAATGCAGTTTATGAGCATGGCTGCTTTAGGTCAGATAGCGCATGGCTGCTGTTTCCAAGTAGAAAGGCCCCCCTGTTAGGCTGGGCTCGATTTCAGACCTGGGTCTACCTAAACCCTGCTAAGAGGATCTCTCAGAGGTCAAGCAGAGCCTGAGCCATTTCCATGTTTTGAAGCCTCTAGTTTATTGAAAAGGAAGAAATGCCCAAATATTGGTGGAATTAAATGTTTATATAAATTCACATTGGTTGGCAGTGGCTCCGTATATTTTATGTATAAACACAGATGGAGGTAATGGCAAAAATCTAAACTTGGGGCATTTTGTGATAGTGAGGTTTGGGCCAAAGGACCCTCTTGTTGGTCCTGTCTTTCTTCCCTTTTACTTGGATTCTGTGAATTGGTCTTTCTGAATTATCTCATTCAGCATGGTTCTTTTGGCAGCAGATCAAACCTTCTCATCCCGTACCTCTGCCCTGGAATTTCCCAACTGGCCAATCAAGACTTCCTGTTCAGCCACCCTCCACAGTCCCCACAGATTCCCATCTTTTTCAAAGCTAATTAAGAAGTGACATTTTTTGAGTACTTTCTATGTGCCAAGGCATTATGCCAAGAGCCTAACATTAATTACCTAATGTGATCCTTTCCACGGTCCCTAAGAGGTAGATATTATTGGCCCCATTCACAGATGAGAAAAACTGAGGCTCAGAAACATGAGTCAACTTGGAAAGAGTTTCACACACTTGACCAGTGGTAGAGCCTGTACCGGAAGCCAGGCATCCTGGCTCTGGAGCTCATGTTGTCACCCTGTTACCCACTTGCCTCATTTCTGAGAGCAGCCTATTCCTAGGAGCCGCTTCTGCCCTGCCTAACTCAACTGCTTTGTCTTCCATGGCGTCTCTCTCTCTCTCTTTTCTTTTTTTTTGGCTCTCTCAGCTAGAAGTTTATTCCTCTCTTTCCTCATAGTCCTGAGGACTTTATCTGAGCCTCTCTTATAACTCCTGCCACATTCTTTTATTTCCTGTAGTTATTTGCGTATATTTCTCAAAATAGAGCTTTGTCTAATAGACTTCTTTCTCCTCTTAGAAAAGCACAATGCCTTGAATGTAAAAAGAACTCAATGCATTTTTGTTGAATGAAGGGAATTTGCTTGTCTCCCTTGGGGGCAAGCCTTCAACTTCTCTGTATGTGTCTTGCTCAGTATGGTATAGAGAGAAAGTCGTGGTCAACAAACCCTGCCGACCGGCCGAACTGAGAGCTGAGATGCCTCCTGAGGACAGTTTTCTGAGTTTTAAAAGGCCTTGTTTTTTTGGGGTGTTAAGTTTCTGAATACAGAAGCTAAGAATTTTTCCTTTCATAAGGTAGGAAACGCCTCATGGAAGGAAAACAAAATCCTGCCAAAACCCTAAGGAAATTCTCAGAAAAGGTCCCATCAGAACTCCCAGGAGTCTGTCTAAACCCAAATGCCCCAGGTTGAAACTCTAGCTACCCAAAGATGTCTTTCTGTGGGATCTCACTGAGCCAAATTCGGTGTGTGTGTGTGTGTGTGTGTGTGTTTTTAAATAAGGAAAACTCTTTTATCTCTGATGAAGAAACAGTAAATGAAAATCTTAACAGGCACCCTCAAGAGTGGCTAATTTCAATAGCAGTGGATTCCATGGGGATGGGGCAGAGGCAAACTGGGAACGGGGTTGCTGGCACTGATTCTCAATGAGATGGAGACATAGGTGCCACTTCACGGCAAGTCTGCCCTTCTTTCAGGGCTCTTGGCGGTTTTGCCTTTCCTCACCTAGCCTACGATCCATTGTCCCTTTGCTTGCCCCTGTTTTCAGAAGACCCCACACCAAGGTACCTGACTCTCTTTCCTCCCACTCAGGACCTTTCTGACCCTCTTCTTTCCCTGCTGAAATGTGGACATCCTGTCTTGGCTTCCTCCGGCCCTGCTCTTGGAACCCAGCTAATCTGCTAATGTGATAATGGGAATGTGTGTGTTTCTCCCTACCCCAGATAACATATTTGTATTTTATTTTCACTCAGACACAGAGGAGCAGGGAGGTGGTAGGAGCAGGGCCAAAGCTATTAGATAGCATCAAAGTTACTGTCGTTCAGTCTTTTTGTTATTGTTTTTGTTTTACAAAAAGCAAAGAACAAGCCAACCAACAAACAAAACAGAAGCTGTTTTGCAAATTCAGGTCCAGCTTATGGTTCACTGTGGCTCTGAAGTTTTCTTTTTTTTCCTTTCTGGTTGAACTCCTACACAACCAGGCTTCCTCCAGCTGGTATGTTGTACATCATTTTTATCAATGATCTGCATAAACAAGAAAATCCTGTCCCATTCCCCACCTCCAACAGCACAGATAAGATGCCCATTTCTTTCCATCTCCTTCTTTGCAATAAGACCCTTCCTCACTGACAGCATTGTGACGAAGGAGACATAACAAGGACCATATCCCCTGAATCTTTGCCCCAGCGCCCCCACCCGTATCCTGTGTAGGATTCTAGGTTGGTCTGCGCGAGGGGTAAGAGTGGCAGTGCAAACTGTGGGCAATCAGAGCTTCAGCCCTTGTTCTTTACCTTCCTTTTGACTTGACAGCTGGGATGTGAGTCTGGAAGGTTCCTTTTGCTCATTTTCCAAGAGCCACTCATGCCCTGTCCTCTTCCTCCTTCCTGTCTTTGTCTTCTAAGATACAAGATGTTCCTGACTAAGAAGATTATCTTGTTTCCTCAGTTACTAGGAAGCAAAGAGAGGAAGAGCCCTCCCGTGGAAGAAAACTATCTCTGCCCACCAAAAGTTGCACTCCTCCTCCAGCAGCCCCAGTGTTGACCATTGTGTACTTGATCTGTATGAAAATCCCTTTTCTGGCTCAATAGGGAACCTTGATCTTCCCCTACAGGCTGACAGAAACAAGGCAAGCATCTAAGCTTCATTCCTAGGCCTGTGGCAGACATCACTCATCAATGGTGATTTTTTGCTGAATCTTGGGGCAGGTCTGCACCCCAGCAGGCATGATCAATCTATTGGAGCCTGCAATGGAGAGAAAAAACATCTGCCATCCCTTCCTCAGTGATGCTTCTGTCATCCATGCAGGAGGCTGGGGGTAGGGACATTTCTTCAGCAACCTGCAGCTAAGAAGACATGGAAGCTGGAGAGTGCAGAAAAAGTTGTTTTCTTAGCTTTCATGTAGATTAACTTTAAGGCCAAAAGCTTCACCTGCTTCACCTGCTCTGGGCATGAATGTGGCATCTCCATTCAGTTGCTCTGCTTAATAGGAAATAAAAAGTGCAAGGAACACACTACCCTTAAGGTACCAATAGACATGCTCCCCGGGGAGGACTAAGCAATGCATGATGGTGACTCAGGAGGCTAGAGGGTCTCATGGAGGAGGACGAGTGCCAGGGGCTGGGGACAGGTGGCTGAGCTGGAGTTATCCAGTTCCCTGGCAGTCTGGGTGCACAGGGTGATCCTGCAGAACAGCAAATATTCTGCTTGTCTGCTGCTGGTATTTAGACGCTGCTGGAATGTCCTGGCAGGACTATCTGTCCAAATCCATTCAAAATTGATTTTTGTGTCTTTGATGGGGAATTTTGGCCAGGATCCCCACGGTCCCCCAATTCAGTTAGACATTCTCCTCTCCCTTCTTTAGCTTATTAGCTGCTTCTCGGTGGGAGTCTGGGCCTTCATGTTCCCTCTTCAGCCAGTTCAAGTGATCTGAAGCTCTAGGAAGGATGGAAGTGGGTCTGTGCTGTGAATCTGAAATGCCTAGATGCATTTATTTAAAGCAGCAGCCTCTTAGCAGGGTTGACACAGCCCAATGCTGAAAAGTTGGGTTTTTGGCCAGGGTCTCCCCACTTTTGCTAGAGAGCCAGGAAATGGGTAGGAATGTCTGGACCAGAGCAGAGGAAAAGAAGAAGTGAGTCAGAAAAGAAAAGCAGAGCCTGTACAGGCCACATCCTTGAAGGATTTACTGCAAGCCTAGCTACTCCGCTGGGAGTGCCTTCCTTAATGTCTGCTGCCTCCAAGGCTGCCCACACAGTCAGCCACGATGGGGCACCGATGCTCACCAGGGGCTACCAGGCGCTGAGAGGTGGGGGAAGAAGACCAAATCCTAGATCCCAGAAACTTACAATCGGGCAGAAGAGATAAGTACAAATCTAACTAAAATTAAAAAGTGGGCAAGAAAGTGCACAGCTACAACATGCTAAGAGGAGTTCTGATGCAGTGGCTCTTAGAACTAGGTTTTGAGCAGTTTGTATATGTGTGTATGTGTGTGTGTATGTGTTATGCCTCTGTGTGTACATGTGCATGTCTCTCTGTATGTTTGTGTCTGTGTGTATGTCTCTGTGTGTGTGTGTATGTCTCCGTGTATGTATGTGTTTTTGTGTATCTGTGTGTATGCCTGTGTATGTCTGTGTGTGTATATGTCTCTTTGTGTGTCTATGTGTATGTGTTTATATTTCTGTGTGTGTCTGTGTGTATGTGGATGTCTCTTTGTGTGTCTGTGTGTATGTATATGTCTCTGCGTGTGTGTGTGTGTGTGTGTCTGTGTGTATATGGATGTCTCTCTGTGTGTGTTTGTGTGTATGTATATGTCTCTGCGTGTGTCTCTGTGTATATATGTCTCTGTGTGTGTCTGTGTATGTGTCTGTGTGCAGGTATATGTCTCTGTGTGTGTTTGTATATGTGTATGTCTCTGTATGTGTGTATATGCGTGTATATGTCTTTCTGTGTGTGACTGTGTGTGTATTGATGAAGAGCTCTTTGTCCTCTAGGTCAGTGGCTCTCATTCTCAATCTTGGCTTCTTGGCTGTATCTTGGAATTAGTTAATGAGCTTTAAGAAATACTGATGCCAGCTGCTACCTCCAGAGCTTCTGATGTGATTGAGTCCGAGTATAGGGAGGGAATTCCATAGGGACAGATAAGGTCAGGCTGTGGTGAGTGGCTGGGCTCTGGTGCTTGTCTGCTTTAATTGAAGAGTTGGAAAAATGGCAGATGTTGTATGGTAGAGGGCAGTTCCTGTTAGTCACATGGGAGATATAATACCATCCTTTACTGTCTCTGGGGGTAACAGGGGAGGAAGGTGGTCTCTGGGTTGTGTTTGCATGAAAAATGGTCCCACAGGAGGCACAGTTTCACAGTCCAAAGAAATACCTTCTACTTCTTTAATACCAACATACACTTCTGAGAAGACCTTGCTCAATCCCTCCTTCCTTCTCTCATTTCATTCTTCCCTCTCTCCTTTCCTCCCTTCCTCTTTTACCTTTATCCACAGATATTTATTTAGCTCATGCCATGTCCCAGGCACAGTTCTGGGGCCAAGCGGGGAACAAGGCAGATTAGTTCTTGATTTCAAGGAGTTGACATCTTAGGTGCTTACCATATAACAAACATGAGTACTGGTGGAAATGTGCATGTCTTCTGTAGATGGGACTTTTCCTGAAGAGTCAGTAGTTGGTGTCTTAGCACTACATTTTATGGTAAAACATGGCTCCAATATTTTAAGATAATGCATTTGCATTAAGATGTTGTGTGCTGTCGATCATAATGGACTAATAATGACTCAGAGTTCACATGTGCTACATTATTAACTATTGAATAGATAGATGAGTTTTAATAATATATGGGTAAGGTATAAAGGGTAAAAATAAACTAAACAGCAATGTACCTGCTACCCAGCTTAAGAAATGAAATATTGCATTTGCCTTTGAAGCCCGTCCTGAGTTGGCCACCATCTTGAATTTTGTGTATAATGTTCCCTAGGTAATATGTAGTTTAGTCATACCTGATTTTAAACTTTGACTTCATGCAAATGTTGTATACAGATGTTCTATTTAGTGACTTGCCTTTTTTTCTTTTTTTACTCGGTATTGTTCCCAAGATTCAGACATTTTGGTACTTACAGATTTAGCATGTTAATTTTTATTGCCGTATAATAGTCCTTTGAGTGAAAATGCCACACTGTATTAATACATTCTATAGCTAATGAACATTTAGATTGTTTCTAGTTTTTTTTTTTTTTTTTTTGAGACGGAGTCTCACTCTATTGGCAGGCTGGAGTGCAGTGGCACGATCTCGGCTCACTGCAACCTCCACCTCCTGGATTCAAGCAATTCTCCTGCCTCAGGCTCCCGAGTAGCTGGGACTACAGGTGTGCGCCACCACGCCTGGCTAATTTTTGTATTTTTAGTAGAGACGGGGTTTCACCGTGTTGACCAGGATGGTCTCGATCACTTGACCTCGTGATCCGCCTGCCTCGACCTCCCAAAGTGCTGGGATTACAGGTGTGAGCCACCGTGCCTGGTGTTTCTAGTTTTTTTTTAAATGAATATTGCTGCTAAGAACATTTTTATACATACCACCTAGTCTGTAGAAATCAAACTGCTGGCCACTGGAATATATAAACCTCAACTTTAACAGGCACCTATCCTATAATCAAGTTATTCTATTCCTATATATTTATCCAAGAGAAATAGAAGCATAGATCCACGTAAAGACTTGCACACGAATATTCATAGCAGCTTTATTTGTAATAGTTCCAAAGTGGAAAACAACACACAAGTTCATTAGTAAGTGAATGTATATACAAATTGTGTTATATTCATACAAGGGAATACTACTCAGCAATAAAAAGGAATGAACTATTAATACACATAATTAACATTGATAAATCTCAAAGTAACTACACTGAATGAAAAAAGTCAAAATAAAAAAATTTGTTTTCCAAAATGATTACATCAATTTATAATAGATGGAGTTTTCTTTGTTCTGTATCTTTTCCAAAACTTGGTATTGTTAGCTTATTAATTTTTGCCAGTCTAGTAGTATATAATGTTACTTGCATTTCCTTGATTACTGTTATGGTTGAATATTTTTCTTATGTTTCCAATGTTTATTGGCCTTTCACGTTCTTTCTCTGTGTAATGATTATGTACTACGTACTTTGCCAATTTGTCTGTTGAGTTGTTTGCCTCATTTTTATTGATTTATAATTTTAAAATATATTCTGGAAACCAATTTCTTGCCAGTTTCATGTGTTGGTCACCCATCTGTCCCTGTATCCCAGCTATGTCTAGCATTCCACTATCCCTGCTGAGGTACCAGATCTGTGAGTGAACCTTTTTTGATGCACAGGTCCAACAGAGCCCCCAGACAACTGCAGCCCCATCTGACATCATGATAAGCAGAAGAGCCACCCAATTTGTGTAACTTTTATGTTCCATTATGCATCCTTGTTACTAGAAAATGTGGTGAGACATCTATGATGAGATGGGGAAAGAATCATAGAAGGAGATGGAAGAGCTGGATTCAAATCTTGACTCTCACTTACTAGATAGAGTACAAGGGGTAAATGACTTACCCAGATTCATTCAGGCTCAATTTTCACTACGTGTAGTAACAAAATATTTTCTAAGAGCTTAACGTGGACTCCTTGTTATGTTGGGAACTTCATACATATATGTTATTTTGCATAAATCCTCACTCTAGTCTTATGAGGTAGATGCCATTATTATAGGACCCAGAGAAGGTTAAAAAGCATGTTCAAGGCCACATGCTGGTAAATAGCAGGAATTAAAACGCAGGCAATATGACTTCAAGGTCTGAGCTCTTACCAGGGCATTGGAATCATAATATTTTCTCACTAGCTTGTTCTGCAGACGACATTATCTGTTGTGTGAAAGCAGAAAGCAGCTAGATTATTGCCTGATACACAGAAGCTTTCTGATCATGGTTTGATAATTTTTTAATCAAGGTGCTGTATGACTCTAGGTTAACCCTTTCCTAAATCATGACATTACACTACTACAGAGACAGTAGAAACAAAATATCTAACAGTGTTTTCTAATGTTCCCTGTCACACTTAGCAGTGACTATAATAGACGAATATTTATACAGAGCCACAATAAGATCATCTATGCATCCTATAAATTGAGTTTGCTTCCTGACATCTCCATAAACGTGGGCATTCTGCAACTGTTCATAGAAAGATGAAAGCTATGTCAGGATAACACTATTCATTGCTATTCATAGTGTAAGATTGCTCAGATCTTATGAGAAAATTAATAATAGTATGATTAATCGAAACATCATTTGATATTTTTGTAGCATGTTTAAAAAAAAAACTTCCAGCAAGCTCCTTGTCTTCATCTTTTTATCTTTTCAGCCTGCACTTTTCCGTCCTTATCCAGCTTCCCTTCTCTGTGGCATTTGAAGCTGCTGGGCACTCCTCCTGCCCCCTTGGCTTCTGGTATATCATCTCTTCATTCACTTGCCTCTGAAACTCTTCTTCTCAGTTTGGCTGGTTCCTTAATCTCTGCCCAGCCTTCAAATGTTGCGGTTGCTACCTCTGAGGCAAAGCATCATGAATTCATTTGTTCATTCATTCAACAAAGCTTACTGAGCACCTACAATGTGCCAGGCACTGATCTAGGTGCTGGGGATATAGCAGTGAACAGACCAGACCAAGATGCCTGATCTCATGGAACTTCCATTCAAATGGGGGTGATATGGTGTGACAGGTGGCAATCAGTGGTATGAAAAGAAAAGTGGGCAAGGAGAAGGGGGGCCCAGAGTAGGGAGTGATTTTGATTCTAAGGAGGATGGTTAGGGAAGTTCTCCCTGAGGGGATATTTGTGCAAAGACTTGGAAGCAGTGAGGAAGCATGCCATGCAGGTATCTGGGGGAAGTGCATTAAAAGCCAAGGGAACAGTTGGGGTGGAGGCTTTAAAAAGGGACCTGCCCAAGGTGTTCGAGGACTGTCAGGGAGGCTAGTGTGGAGTGAGTGGTGAGCAGGTAGGGCTTGTGGAAAGCCAGGCCTCCAGGGCCTCTGACACCACCATGAGGACACTGGCTTTTAGCCATCGCAGGGTTTTGGGCAGAGGAGTCATACATGACTAATGTTTTAAAAGGACCACTGTTGGTGCTGGTGGAGAACAGACCGAGGGCAGAAAAGGAGGAAGTAGAAAGACCAGTTTGGAAGATGTTGTCATTATCTAGGTGCCAGATCATGGGAACTTGATCTAGGGTGGAAGCTTGCAATTAGGGTGGAAGATGATCTCGCCTGGCCTTCACATCCTCTGAGTTATTGATTCAGCTCAGCCACCAATTTGCATAGTAGATAGGCCTGCCCTCATATAGGCAAGGGTGCACATGGAAGTCCCCAAATATTTAAGAGATTTTAGGCTGGGCATGGTGACTCACACCTGTTATCCCCAGCACTTTGGGAGGCCAGGGTGGGAGGATAACTTGAGGCAAGGACTTGGAGACCAGCCTGAGCAACGTAGCAAGGCCCCATCTTTCCAAAAAAAAAAAAAAAAAAAAAAAGCAAAAAAGCTGGTCACGTTGGTGTGTGCCTATAGTTCCAGCTACTTGGGAGGTTGAGGCAGGAGAATTGCATGAACTCAGGGATTTGAGGTGGCACTGAGCTACGATCGTGGCACTGCACTCCAGCCTGCCTTAAAAAAAAGATTTTAATTATGCTAACAAAATTTTGAATAAAATAACTTCATTCTTTCTGCCTTGAGAAATATACCTTCATAATGACAAAATAAAAAATGATTATTAGGGTATCACTGTGCTTCCCTGTAACCATGAAGGGACTGAAAATCCCCATAAGGGGTCTCTGCCTTCCCCTTGGCTGTGAGCTGCTCATGAGGAGGTGTGCTGGACCCACGTGAGCTCACACTGCAAAGTACATTCTCCATACAAACCATCTCGGCTTTGTAGACAACCCTCCTCTCTGTTTCTCAGTAGTTAGTTTGGGTCCAGGACCTGGTTGTCTCCTTGAGTTCAAATCAAAAGGAACTAAGGTTACTTTCCTAGGTATCTTTTTTTTTCTTTTGAGATGGAGTCTCGCTCTGTCACCCAGGCTGGAGTGCAGTGGCGCGATTTCGGCTCACTGCAACCTCCGCCTCCCAGGGTCAAGTGATTGTCCTGCCTCAGCCTCCCGAGTAGCTGGGACTACAGGCGCCCACCACCACGCCCAGCTAATTTTTTGTCTTTTTAGTAGAGACAGGGTTTCACCGTGTTAGCCAGATGGTCTCGATTTCCTGGCCTCGTGATCCGCCCGCCTCAGCCTCCCAGTGCTGGGATTACAGGCGTGAGCTACCGTGCCCGCCCCACTTTCCCAGGTTTCAGGAATGGCAAATCTTTTTCTGGACAGTGGTTCTGGTTTCCCTGGAGAAGCAGGTTTGGTCCCACTGGGTGAGTTCTATTTTTTAAAAACAACTTTATTGAGATATAATTTACATACCATGAAATTCATCTGTCTAAAATGAACGTATCCGTGATTTTTAGTATGTTCATAGTGTTGTGCATCCCTCATCATCACCGAATTTTAGAACATTTTTATCACCCCCAAAAGAAATCCTGTACTCACTGGCAATCACTCTCCATTTCTCTTCTCTTCCCCTGCAGCCACAGGCAATCTATCTTTTGTTTTTATAACTTTGTCTATTTTGGATATTTCACAAAAATAGAATCATACAATGTGTGTGGTCTTTGGTGACTCTCTTCTTTCATGTAGCATAATGCTTTCAAGATCTATTCATGTCTTACCATGTATCAGTACTTCTTTTCTTTTTATGGCTGAATACTATTCCATTGTGTAGATATTCTATATTTTATTTACCCGTTTATCAATTACAGGACATTTGGGTTATTTTTACTTTTGACTGTTATGAAAAATGCTGCTCTGATCATTTGTGAACAAGTTTTTGCATGAACCTATGGTTTCATTTTTCTTGGTTGTATACCTAGGAATGAAATTGCTAGGTCATTTTGAGGAACTGCCAAACTATTTTTCACAGCAGCTGTGCCATTTTTATCATACACTGCCAGCAGCCACATATGAGAGTTTCAATTTCTCCATATTCTTACCAACACTTGCTATCATCTGCCTTTCTGATTCTATCTATCTTAGTGGCTGTAAAGTGGTGGTTGGTGGTTTTGATTTGCATTTCCCTGATGAGTAATGATGTTGAACATCTTTTCACGTTCTTATCGACCATTTGTATATCTTCTTTGGAGAAATGTCATTTTATATCCTTTGCCCATTTTTAAATTAGATTGTCTTTTTATTGCTGAGTTCTAAGAGTGCTTTAAAGACTCTGGATACAAGTTCCTTATCATGATTTGCAAATATTTTCTCCAATTCTGTGGGTTGTCTTTTCATTTTCTTAATTCAGCCCTGCTAGTGACTTTTCCAGGTTTTGGAACACTGTCTACTGGTGCTTCTGACCCTTATCAAATCATAGAACATTAGAAAAAGAAACAAATTTTTATTGAATACCTTTCATGAGTTATCCATTTAAATCCCCACAACTGGCCAACGGTATATATTATCATCCCATTTTAGAGTGATAAAACCAAAGCTCAGAAATAAGGCACTTTGACAAAGTCCCTTGCCTCATAAGAATGGAAAAGGAGATTTATCATTTATTTCTCTTTGATGCTAATGGACTTAAAATTATTTTTATTTGAATAGCTTTAGGAGTACAAGTGGTTTTTGGTTATGCGGATGGATTGTATAGTGGTAAAGTCCAGGCTTTTGCTGTACCCATCACCCAAATAGTGTACATTGTACCCAAAAGGTGATTTTTCATTTCTCACATCCTCCCACCCTTCCCCTTTCTGAGTCTCTAATGTCCATTATACCACTCTGTGTGCTTTTGTGTACCCATAGCTTAGCTCTCACTTATAAGTGAAAACATGCGGTATTTGGTTTTCCGTTCCTGAATTATTTCGCTTAGGATAATGGCCTTCAGTTTCATCCAAGTTGCTGCAAAAGACATTATTTCATTTTAATTTTTCCTTTAAAAAGGAGATTTAACACCATATCCTTGTGATTCAAAATTTATGCTTTTATTCTGTAGTTAGTGGCAGTGGGCCCCCTTCTATCACAGTGAGTTGACACTAGATTCATCAGATTTATAAAAATAAAATAGTGATATTGAAGAAACAATTAAGGGCCTGGCCTGAAAGACCATTCACCTACGTCACCTCCGTTGAAATCAGTGGGAATTGTGAGTATGTTGGAGCCTGGCCTGGGAATGAGTACTCTCAAGTTGAAGCACGTAAGTATTGTTGCTAAGCCATTGTGTTTGCTCTTCCTTTTTGTAGGTGTCGAGACAGCCCCTCATGGCAACTATTTATTATTCAACTTGGCATTGTGGCCTGGGAGCTGGCAGAGTCCGGGGCACTCTGGGATACTCATTATTGCAGCAGATAAAGGAGCCTGAAATCACCAGCTGGCCTGGATTTCTTAGTGAGATTAGGAGAACAGATATTGCTGGGAGGGAAAAAGGGCCATGGGTAATGTCCTGGGAGAATAGCCGATTGTGGAAGGCCAGGAGGGCCCACTTTAAACAATCCTATTTCTCTGGAATATGTCTTTGGGGACATTTGATAAAATAGAATCTCAAGGCTGAAATTATGTAGTTATATGGAGGGGAATGCTGCTAGAAATAAGGTCCTTTACTCTAGCCCACCGTCCCCCCACCATGCCTTTTTTTTTTCTAGAAAAATAACCAGATGATCTTTCTCTGTAGGCATAAAGAAACAGATACACCAGGTAGGCTTTCCTAAAACTCCCAGGTCAGTTGGGAATAGCCAGTGTTGGAGATAAAGAGTGAAGGGGTGGGTTGCCCCTCCACACCTGTGGGTGTTTCTCGTAAGGTGGAACGAGAGACTTGGAAAAGAAAAAGACACAGAGACAAAGTATAGAGAAAGAAATAAGGGGACCCAGGGAACCAGCGTTGAGCATATGGAGGATCCTGCCAGCCTCTGAGTTCCCTTAGTATTTATTGATCATTCGTGGGTGTTTCTCCGAGAGGGGGATGTGTCAGGGTCACAAGACAATAGTGGGGAGAGGGTCAGCAGACAAACACGTGAACAAAGGTCTTTGCATCATAGACAAGGTAAAGAATCAAGTGCTGTGCTTTTAGATATGCATACACATAAACATCTCAATGCTTTACAAAGCAGTATTGCTGCCCGCAGGTCCCACCTCCAGCCCTAAGGCGGTTTTTCCCCTGTCTCAGTAGATGGAACGTACAATCGGGTTTTATACCAAGACATTCCATTGCCCAGGGACGGGTAGGAGACAGATGCCTTCCTCTTGTCTCAACTGCAAGAGGCATGCCTTCCTCTTATACTAATCCTCCTCAGCACAGACCCTTTATGGGTGCCGGGCTGGGGGACGGTCAGGTCTTTCCCTTCCCACGAGGCCATATTTCAGACTATCACATGGGGAGAAACCTTGGACAATACCTGGCTTTCCTAGGCAGAGGTCCCTGCGGCCTTCGCAGTTTTTGTGTCCCTGGGTACTTGAGATTAGGGAGTGGTGATGACTCTTAAGGAGCATGCTGCCTTCAAGCATTTGTTTAACAAAGCACATCTTGCACCGCCCTTAATCCATTTAACCCTGAGTTTGACACAGCACATGTTCCAGAGAGCACGGGGTTGGGGGTAAGGTCATAGATTAACAGAATCTCAAGGCAGAAGAATTTTTCTTAGTACAGAACAAAATGGAGTCTCCTATGTCTACTTCTTTCTATACAGACACAGTAACAATCTGATCTCTCTTGCTTTTCCCCACAAAGAGTAGCTGGTTTTTCTTCCTGCCCAAGATGCCTCTTTCAGTTCCCAGGCACTTTTTAATCTGGCACAAGCAGCAGAGATCGGTGGAGCAAATGCTCTGGCTATTGGCGAGCTCTTGTTTTAATAGGGTGGTTTTTGAGAGAAGGTTAAAAAGCCTTCAGGTTTCCCCAAAATTTGCTCTGGTGTCCTTATAGAGATGCTTAGGGATGCCAGGGATGGTTGTTTGCTAAATGTTGTTGTAACAGAGGGAGCAGGGTTTGCCAAGGTTTGGGAATCCCTGCTCAAATAAGACACTTTAAGTCAGTAATTCAACAATTGCTACACACCTGGTATAGCCTAGGTACTGTGTTAGGTGCTCTGAATCACAGTAGATTCTAAGACACAGCCCCTGTATTCATAGAGCTACTATGTAGTGGGTAGAGGGCACTATCAAGGGATAATTAGATTGACTACTGTAGTTCTGTGGCTGAAATCTGTGAAGGAGGTAAATTGTTGCATTTTCTGGAAGGCAGATCCAAATCAAATCAGGAGGCAGATCCAAATTAATCCAGGAAAAATTGCGTTTTGAATGTAAAGAGCTTCCTTTAATGCATTTTCTAAACTCTATGCTGTTTGTTTCTTTGGGCTACATAAATCTAGGAATCATTAAGCTCCCCATGTCTGCTGGGTATGTGGGTATGCCAAGAATGCAAGGCCCTGACCTTTCTTTAACTAGGCCAAATCTCAGAGTGATGTTTGCATTGAGCACCCTTAAGAGATGAACTCCCTCTGCGATAAAGAGCAGGCCGGCTTACTGCTTGCTATGTAAGTGGGGGGATTCCCTAAGCTCAGAGTTCCTCAGCTTTGATGCAGACTCAATGTATGTGAAGCATCCATCTGGGCCTTAACATGTTGTCACTATGGGACTTGGGGGCCAGGGAGACTGATATGAACTTGCTATTGCTCATGCTGCTTGCTGTGCTGTGAGTAATAACATCCTTTGTCTTTGACCCAAAGGTCTTGTGTCTTCTGCAGTGGCAGTCTCATTTATTAGCTTGTAAAATCCTAGGTCCGATTGTGCCCCTTTCACCGTGAAAGGCTGAAAGGCTTTCTGTGCTATGCTTGGTTAAAAGGGAAGAAAAGGGCCCCATGGCAAGCTTGTTTGAACCTCAAAGTGTCACAATCACATAATAATACAGTTCTACCTGAGCTGGCATCATCAGAGTGCTAAGAGAGATAATCTGAAATGAAATGAGATGGATTATTCTAGAACAGAGGTTTCTAAAGTGTTTTCATGTTGATAGCTGAACACTTTTTTCCCCAAGTAATTTATAAGGAACTACAATATATACAAAGATCTCAGTTATAAAACTACTGTTTTAAGGATACATTTTGGATTTGAAGGCTACTTAAATTTGTGTAATTTAGTTGTATATGAAAGAACATCCCTAATTCTGCTTTGGTGGGAGTTGATCTGTAAGGCAGCCCAGGCATTCTTGTGCTGGTTTAAATACAAGGTGTTTGGCAGTGGAGGGCTCCTGACAGGGAAGGCAGCTAATTTTCCACCCACAAGCCTCATAGGGAGGACTTCATCTTTGTGTATTTACCACATTCTTCTATCTGTCCTTCGGATACCTGATTTATCAGTACAGCAGAAGTGGCTTCTCAGGGCTGACTCACATTAACTGTGCATAGGAGACTGATGTACAAACCAGCATCATATTTAAGGGATGTATTATACAAAGAGAACTAGAAGAGTTTTGGAACTGGAGAAATTACCTAGGGCACTGCGTTGGCATAGATACTCAAGTTTGTGGTCTAAGCAGGAGTTGGCAAACTGACCTGGGGGGCAAATATGGCCCACTACCTGTTTCTGTATGGCCTCTGAGCTAAGAATGGTTTATACATTTTCAGTGGCTGAAAAAAAAGTAAAGAATGCTGTTTTATAATATGTAAAAATCATAAGAAATTCAAATTTCAGTGTCCATAAATAAAGTTTTGTTAAAATAGAGCCATTCAAGTGAATAGACTCGTTCATTTACATCTTGCCTGTGGCTGTTTTCATGCTGCAACAGCAGCACTGAGTAGTTGGGACAGAGACCGTAAGGCCTGCTAAGCCTAAGATATTCATCTCTGACGCTTTATAGGAAAAAGTCTAGAGTCGTGATTCTTAAAATGCAATATGCATACAGATTTTCCAGAAAGCTTATGAAAAAGTAGATTCTGATTTGGTGGGTCGGGAGGAGGGGCCTGAAATTCCACATTTCTAACCAGCTCCCAGCTGATGCTACTGGTGTCTGAGTGGCAGGCATAGAACCGCTTTTCCACTGGGTGGCACTTGGATGGCCCAACTTCTTGCCCCTGTAGGGTAGATTTTGATCTGATCATCCTCTGCTCTTTACGTAGTCTTTCTCCAGACTGGGTACAACACACTAGCAAAAATTTCCACATGTTAAACTCTTTCAGTCTGCCTTCCTAAGGTCACATCCAATCTATCTGGATTAAAGAAGATTCTTGGCTTATTCCCATGTGTGGTTACCGCCTAGAAATCCACAGTGTCTGTACATTTCACTGGTTGAAGTCTCAGAGAAAAATCTGAAACCCATATTGTTTGGGGGAGCCTCATTGTTGACATCATGCCACAACCTACATTCCTAGATCCAGTGGGCATGGCTGGATGTTGCATTGAGAAATAAGACTCTTGGAATTCACAATTAGAAGGACATTTACTTTCTTTCTGAATAATATCTCTCAACAATCCTTTAAAAACTTTTCAGGGCCTAGCACCCAGGACCTGACACTCAGTAGATGAGATATTTAAGAAATGCATGACTAGACATCTAATAAATTCCCAGCATTCAGCATTATTCAACCTTCCTACGGCTTCAGCCGGAAGGACCAACTTGCCATTTCCCAAACTGGCCGTAGGTTTTCATATTTCTGTGTTTCCTCAATGAGTTTTCCTTTTATGGGAAGGCCCTTTCCTACCTTCTCTCCCTGGCAAATGACTTCTCCAAAAGGTAATTCGTTCAAATGGTGCGTTTTGCCAGAAGCCATTCCCATCTGCCCCAGGTGATGTTGTTAGCACTCCCCTGTGATTCTGTTGCTTTCCATTCCATGCATCCCAGATTAGGACCACTCACCCATATGACATCTTTGTTCAAATTAGGGAAAGTCACCCCTCCTATTTAGCTGACACAGTCCTACACCAAGGCCTTGGAGAGAGGAGTGTGTGAGAGTTGTTGGGGAGAGAGAAAGAAGATAGAAAGAGAAAAATGTTGAATAATAACCTAAAAGGATATAGGCCTTCAAGTTTAGAAAACATTTTAGCATGTATTAGTGTATTAGATCCTGAATGCATGGATGTGAAGATAGTAGTCCTGTTACTTATCAGGTATATCAGACAGGTTTTCGTTATTTTGTAGGTGGGAAACAGACTCAGAGAGGTTGTTTGACTAACTTATGGTCACACAGCTCATGGATCTTAGAGCTGAGTTATAAATCCAGCTCTCTTCCCTGATCCCTGTTTGTGACATGCATAGTTTGGCTTTCAGAGGAGAGTGTCATTCCTCTTTAAGGGATGATCGAGAGAGCTGCCCCAGGAGAGAGGAGGGACTTCCATGTGATTGTTGCATTAGCTCAGCTCTGAATGGTTTCTTCTGTTTAATAAACCTTGTTAATTTTACTACTGCTTGTTCTTGGCTCCACCACACAGCAGTGGTTTAGGCAATATGTTCAAAAAATGTGCTAATTACAGGCTGTAATTTTCTTCCATCCTAAAATAAATACTTAGCATTTTAGTACTTGGAGAGGGAAATAGTTTAGTGGAGCTAGAAGAGTCACGAAGCTTGGGGGCTGTTGGGAGGGGCTGAAGAACATGGAAGCAGAATGTGCAAGGATAGAAAAAAATAGAAGTTTTTGGAAGGCTGTGGTGTCTGGGGTCTATTTAGTGGGAGTGGTGTTATGTATGTGGGTGTGTGCAAGTTTGGGGGATACTTGGGGGATGCTGTGCAGAGAGAGGCAGAGGGAAGGGGGTGCTTGCTACCTGCTCACCAAACTCTGTTCCTTCTCTTCCGTGGTGCAATTCTGTCATTCAAGAAGTGTGTTTTGTTTTGTTTTGTTTTGTTTTGTTTTTTGAGCTGAGCATGGTAGCTTATGCCTGTAATCCCAACACTTTGGGAGGCTGAAGTAGGAAGATTGCTTGAGCTTGGAAGTTCAAGACCAGCTTGGGAAACACCAGGCTTTCAGCAAATGCTCCTTGAGTGTGTGAAGTACTGTATTGAGCAGCATAGAATTGGACACTGTTGACCATATCATTCTTTAGTTGATGAGATCTGGGCCCTCATAAGCCCTCATGTTTGGACAGTGCCTCCTGGTTTACAAAGAGCTTCCTTGAACATGATCTCAGTTCAGCATCACAATAACCCTCTGAGATGAAAAGGGGTAGGGAAAGAACAGGAAGGAACTAACAGGAACTGTGGGAGTTCAGAATGAGGGATTATTTCTAGCTGCAGGAGGGACCCATAGAAGTCTCCTGAGAAAGTGGCATTGAGATGGGCTTTTAAAGAAAGGTGAGAGAGCAGAGAACAGTATTCCAGGTGGAGGCCACATCGTAGGCAAAGTCACAGAGATGTGAAAGCGTGGGTGTGTCTATGGGACTAGGGGAGGTGATCAATGGGGCTGGAGTATAGGCTGCCTGCAGGACAGTGTGGGAGGCCAGACTGAAAACAACCACAGGGCTCAGAGAGCAGCATCATTTCATTAGGATCATCATCTTCATTCCCCTCTTTAAAAACACACTTCCAGACCACTTGCTCTATGCCAGGCACTTGGCTAGGTATGGGAGACACAAAAGATATCATGTACAGTTCCTGCCTTGAGGGCATTTACAACCCATCAAGGAGAACTGCCACACACACACCAACCTTAAACGAAATGCGTAGAAGTTACTTGGAAAGTTTGCACTTCCATTTAACGTGTGCATGTTCAGAAGAATGGAGGCCTGCAAGAGTTCCCTTTTCACATGTACTTGGAGCTTTCCCTTGAAGGGCCCTCTAATTAAGTCTTTGGGGAGGCAGTGCAGCACAGTGGTTGCAACCACAGTCTCTGGAGTCCGAAGGCCTGGGTTGAAATTTGGGCTGCAGCACTGACGACCTACAACTCCCTGGTGGAGTCTTTAGTTCTCTATCCTTGGTGATATGGTTTGGCTGTGTCCCCACCCAAATCTCATCTTGAATTATAATTCCCATAATTCCCTTGTGTTGTGGAGCGACCCAGTGGGAGATAATTGAATCATGGGGACGATTTCTCCCATACTGTTCTCATGGTAGTGAATAAGTCTCATGAAATCTGATGGTTTTATAAGCAGAAACCCCTTTCACTTGGCTCTCTCTCTTTGCCTGCTGCCATCCACATAAGACGTGACTTGCTCCTCCTTGCCTTCTGTCATGATTGTGAGGCCTCCCCAGCCATGTGGACCTGTAAGTCCATTAAACCTGTTTTTCTTCCCAGTCTGGGGTACGTCTTTATCAGCAGTGTGAAAACAGACTAATACACTTGGTTACCTTGTCTATAAAATAACGATCCAAAGGCAACCTGGTTGATTGGGTTGTCATATCAGCTAAGACAATGCAGAAAAATAGTACCATGCATGATACCCAATTAACCCAATAGCAAATAAGTAAGCACGATGCTGCTGGCTGTGGCTTGCATACTGTAGCTGAGCCGAAGTAGAGTCTCTGAGCAAGGAGGGCACCATGGAACATGTTCTTCTGGGAGTCCCGCTCAGAAAGCAAAGCTGGGTGAGTGTGCAAGGTCGTTGTGGTGCTGCCAAGTCATTGTGGAGCCTCGCTAGCATATCTTGGCTTAAAGGAGTAGGGATTTCTTAATAAATCAGGTGTTTCTTGTAGACACTCCCCACCCCCAGCAGTGCTGGAATGTGCAGAGGATGTTTTGAATGTGTCACCACTGATAGTTACATGCCGTCCTGTTGCAGTGCGTTTCCAGGAGCTAAACCAAGGCCAGGGTCAGGGAGCCCAGCTTTGTGGCAGCGGATGATACATTCCTCTGAAATACACCAACTCCTTGAGAGCTTCCTTCAATTATACTGCCCCGCGTGAGTTTGCACACCCTCACACACAATTGGCTTTCCTCTCTTAGGAGTTTGGGATATTTCAAGGCTTGCTAATCAGCTGTGTTTATTAGATAGCCTTTGTTTTCCCCTTCTAAGACAGGAAGCTCATTAGAAACAAGCACAAACTATCAACTTTCAACCCAGAGTTGAAAATGTTCCCTGAGAATTGGGGATATTTTTCAAGGGAGTCATATTCAGAGGCACAGCCCAACTCACGGTAGCTAAGCTGACAAGTAGGCTCTAGGTAATCCACATTCCAAGGATTTTGAGGTTCCCATGAGATGAATGCTTTCCCTCCATGATTATACCTTGCAGCTAGAAATATAAGGAAAAGCTGGGGCAAACTATAATACAGCAGGTAGTGACAATGGCCCTGGAGCCAGATGAAATGGGCTCATGTTCTGGCTTAGCCATTTACTAATTATGTGACCTTGGGCAAGTCACTGACCTTCAAATTCCTCATCCTTAAATAGGGGTAGGCCGGGAGGGTGACTCACGTCTGTAATCTCAGCACTTTGGGATCCTGAGGTGGGTGGATTGCTTGAGCACAGAAGTTAGAGACCAGCCTGGGCAACATAATGAGACCCCGTCTCTATAAAAAATTTTTTTAAAATCAGCTGGGTGTGTGATGGTGTGCACCTGTGGTCCCAGCTACTTAGGGGTCTGAGTCAGGAGGATTGCTTGAGCCTGGGAGTTTGAGACTGCTATGAACTATGATTGAGCCACTATACTTCAGCCTGGGTGACAGAGTGAGACCCTGTCTGAAAAAAAAACAAGGGTGGTACTACCCACTTCATAGGATTATTGTGAGCTTTACGTGAAGGCCTTACGTGATTGTTAGTTATTATTATTTATAGTAGCTTTCATTTATTCATTCATTCCTTTACTCAACTGATACTGATTTGGTACTTTCTATGTGCCAGGTGTTGTGTTTGGTGTAGGAACTATGTAATAAAATGAGTTCTTGTCCCTGCTCTTGAAGAGGTCACCACTCAATGAGAGAGACAACATGTACACAGGTTTTATGAAGCAGTGTGAACAATGCATGCAACAGGCTTTGGGAGCACAGTGGAGGGACACCTAGCTCTAGTTGATGGTGGTTGTGGTAGTGATAGCCCAAGTGTACCACGATGGAAGTAATAATGATGGTGATGATGAGGATGTTGGTCATGCTGGTAATGGTTTGCTTGTAAGGATGGTAGTAATGATGGGGACTATGAGATGGTGGTGATGGTTGTGGTAGTAATGATTCCAGCATGATGTCATAATGATGACAGAGACATTTAGATTGGTGATAGTGGTGGCCATGATGGTGGTGACAGTGGTGATGGTTTACCATGAGGATGGTAGTGAAGATGGCATTGCTGCTGATAGTGGTGATGGTGGCCATACAATGGTAATCAAGATGTCAGTAACAGGATTGTAGTCAAGATGGTAGTAAACAATACAGTGGTGATGGTGATGGTGAGGGTGGCAATGGTGGTATTAATGTTTTGAGAAAGGATGGTACTAGAGATGGTACAGATGATGGTGACAGTGTGATGGTGGCAGTGGTAGCAATGACTGTGATAGGATAGCAGTAATGGTGTAATGGCAGTGATCATGGTGAGAGCAGGTAGAAGTGGCAGTGATTTGCCCTGAGGATGCTAGTAAAGATGGTAGTGATGACCATGTGGAGGTGGTGGTGGTGGCATGATGTGAGAAGACAGCTGTTCTCTTCCTACCCTTCCCAAGATTATGATTAAGAAAATCCCAAACATGATATTATTTCATCTGTAAATGTAAACTATATCTTTAAATTTAAATTTTCTAACTTTGTTGCTAGTGTGTAGACATGAAAATGGTTTTTGAAAATTGACATAAGATCTAGTAACCTTGTAAATCTCTCATCATTTATACTGATTTGTCTGCAGATTCAATGGGGTCTTCTACATAGACAATCATATCATCAGCTAACAGAGTTTTGTTTCTTTCTTTTTAATACTTATGCCTTTTATTTATTTTTCCTGGAGGATTATACGATGTCTTCCAGTTTAGTGTGAAAAAGAGGTAGTGAGAATGGTATCTGTCTTTTTCCTGATTCTAATTGTAATAATTCTAACATTTTACAAATATCAAATATTAAAATAATGCTTATTACAGGTTTAATAGGTATCCTATATGAGGTTATGAAACTTTGTTCTGTTGTTATCCTGGTTTGCTAAGAGATTTTTTTGATTGTTGTTTAATTATGAATATTTGTTGAATTTTATCAAAGGCTTTTTCTGTTTGTACTGAAAAGATTATATGGTGCTTTGGGCACTTCCCATGTATGACTTCAGAGTTGCGCAGCCTTAATTTTTTTCTTATTTCAGCCACTGATGCAGTGACCAATTTTGTGTGAGCACTTATCAGTTTCACACAGGTGCACCCTGACAGCAATTAACCTTTGGGTCTCACTGCATGCCTCTTCCTGTCTCTGTTGATGCGCAGTGGGAAACAGTATGAGAACCATTTGGCACTCACCAAAATTTATTCATTGAGAAAAAGGATTTGTCATTTATCTGTATAGACAGTGCTGAAATGCATTTTACGTGGCCATTCATGCAGTCCCATGGGCTTGCGTCACTCATGCAGCAGCGGCTTGATAATTTGTCTTGGTGTTAGTTTTCTTTCCTCTCTGACTCTCCTTTCTTCTTACCGCTCACTCTTGCTCTCTGGCTTTCATGCCTCAGAAAAGTACTCACACTTTATCCTTTGTTTCTGGGGAATTCAGAATATAATTTTTTTTCTCTTTTAGTCTATTTATGTGTTGAATTACATTTATAAAGTTTCTGATGTTAAATTACCCATGCATTTCCTTGGATAGTTCAGCCTGGTCACAAAGTTATAGTTAAAAAAATTTTTTTATTATACTATTTGGTTTGGAAATTTCACATCTGTGTTCATGAGTAAGACTGATGTATAATTTTTCTTTTTTAAACCTTCTTTGTCTGTTTTTGGTGTCAGTATTATATTAGCCTCACAAAATAAGTTGTAGAATGTTCTTTCTTTTCAATTACCTGGAAAAGATATTTGAATTTGAATATTTGAATGGTTTGTTCCTTGAAAGTTTGTGAAATGTATTCTATGAAATAGTTTGGGCTGGCTATTTTTCAGAAGGATTTATATTGCTGATTAAATTCCCTCAACAGTTATAAGATTATACAGGGTTTTGATTTCTCCTTGAGTCAGTTTTGGTTATTTAGCTTTCCTAGGAATTTATATATTTTAATCTATACGTCAAATTTATTAACATTAAATTTAAATGTATTAATATTAAATATTCACTTATTTTCAGTCTGTATGATAGTTATATTCCTCTTTTATTCCTAATATTTCTTACTTATATGTTTGTTTGTTTGCTTTTGATCAGGCTCACTACTGGTTTATCAGTGTCTTTAGTCTTCTCAGAGAACAAACTTCCAGCTTTGTTGACCTTTTTCCCTATGTTTTTGTTTTATATTATGTTGGTATTATTATTCTATTCTTTTAATAACTTTTTTAGTTGGTTGCTCAGCTCATTAATTTTAAGCCTTTCTTCTTTCCTAATATAAACATTTCAGGGTATAAACCTGTTTTGAAGTATTATTTTCATTGCACCCTGTGAGTATTAATATATAGTATTATTGTTACAATTGAGTTCTATGTACTTTTGAATTTCCGTTTTGGCTTCTCTTTTCCCCATGAGTGATTTATAAGTTTATTTTTATAATTCCAAGTGTGTTTAAATTTTTTATTGATGTCTAACTTAATTGCATTGTAATTAAAAAATATCTACTATAGGATACTCATTTTTAAAAATTCATTGAGACTTTAAGTACTGCATGGCAATTTTAAAGTAAATGTTTTATGTTTTATGTGTGTTTGAGACACACATCTTCTAATTATTGGAAGTAGGATTCTAAATATGTCTTTAAATCAAGCTTGTCAATGGATTGTTAGGATTTTCTGCATTTTTTGTTTTTTCATTTGCTTGATCAATCAATCATTGAGATGATGGTTTTGCTGATTTTCTCCCCATAGTTCTATTAATTTTTGATCTATATAATTTGAGATTATTTTAGTAAATATGTGCATGTTTAGTATTGTTATATTAAAATGGTTAAACTTTGTAGCAGTCTGCACTTCTCTATCATTGTACTTACACAGTCTATTGTAATTACCTAATTATAAGTTCACATCTCCCACAGACTATAATTTCTGGGAGTTCATGCAACAAATCTGAATTGTTCAGCTAGCACAGTGCTCAATTAATAATTGTTAAATGAATGGATGCGTGAATGAATTGTCCTTTACCTTTCTGATATGGCAAATGATTAACACTGGATTATATATAATGGAATCTCTTGTTTTGTGCCTAAATATATGTAGGAGTGTCAGATTTGCAATGCATATGAAGCTAGATCTCAAACATCCATATCTTGGTGTAGAAGGCCTCTTCATTTTACAAAGAGCTCATCTGCTGAGGCATTTCTTGTTACAGAATTTTGATGGTGACTGTGTTTCCACTTGGTTGACAATCTTTCTTCCTACCCTTCTTTTTTTTTTTTTTTTTGAGATTTCCATTTGGAGAAAACAGAAAGTCAGCAGATTCTTTTTCTCCCTTGAGTTAATTCAAAGCGCTGATGAAGGAAAAGAGGGAGAGTGAATCTATAAAGGACAATGGAAAAGTCCCCTTTCCATATTTTGTCTGGAGGATCTGAGATTAGATTGGGAGTTTCTGTAGCCTTGGTATGAAAGAATACAAAGGACTTTAGCTCTAAAAGTATTTAAAGCCATTTTTGTCACCAACAGGATAGGCCAAATGAAAGCTCCTTCCTCCCTTGGTCCCAGGTGTAGATTTGGGGAAGTGGGCAGCTATTTCAAATCTATTACCAAAACGCTTTGAGTGAGCACCTCCTCTGCCCCAGGTTTTATGCTAAACACCATGGTTGCAAAGAGGCATAAGACTCTTCAAGGAACTGAAGCTCTTTGGGTGGGGGAAAGGGTAACAGGTTTTGTACAGTTATTAGCAAGTTCAGTGACCTCACAAACCTGCCCTGTGAGTGGCATCTTAGATACTCTGGGCTACAAGAGCCTGAGCAGATTCAACAACAACAATTTTTGTGTGCATGTGGCATGAATCATTACAAACAACTTTATATTCATTATATTTTTTGTTCTTCACAACACCTCCTAGGAGCTGACTTTTATAAATTTTACTTTATTATTATTTTTTTGAGATGGAGTCTTGCTCTGATGCCCAGGCTGGAGTGCAGTGGTGTGATCTCAGCTCAGTGCAACCTCCACCTCCTGGGTTCAAGTGATTCTCCTGCCTCAGCCTCCCAAGTAGCTGGGATTATAGGAACCTGCCACCATGCCCTGCTAATTTTTCTATTTTTAGTAGAGATGGAGTTTTGCCATGTTGACCAGGCTGGTCTCAAACTCCTGACCTCAAGTGACCCTCCCACCTTGGCCTCCCAAAGGATTATAGGTGTGAGCCACTGTGCCCAGCCTGTAAATTTTATTTTTAATTGACAAATAATTATAAGTACTATATATTTATGGGATATGATGTGATGTTTTGATATATGTTTATATTATGAAATGACTAAATCAAGCTAATTAACAATTTCATCACCTCACATATCTTTTTTTGGTGAAAACATCTAAAATCTACTATTTTAGTAATTTTGAAATATACAGTACATTATTATTTATTATAATCACCATTCTGTGCAAAAGATCCTGAAAGCTTATTCCTCCTGTCTAACTGAAATTCTGTGTCTTTTGACCAACATATCCCCTTTCTCCATTCGCCCTCGTCCCCCAGCTCCTGGTAACCACCATTCTTCTGTATACTTCTATGAATTTGACTTTTTAAAATGCTACACGTAAGTGATGGACATCATGCAGTATTCATTTTTCTATGTCTGGTTTATTTCACTTAGCCTGATGTTCCCCAGGTTCATCTGTGTTTTCACAAATGACAGAATTTCCTCCTTTTAAAAGGCTGCATAGAATTCAATTGTGTCAGCATATTACTTTTTTTTAATCCATTCATTGATAATGGACATGTAGGTTGCTTCCATATTTTGACTATTGTGAATAGCCAAATAAATGTGGGAGTGTAGATATTTCTTTATCATATTAAGTTCCTTTCTTTTGGATTATACACCCCAAAGTGGGATTGCTTGGTTTTCTGAGGAACCTAGGAATTATCTTTTATTTTTCTTATTTTGCAGATTAGCAAACTGAGGCTCTGAGAGAGACTCTGCAATTAGGGCTTGACTATAACCTGGTTAATAAGTAATAAAAAAAAGGTAACGTTTACTAAGCTCGTACTACGTGCCAGATGCTGTTCTGTTTTAATGCATTATTGCCTTTAATTCTCAGTAACAATCCTGTGGAATGTTGTTACCATTTCCCTGTCCCCACCTCCTTTTTGCAGATGATAAAAGGATGCATAGAGAGATTAGGACAACTGCGTAAGGCTAACAGGTGCCAGTGGTAGGTTTTAAACCCAGAGAGTTAGGCTCTGTAGAACTTACACCTCAATATTTACATAAGCAACATGATTTAGTATAATAGCTTGGAAACTCAAGACTCCATTTTGAGCCCTGAATCTGCCTCTCATCTTTTTGCTACTTAAAGTGTGGTCCACGGACCAACAGCCTTAGCCTCACTTGGGAGCTGTTAGAAATACAGGATCTGAGCTCCACCCCAGACTGACTGGATCAGAATCTTCATCTTACTTAGATCTCCAGATGATTCACCTGCTCACTGAAGGTAAGCACTGTCTCACCAGCTTTGCCCAAATCACAGAATCTCTCTCGGCCTCAGTTTCTCCAACTGTAAAATGAGGACAGCATCTGCCTCTGCCCCTTCTCAGGGCTGCTATGGAGATCAAAAGGCAGGAGGTATGTGGAAAGGTGTTGTAAATTGCATAGTGTTCTACAAAGGTCAAAACCAAACAGTGAACCAGAGCATTAAAGCTTTAGAGACAACTCGACAAATAGATAATGCCTTTTATCCCCAAGGCTTGGCTGGGCAGGAACTCACAGTGCTGTGTGTTATACAAAATAACCAGACAGAAGAAATGCCTTTTACAAGCAGTTCCTGGAAATTTCTAGCTTTATCAAGGAATTTGGTTTCTCCAGTTCACTGCCTAGTGAAAATAGCTGCTCCTTAATAAGACCCAGATGTTGACACAGCCACTCACCTTCCCCATTGCATGGATGCGTTTCATACTGAATTTCACCTAAGGAATTTTAGACTTTAAAGATAATAATCAAAACCACTGCTAGCTTCCCTTTGGGATTCTTGCTGATTTGGGAGATCAAAGGTGTCGCAACAATACAGTGAATGTAGACAGAAAGTGAGGTTTCTTGCCTGCTAACAAAAAGATGAATGCAGTATAACAATGACCATTTTAGCACTTTTGTCCCCAGGTACTTCTGCTTAAAGTAGGTTCTCCTCTCAAATATTTTTATAATTTCCCCCGACTGTCCTTCTTTGCCTCATGCTATCGGCAAACGTGGCTGGTGCGCTAACAACATTAGCTTCTGTTTCAAATACAATTAAATGGATGCCCTTGCTGGTTAATTCTTGGCATACCTAAAAAATACTTTCTCCACGTCTAGGAAAAGTATGAGATGTTTAAATTCCAAACAATGAATGATTCCCAAGGGCATCTCACATGGAGTTTCACGGGATGGGAATCTGGCTCAAAGGAAGGACGTCCTCCATGGTGGCCCCTCACTTTTTCCGGAGGCAGCCTGATTTGACTTTCTGTGAGTGGCTGAGAAATAACATAACTCTTGACTTTGGGGAGAGCTCTGCACTCTTGTAGACCCACATAGAGAGACCAGGCTGTTTTCATTACGCACTTGCTGGAATGCAGGGATCTGCTATAGGTCACCAGGGATTTCACAACCCCCAAAGCAAGAATGGCAGAAATTTGACTTTTAGAGACCCTGCCACTCTTCAATTTGCTATGTGCTTTCCTCCCCTTCTTTAATGAAACTATTGAGGGAGATGGTCTCGAAATTGTTTTTAAGGGCCAGATAAGTAGGAAGTTTTCTCACTGAGGCCTTCCTTCTCCAGGCAAGGGTATCCTGTGAGCATGGCCATTAGCCCCAAGACAGAGGCATATACTAGGTTGGTGCAAAAGTAATTATGGTTTTGCCATTAAGAGTAATAAATGGGAAGCTTCTGATTTGGGCCTTGGTTGCACCCCAGCTTTGCCACTTACTAGCAGTGAGACTTGGGTGATTACTCAGATTCTTCTGAGGCTCTGTTTTTTGGCTGTCAAAATGGCAAGCAACATCTCAGAGGGTCCTTGCGGAGATTACATGAACTCCTGGCTCATGCTACTAATAATCTGTGGATTTCTCTAGAAAAATATTGTTTTCTTTCCTATGGGAAGCCACCACCGTCAAACTTTATTTTGAGTTGTATTGTTTTAAAACTATTTAAGAAGGGCAATAAATATTTGGTCTATTTAAAGAGCAGGCTAGGCTGGGTGCGGTGGCTCACGCCTGTAATTCCAGCACTTTGGGAGGCCGAGGCAGGTGGATCAGGAGGTCAAGAGATTGAGACCATCCTGGCCAACATGGTGGAACCCCATCTCCACTAAAAATACAAAAATTAGCTGGGTGTGGTGGCGTGCACCTGTAGTCCCAGCTACTCAGGAGGCTGAGGCAGGAGAATCGCTTGAATCTGCGAGGTGGAGGTTGCAGTGAGCCGAGATCATGCCACTGCATGCCAGCATAGGTGACAGAACGAGACTCCATCACAAAAAAAAAAAAAAAAAAAGGAGCAGGCTAGATAATGCTATGAACCCAGGTCGACATCAGAGGCTGCTCTCGGTGGGAGCTTCAGGCCCACCCAGACCATTTCAACAAATGTGTATGGAGTTCTTGCTCCAGTGCAGGCACTGTGTGTGTAAGGGGCTTCCATTACAAGAGTGGATGAGACACTAGTCCCTATGGTTAAGAGGCTGAACGTTAGTGGGGGAAAATAAGTAAACTGGCAATTACAAAACAGGGAGATAAATGCCACAATGAGGAAAAGATAAGGTGCTAAGAACACTGGTAGAGACCTGCAAGCTGGGGGAAGATGTACTCTAAAAGACAAATGAGACAGACCAGGGAATGCCTGTGCAAAAACCTGGAAAGATTGTCAGTAGGACCTCTTGGAGAAGCAGCAGCCCCTCGCTTTGATCTTGCTCTGATAAACTAAACAGAATTAAAGGCTTTTGATGATGAAAGTGTAGGAAGCTCCATGTCAAGTTCTGACATACTGAGTGAAGCCAGCAGAATCATAGAAAGTAGAATTGTATAGCTGGAAGGGCCTATTACAATTCTCTCAAATAACTAGGTCATTCAAGTTCTGTCTTCTCCACAGGCATTCTTGGATCTTCTTGGGGTCACCTTGTTACTCCCCAGCCTTGCCTTGCTCTCTTGAATCTCCATGCCTTTGTTCTCTCCATGCCTGGAATCTCTCCTTGCCAAATCTGGCTTATTTCTATATGCCTTTTGAGACTCAGTTTAAATGCCCTTTGGTTTCTTCATTCATGAATCATTCCTTCACAACTCACTGTATCAGTTAGTTATTGCCACAATCATGCTGCATAACAAATAAGCATACAACCGCAGAGGTATACAATGGTTAGCACTTTTTAGCTCAAACAGCTGGGTGTTGGCCAAGGGCTGCTGATGGAGCCTGGGCTCAGTGGGAAGACCCTGCTCTGCTCCATGTTTCTCTGACCTTTCTCCTTGGACCAACAGCCTAACCTTGCTTGGGATGCTCTTCTTGCAATGATGGCAGAGCTGCTATAGGGAAAACAGAAAAACACACAGGCCTAAAAGGCCCAGGCTTGGAACTAGCATTCCCTCACTTTTCTTGTATTCCACTGGCCAAAGCAAGTTGCATGGCCAAACCCAAGTTCAAGGAGCAGGAAAATGTACCCTGCCCCTTAAGTGGAAAGAAGTGTAAAGTCACATGGCAAAGGGCAAACTGGGACCAAGAATGCAGTCTACCACATTAACCTTTGTATCTCTAGTACTTGACATGTGATAGGAACCCAGTATGTGCTTCTGACCTGCAATGAGAAAACTAAGCCAAGAGTGGTAAAATGACTTGCCCAAGTAACCTGACAGCAAGACAGGTCAATAGAAAGTGTAAGGTAGGACGCATTCAGTAAGAAGAATAAAGCTGGAGAGGGCTTTCCCAATGATTTAGGCTGACTCCCTCTTTTTATACATGCTCAAGAATATGAGTGAGATTGAGTGACTCATTTAAGATAATATAGTTCATCCACGACCCAGCTTGCCTTGAAGTGAAAAATGCCCTGTTCTCTTCTGAGCCCCTCTGGTATGGCATCTGTGAAGTTGGAAGCTGGAGCTAGTTGAGGGCCTATCAATATGATGGGGGTTTTCCCCTTCTTCACTGCCCCTTCATTTTTCTTTCTTTTTTTTTTTTTTAGTTTTTTGTTTTACTTTTTTTTTTCCCACTGCCCCTTCAGAAACAAGAATATGAAAAGGGATTCTTTGATAATGGAACTCAATCCCAACCAATCAAGGAAGAGGAATCCCATCTTGGCAGTGTGAAAAATCTGCTTTTCTGAAAAATGCTTCACTTAAAAGATCGAAAGAACTCTTTCCTCTAGACAGACCCCCAAAACATAATCCTATTTCTACAATCCTATTGATGGAGGGTAGATCTGGCAGAGTTTATTATTAAATTCACCCACTGTTAACCAGCAAAGCACACTCAGATAATTCAGAATAATGCACAAAAGATCCCTTTTTTAAACATTTGAGTCCCATCTTTCAGCACTCACAGAGTCCATGTAGCATTGAGGGATTTGGGAGTGACTCTGCCTCTCTTTTTAGCTCATCCTCCAACTTCCCATGGGTATAGATCCCTTTCTTTCACTTGCCCTAGTGGTGTCCTTTCTCATGGCGACTTTGATGATGAAAATGTCTTTTTCTTTAACCTTCTCTCCTCTTTTCCCTGCCTTTAGATTTTCATAGAGCGTTTACCAGGTATTTCTATCACTTACACTGATGTTATGCTAAAAGAGTTCCTGGCTCTTCGTCTGCTTTACCAAAAGTCATCTTTCTGTTTTGCTTGTATTTAAAAAGCATAACTGAGCTTTAATATCATGAGCATAAGTTGGTGAGTGAGGTCAGAGTGATGGTGACAGTGACGGTAATGATGGTAGTGGTAGAGGTGGCAGTGCAGGTAATGGTGGTGATGGTGATGCTGTGGTGGTGATGGCAGTGGCAGTGATAGAGGTGGTAGTGTGGGTGGTAATGATGGCAGTGATAGAGGTGGTAGTAGTGGTAGTGGTGGCAATGGTGATGGTGGAGGTGGTGGTGGTGATGGTGGTGGTCATGGTGGTGGCGATGGTGGTGGTGGTGGTGATAATGATTGTGGTGGTGATGGCAGTGGTGGCGACGGCAGTGGTGATGGTGGTTGTGGTGGTGGTTGTAATGGTGGCAGTGGTGGCAATGGCAGTGGTGATGGTGGTTGTGGTGGTGGTTGTAATGGTGGCAGTGGTTGTGATGGTGGCGGTGATGGTGAGGTGGTGGTGGTGATGGTGATGGTGGTAGAGGTGAAGGATTTAGTGGAGGTGGTGGTGGTGATTTTCATAATGAGTGAGGTTGTTGGTAGTGGGGTGGTTCATTTGCATCATTGATTAGTAATAAACTTAGTGGGGCAATAAACTCCGACCTTACCTACTTCCACAATGTAGTTCATGGTTTTGTTTTCACACTGTGTCACTTAAAAACCAGCACTCTCAACAACAGAGTAATTTGTTGTTACTAGCTATACCTTTAACTACAGTCAATGCTGTCCACAAATTTAATTGAAAAATTATCGGAAAGTCGTCACTTTGGGATGATTTGCTTGGGGATCAGCTTCCTTATTTTACATATCTGAGTTTCTGTTTCTTCATGTTAAATCTGGCCTCAACTCCCTCAGAACAAACCAGATAATGCTTGTGAAAACCCACAGAAATAATAACATCTACTATTTGTTTAGTATTACTCAATGATAATATTGAGAAGTTCACCTACATTACTGGTAATTCGGAAAACGATTCTGCAGGCATTGTTTTGTATTATTTACTTTTATTGCCTCAATTCAGAAAGGATTTACAAGCTTAGGAGTATATCTAAAATACATAAAATGGTACTATGGAAAAACAAAACAAAACAAGAATATAGATTAATGTGGAGCCAGCAAAAAGACTGAAAAGTCCAGGCTAATGACATCCTATTTCCAGGGCCCCAAACTGGGCCCTTGAATTTCTAGCAGCCATTTTGAAAAGGAAACTGTCAGTTACACAAGTCATCTTCCTTAAGAAAAAAGCCTGCTTGTTGTTTGGTAGATCAACGTCCATACTACCCAAAGCGAACTATGGATTTAATGAAATCTGTATCAAAATGCTAATAGTATTCTTCATAGAAATAGAAAAAAAGCCCTAAAATTGGCATGAAATCCACAAAAGACCCTCAATTATCAAAGCAATCTTGAACAAAAATGGGCAAAGCTGGGAGGTGTCATACTACCAAACTTCAAAATATATTACAAAACTATAGTAACCGAAACAGCATGGTACTGGTATAAAAACAGACACATAGACCAATGAAACAGAACAGAGAGCTCAGAAATAAATCTACACACTTACAGTCAACTGATTTTTGACAAAGATTCCAAGAACACCTGGTGAAAGAACAATTTCTTCAATAAATGGTGTTGAGAAAACTAGATATCCACATGCAGAAGAATAACATTTTCTTTTAAATATAATTTGTTTTTAGACACAGAGTTTCACTCTATTGCCCAGGCTGGAGGGTAGTGGTACAATCACAGCTCACTGTGACCTTGAAATCTTGGGCTCAAGCAATCCTCCCACCTCAGCTTCTGGAGTAGCTGAGACTACAGGTGCACACCATCACACTTGGCTAAAGACAACTTTTTTTTTTTTGTAGAGATGAGGTTTCTATATGTTGCTCAGTCTGGTATCAAACTCATGGTCTCCTCATTTCAAGTGTGAACCACTGTGCCCAGCCCCAGAAGAATGAAGTTACTCTTGTCTTGCACCATATGCAAAAGTCAACTCAAAATGCATTAAAAACTTAAATGTAAGACTCCAAACTATGAAACTACTAGAAGAAACATGGGGGAAACTCTCCATGACATTGATCTTGGCAATGATTCTTTCGATATAACCTCAAAAGCAAAGGCAACAAAAGCAAAAACATCACATGAAAAAGCTTCTGCACAGCAAAGGAAACAATTAACAGAGTGAAAAGACATACTATAGCATGGCAGAAAATATTTTCAAACTATACATTCAGCAAACGTTAATATCAATATATAAGAAACTAAAACAACTCAATAGCAAGAAAATATATTACCCCATTAAAGAATGGACAAGACTTGAATAAACATTTTCCAGAGAGACAAGCTATAGAATGGGAGAAAATATTTTCAAACTATATCAACCAACAGTAAATATTAATATATAAAGAACTAAAACAACTCAATAGCAAGAAAATACATTACCCCATTAAGGGACAAAAGACTTGAATAAACATTTCCCATAACAAGATATACAAATGGCCAACAGGTGTAGTCATGCACTGCAGAACAGTGTTTCAGTTAGTGACAGTACTCCATATATGATGGTGGTCCCATAAGGTTATTGTAGAGCTGAAAAATTCCTATCGCCTAGTGAGTGCAGTAGCTGTGGTAACATCATAGTGCAATGCATTACTCATGTGTTTGTGATGATACTGGTGTAAACAAACCTACTGCACTGCTAATCATATAAGCATAGCAAATACAGTTATACACAGTACATAATACTCGATATAAATGAGTTTTTCACTGGTTTATGTATTTATTGTACTACACTTTCTTATCATTATTTTAGCAGGTACTTCCTCTACTTATTAAAAAAAAGTTCACTGTAAAGTAGCCCCAGGCAGGTCCTTCAGGGGGTATTCTAGAAGAAGGCATTGCTATTACAGGAGATGACAGCTCCATGGGTGTTATTGACCTGAATACCTTCCAGTGAGGCAAGATGTGGAGGTGAAAGACAGTGATATTGATGATCTCAACACTGTAAGGCCTAGGCTAATGTATGTGCTTGTGTCTTAGGTTTAACAAAAAAGTTTAAAAAGTTAAGAAAAGTAAAAAATTTTAAAAATAGAAAAAAGTGTATAGAATAAAGATAAAAGCATATAGATATACAGAAAATATTTTAATACAGCTGGACAATGTGTGCTTTAAAGTTAAGTGTTAAAAAAAGTGTTATTACAAGAGTCAAAAAGTTAAAAAATTTAAAAAGTTTATAAAATAAAACTGTTACAATAAACTGACGTTAATTTATTACTGAAGGAAGAAAATATTTTTAAATAAATCTAGTATAGCCTAAGTGTGCAGTGCTTTTAAAGTCTACAGTAGTGTTCAGTAATGTCCTAGGCCTTCACATTCACTCACCACTCACTCACCCACTCACCCAGAGCAACATCCAGTTCTGCAAGCTCCATTCATGGTAAGTGCCCTATACAGGTGTACCATTTTTGAATCTTTTATACTGTATTTTTACTGTATCTTTTGTATGTTTAGATGTACAAATACTTAACACTGTGCTACAGTTGCCTACAGTGTTCAGTACAGTAACATGCTGTACAGGTTTGTAGCCTAAGAACGGTAGGCTCTACCATATAGCCTAGGTAATGATTCTTGAATAGACATTTTCCAAAAGAAGACATGCAAGACTACTAGGTGTGTGATAGGCTATCCCATCTAGGTTTGTATAAGTACACTCTGTGATGTTCACATAATGATGAAATTACCTAAGGACGGATTTCTCAGAATGTATCCCCACCATTAAGCAATACATGGCCGTATATGAAAAAATGGTCAACATCACTAATCATCAGGGAAATACAAATCAAAACCACAATGAGATCTTGTGTCCGGAATTGGTTCTTTCTGGTAGGTTCTTGGTCCTGCTGACTTCAAGAATGAAGCCGCGGACCCTCGTGGTGAGTATTACAGTTCTTAAAGATGGTGTGTCTGGAGTTTGTTCCTTCAGATACTCAGATGTGTCCGGAGTTTCTTCCTTCCCGTGGGTTTGTGGTCTCGCTTGACTTCAGGAATGAAGCCGCAGACCTTTGCAGTGAGTGTTACAGCTCTTAAGGGTGGCGCATCTGGAGTTGTTTGTTCCTCTGGGTGGGTTCGTGGTCTTGCTGACTTCAGGAGTGAAGCTGCAGACCTTCGCAGCTCATAAAGGTAGTGCGGGCCCAAAGAGTGAGCAGCAGCAAGATTTATTGTGAAGAGCGAAAGAACAAAGCTTCCACAGGGTGGAAGGGGACCAGAGGGTGTTGCCACTGCTGGCTTTGGTGGCCAGCTTTTATTCCCTTATTTGGCCCCGCCACGTCCTGCTGATTGGTCCATTTTACAGAGCGCTGATTGGTCCATTTTACAGAGTGCTGATTGGTCCATTTTTACAGAGTGCTGACTGGTGCGTTTACAAACCTTTAGCTAGACACAGAGTGCTGATTTGTGTGTTTACAATCCTTTAGCTAGACAGAAAAGTTCTCCAAGTCCCAACCTGACCCAGAAGCCCAGCTGGCTTCACGTCTCAATCTTATCCTACTACTGTTAGAATAGATATAATAAAAAGAGGTATATGTTGGTGAAGGTGTGGAGAAAGGGAACTTTTACACACTGTTGGTCGGAATGTAAATTAGTACAGCCATTATGGAAAACAGTATGGATGTTCCTCAAAAAATGAAAAATAGAGCTTCCATATGAATTCAGCGATCCCAGTGAATTTGGGTATATATCCAAAAGAAATAAAATTAGTATGCAGAAGTGATATCTGCACTTCCATGTTTATTACAGCAATATTCACAATAGCCAAGACACGGAACCATGGGGGGATGTCAGGACCAAACCAACCTGTATGTCCATCAATGGGTGAATGGATAAATAAAATGTGTTACATATACACAATAGAATACAATTCAGCCACAAAAAAGAACAAAATTCTGTCATTTGGGACAACATGGATGAACCTGGAGAATATTATGTTAAGTGTAATAAGCCAGGCATAGAAAGACACTACAACATGACTATATGTGGAATCTAAAAATGCTGTTCTCATAGAAGGACAAGTATTTGGGTGGTGAGTGGGACCCCCTCCCTAACCATCCAAGCCTCTGGTATGGGAAGGTTCCCCATCCATGTGGATGGGGAGATATTGGTCAAGGGATATATTTATAGGGAGACATTTATAGTTAGACAGGAGGAAAAAATATTCAGAATAGACAATATATAGAGACAGAAAGTTAGTCAGTGATTGCCTGGGGCTGGGAGAGGGAGGGAGAGGATAGCTAAGGCAGGGAGAGAAATTGGGAGTGACTGCTAATGGTTATGGAGTGTCTTTCTCAGGTGATGAAAATGCTCTAAAATTGATGTTTGCGAAACTCTGCAAATATCCTAAAAACCATTGGATTGTACACTTTTAATGGGTGAATTGTATAGTATGTGAATTATATCTTACCAAAGCTGTCTTTAAAAAAAATTCCTGTAGGTTACCTAAAGGCCACCTTCCCAGTGGTGGGGGAGCCGAACCAAAGCCTCTCTGTCTTCAGCACCTGTGCTTTTCACCCTATCACTGCTTCATGTTCCTGTTCTTCCACTCTGGAAGTGCAGCAGGTTCTATAGACAAAGGCAAAATGGGGGCAGGTTTTTACTGTTTTTTAAACAGAAGCTCCTAGCCAGCTGACATATGTATTGCAAGCATTCCCAAATCTGTAAGAGGTTGGGGTGCTTAGGATTTGTTCTCAAGCTTGAGTAAGAGATATGCAGGCACCATCCCTGCTGCTTTCTGATTTGTGGCTTAACAGTCTCTCCCTCCTCATACAGCGCCCCCTTCCCAAAAGCTCGTTGCTGGAGAAGGCTCAGGGCTGGGGGAGAGTGCAGAGGGTGAGGCCGTGGGAGTGGCAGGAAATGGGAGCGAAAGAAAGGGACTTCACTCTCTCTCCATTCCCAGGGATTTAGATGCTTAGATGCCTTTCACACTCATCTCTGGAAATCCTAACACTCACTTAGGAGAGAAGACTGGAACCTGATTGTTACACCTGGGTGAGGTGTGAAGGCACAGGCTGAATGATGCCTTAGCAGATAAGAAGGTGAACCAAGGGGGTGGGAGGCTCCAGTGCTCTGGCTCAGTGTCTCCTTGTTTAGAATTATTTCTCTGAGACATGATATATAATCTCCAGGCTGTATTCATCTGTCAGCTTGAGATGAGGGAAAATGCTCATGTTTTATGTGCTGATTTAATTGTATCCTTCTCTGATGCCCTTGTTTGGGATGTGCTGGTTGAGAGGGGAGTGGCCTGCGCAGTGGCGTTTGCCAGGGAATTACTGTGTGCCAGGCACCAAGCACATCATTTTTGTGCATCGCCTTCTTTGCTTCTCATCACAGTTACTATGATTATGCCCAAGTGTGCCTAAGGAAAAGTGAGATATAGGGAGGCTAATGTCACATGGTACAAATGTGGCAAGGCCAAGATTTGAACCCAAGATTGTCTGATTCTGGAACTCACAGGCTGACCCACGGGTTTATGTAGGCTCATTCCAGTATAGAAGCAGCAGGTTGGTGCAGTACAGGAGTCAGCACCTTCTGTTTGATGGTGGCTCTGCCAAAGAGAGCTGTGGGATCATTGGTAAGGTTGTGATCACTCCAGGACTCATATTTTTCAACTGTAAGTTGATTGTTGGTCTAGATATTCTCCAAGGTACCATCTAGACAAGAGGGTTGGTGATTCTACGCTGATGTCTACAAACAAGAGCTGGAAGAAATGATGATCTTTTTTTTTTTTTTAAATGGACTTTGCTCTTAGAAGGAGGCATTGGCTTTGAGATTAGGACTCTAATCTCATTTAGGAGGCTAATTTTCAGCATGGAGTTGTACAGGTTTTGGGGCCTTTGGAACAGAGTTCAAATCCTGGCTCCACCATATGTTTTCTGCAAGTCACTCAATCTCTCTGATCTTTAGCTTCCTGGTTGGTAAGATGAGGACAATAAAACCTTCCCTACTGAGGATGCATGAATATCTCAGCTATATTCATTGTATTGTGTTCTCCTTGAGGGTGGGGTCATGCCTTATGTATTTCTGGCAGGCATGGGGTTGAGTTGAATTGATTTTAAGAGGGAATAAAAAGCAAGTTGCTCTCTATAGACAAACCAGGCGTGTCTCTCCTTTGTTCAATGTGCCAGGGGGCAGGGACTCATTTCCCAGCCCCAGTATCTCCCACTGGCCAGGTTTTTGTCCTGTCCTGAGATCTCCCATGCAGTTCCAGGGAACTGTCATTTTCCACTACACCAGCTGGATAATACTCAAGCAAAGGTGTATGGGCATATGGTGTCTCTGGCTTTGGGCATGGAAGAAGGATTTGTGATGGGCTAGTTTTTCTTCTTTGGCCTCCTTGCTTCTACCCATTCCCCCTTCCACATAGGCATGTACACACTGGCTTACCTAGGTGGGTTTTTATCTCTGGATTTCCCATGTTGAGATGTCGTTTTGGGAGACAGCCGGCTCTGAAGTCAGACACACCATGGTTGGATCCTGGCAATTCCTGACATGCCTCTATGAGCCTCGGTTTCCTCGACCATGAAAGGAGATAGTAATAGCACTTGCTTCCCTGGGCTGTTGTGAAGATTAAATGAAGTTCAGCACAAGGCAAGGACTCCATAAGTGATACCAGTTTTACTTTTGTTTTGGCTCCACTCTGCCTGTCCTTAGCGCCCCCTGGCCACTAAACACAGAGTGATGGGGAGAAAAGGAATCAGAGCCCTACACTTCCTTCGGCTGTGCCAGTTATTCCGGCCTATGCTGCTGAATTTGAAGCTAAACTCAGAAATCTGCACTCTGTAAACATATCTATGACTTTAACTAGAACCACTGGTGTTTCGGACCAGAAATGGACTTAGTGATCGTAGATTCTGATCTCCTCCATTTGGAGTTGGTGGAAAATGAGTGAGAGAACATCCCTGCTTCCCTGCCAAAACCAGTGGTTTAAATAAGGTACAAGTTTATTTTTTCATATAAACATTGGTAGCCTAGGGCTGAAATGATGGACCCATGATCAGCAATGAACGAAGGCTCTATCCATTTTGTTGCCCTGTCCTCCTTAATCCAAGAGTTCTACTTTGTGGTCCAGGGTGGCGGCTCTAGCTCCAGCCATCATAACTTCAGTCCAGCTCACAGGAAAGAGAAAAAGAAAAGAAATTGGAAGAAGCATTGCATTTAAGAATACATCATGAAAGTTACACAAGCCATATCATAAGTACATAAGGATTTACACACCTAAGGATGACACAAGTCATATCCTTTTATATTCTATTGGTTAGAACTTTGTTATATACATCCATAGTTAACAGCGAGGGAACTCAGGGAATGTAGTATTTATTCTGGTGGCTATGTGCCCAATCAAGATTTGGAGGTTCTATTATGGAGGAATGAAGGGAAAATGCATCTAAGGAGACCATCAAAAGGCTCTGCCACACAGGTGACACAACTGCTTTACCCCCTCAATCTGTGTTCTTTCTATAGCATTCGCAAGGTTTTTTTAAAAATTAAAAAAATGTTTTTTAAGATGAAGTCCTGTTATATATCGCCAAGTTGCTCTCCAACTCCTGGGCTCAAGCAATCCTCCTACTTCAACCTCCTGAGTACTGGGACTACAGGTGCGCTACTGTGCCCAGCTACTTTTATTCATTTTTTGTTTTTTTAGAGACAGGGTTTCACTATGTTGCCCAGGTTGGCCTTGAACTCCTGGCCTCAAGCATTCCTCCTCCCTCAGTCTCCCAAGTAGCTGCGACTACAGGTGCATGCCACTGAGTCCAACTGCATTGCAAGTCTAGATTAAATTTCCCTTAGGTTCTTAATAAAATTTCTTGAAAATTCTGATCACAAAGATGGCACCTGGCAAGTTCCCGACCCAGGCAAGTTGGCTGGAGCACAGGCAGAGAGCTTGCGGGAATACAGTGGGGAGAGCACCCAGGCCACACTGATGCCTCTGTCAGACTGGGCCCCTTATGTTAAGGAAGACTGTGTCGATCCTTGGAGGGCAGAGAAACCATACTGTCCACCACTGAGGCAACAGGGAGAAATGAGATTGAGCTGTGCTAAGAGAAAAGAACGAGAGCTTCTGGGAAAACTCAGATACTTGTAAAAATTCCACCTAACCTGGGATGTAAGGTGATGTGCTGCTAAGATGGGTGAGTAGCTCAAGCTTCAGCAGGCAGCCAAAGCAGTCCTAGTCCCCTAAAACAGTGCCCCAGAACTCTGGGCAAAGCCATCGGAAGAGGGCCTGAACCCAGAATTAATAAAGCAGAGGGATACGGAGACTTCAGTGTGTTTCAGGCTCTGAGACTTGGTAAGAACACATGACAGAGAGGTGGGTGTGAGAGAGAAAAGGAGAAAGAGAGGAGAGAGAGAGAGAGAGAGAGAGAAAAAGAGGAAAGACAGAGGAGAGACAAGGAGAGACAGACAGTGGCAGGGGTGGGGTGAAGGGAGCGGGAGGGGAGACATAGTAAGGAAAGATAGAAGAGGAGAAAAAAAAAGAAGAAATAGGAGAGAGATATGGTATAATCAGGCTGCTTTCAATTGCAAGTGACAGTAAGCAACTAAAACTGGTTTAAGAAAAAAAAATTAACAGAAAGAATAGAAGCAGCAAAAAGGCTGCCAGCAACTCCAGACGTATTCCTATTTTCTCAGGATCCCTGAAGGACAGGTGCTTTTCGTTTTTCCTTTTTCTAATAGTTACAACCAAAGTTTTGGACTTGGATTTCATTGACACAGATTGGCCAACTTTGAGTGTCCTGACCAGGATAGGGGGATGTCAGGACCAGCCAAACCAGATGGATTAAGAAAGGAGGAGATTGGTTTCCCAAGGAAAATCAGTATGCTGTTACTAAAAGAAAGTGGAGTAGATACTGGGCAGGTGAAAACAACAGATCTCTACTATACATGATGAGGAAATCAGAGAGAGAGAGAGGGAGAGACAGAGAGAGAGAGGGAGAGACAGAGAGAGAGAGAGGTGGGAAGAGAGAGACATGAGAGAGATTAGAGATGAAGATGGGAAAGTTATTATAAAAGAGGAGAGAATGAAAGATGAAAGAAAAAAGCATTTGAGAGAAAGTAGAAAAGAAAGAAAGGCAGAAAAATAGAGAAAGAGGGAGAAAGGAAGGGAGAAGGAAAGGAAGGAAAGAATAAAAGGAAAACGGGAAGAAGAAAGAGGGAAAAAGAAGGAAGAAGAGAATGGAGAAATAATGGAAGGAAGAAAGAAGAAAGGGAGGGAGAGGTGTGTTTACCTGCATGTGTGCATGAGAAACACAGATGAGTAACACAAGGTGTGGCAAGCCTCTGCTACAACTTAATATCATGACCCAGGATCTCCAAACAGACCAGATTCTAGGAAGAGATGAGGTCTTACTGAAGTTCCTACTCCCTTCCCTCTCTCCTGAGTGTGGTCCCAGCCTACATCATCCTTATCTCACCTATTTCCACCCCAGTGGTATCCTGGAGCCTCTGGATTCTCTTGGGAAATTGTAGAATTGTCTCCCCAGTGTCATTGCCATGCTTTGGTCCAGGAGCCCAGGGGCTTCAGTCTGCCATGTGTTTTCAGCGTATGGCTGCCTGAAAACACATCTGTCAACCTTAGCATTGGAGAACAAAAGCTTGGGTTTGACATGAAAAGGACAGCAGAGAAGCAGCCTTGACCTAACTGCCATGTGGCATTCCTAAGTGCGCAGAGCCTCAGCCTGGAAGATATGCACAATACTTGAAAGAAGCCTTTTATCCAGGCAAGAGGGGATAAACACATCTGTATGGCATTGATTTCCCCCTCCTCCTTTCTTTCTGGGATTTGGAGCGGGGTTAGGGGGAGGAACAATGAAAACATTTGAAACATCTGACACTGAGTTGGGGTTGTGGATAGGCAGCATTTGGGGGGAAATGAAAGGTGAAATGCCAAATTTAGTTTGGCTCTTCTTTCTTTCTGGCGCCGTTTTTTTCCTCTTACATTCAACCCATATTTTCCTTTTAGCACCAGTGGGGGTGGTGGATCATGTAACATTCCTATTTAGCACACACATAGCTTGCCTTGTCTTGAAAGCGAAGCATACACTGACAACGGAAACCTCACAACCTCCTGAGTGGGAGACAACCTTAGGATTCTGGCTTCCAGGATATTTATGTTGGTTACTGTTTAGTGTGCTGAACACCAGCCGGGATCCCTTGACTCACATCTGAAACGGGATCGGAATCTGAAGGCATAATTCCTCTGCTGGAAACACAAAGGTTGTAGGTATACAAGAACACACAATTATATTGAAGAAGAAATAAGCCATTTATACAAGAGGGGACCAAGTATACCCATGTGTCAGGGAGAAAGGGTTTGATACGTTATGTTCTGGAATGGATTGGGCCGTTTTTCCTGAAGCTCACCACACAACCCACTAGGACAGTTTGGGCTCTGCTATGGTCTCCCAGATATCCCAGGGAAAGGCTCAGTGAAGCTGCAGGCCAAAACCAGGTAAGAGAAATCATAAAATGAATCACCCAAGACTCATGATACCTGATACCGTTTATTTGGTTACATGGTGTGGCAGACCTTGGTTCAAACTCCAGATGTTTTATCTAGTAGCAAGATGGTCTTTGGAAATTCAACCAACCTTTCTGAGTTTCAAATTTTTAGTTTTCAAAAATGAGGATGTTGTGAGATTTAAAATACAATAATATATAGGTAAAAGGCTTGATATGGTAGAAACGTAGCAAATTCTAAGTAACCTATATTATTTCCTGCCAGTGTGTTCCCAACTAGGGTGTAAGCTTCCAGAGTGCATATATACTAATTTTTTGGATTTCTATAATACTTTAACTTTAATGCTTTGTAAGCTTACATGGAATTTTTTTAATCAAATGTACATTGGTTTATTATAAAATTTTTTCCCTACTAAGATGGATTTTAGAGTACCTTTTTGAGGAACTCTGCCTTGAACCCTGACCTTGAACTGAGGTCAAGAGTTTTTTAAGAAACCGTTTGATTAAGATATAAATCACATACTATAAAGTTCAGCCTTTAAAAGTGTACATTTCAGTGGTTTTTAGAATATTCTTAGAGGTGTGCATCCATCACCACTATCTAAATCCAGATAATTTTCATTAACCCAAATAGAAACCCTATACCCATATACCTATTGGCAATTTCTCCATTCTCCCTTTCTCCCCTTGGAGGTGAGGCAACCACTGTTATATTGTCTGTCTCACCATGTCTATAGCTATATAATGACCTATGGATCTGAAATGGTGTCGACTCCCTCCAAAATGCATATGAGTTAAGCGGAGGACAGATGACACAGGAGAGGAAAATCAGGATAACATTTAAGGAAAAAGAGCTGAAATGGACACTGGGTGCCCAGAAAGACAGATACTTTACTTCTTCTCCATGTAATGATTCTCCCACAAACATCTTTGAGGTTTATGTTGCCCAGCAGATAGCCACTAATGATAATGTGGGTATGGAGCAGCTGAAATGGGACTACTCCAAATTGAGTCCAAATACACATTGAATTTTGAAGACTTATTATGAAAAAAGGGATGTAAAATACCTCATTAATACTTTTCTTATAGTAATTGCATGTTAAAATAATATTTTCAATGTACTGTATTGGGTTAAATAAAATATATTCTTCAGTGAAATTCACCTATCTCTTTTTATTTTTTGTAATGTGGCTACTAGAAAATTTAAAGTTACATTTGTGGTTCACATTATATTTCTGTTGGATAGTGATTCTCTAGATGCTTCTAGATTTGTTTTTCAACTGCCTGTCTCTTGAGATCAGGGGCTGTACATTATTTATTATTTTTTTCTTTAGTACAGGGCCTTGTACATGCTATGCACTTAACACATATTGTTGAATGAATATTGTCTGCCCTTAATGATTCCTCATTTCAAGTAAGATGAAAGCAAACTTCCTTGACAATCTGACTCCAACATTGTATTTCAAACTTCTATCCAAAAGGAGGTTGGACCATATCTCCTGGGCTATGTTTTGCTCAAAGAGGCCTCTATACTCCTCCTTCCCAGTCCAGGCTGCAGAGACCATGGAGCCCAGGGTACAGGAGGGAGAGGTGAGTGAAAGTGTGTGTGGATGAGACATGCTGTTTTGTGAAGAGTTGTTCATCTCTTGATGTTTAAGACCATAGCTTAGAGAACTTTCATTCTCTAAAGCTCTCTAGATTTTTAAGAAATTACTGAAGCATTTCCCTTACTAAATCCACTCATTTGCTACATGCAACTTGGACTTTCTGGAAACTTCTGAAGATTCACAGAGTCCATAAATGTCCTTGTCCTCCCTTTGGCTTAAATTAGTTCATCTATGTTTTGGTCACTTTCAGCAAGATGAGTTACAAGAACCCAGTCAGGCCAGGTGTGGTGGCTCACGCCTGTAATCCCAGCACTTTGGGAGGCCAAGGCAGGTGGATCACGAGGTCAAGAGATTGAGACCTTCCTGGTCAACATGGTGAAACCCTGTGTCTACTAAAAATACAAAAATTAGCTGGACGTGGTGGCATGCACCTGTAGTCCCAGCTACTCAGGAGGCTGAGGCAGGAGAATCGTTTGAACCTGGGAGGTGAAGGTTGCAGTGAGCCGAGATCACACCACTGCACTCCAGCCTGGTGACACAGCGAGACTCCATTTCAAAAACGAAACAAAACAGAACAACAACAACAACAACAACAAAAAACCCAAAAAGAACCCAGTCATCACAGAATCTGTACATGGCCTGTGGGTGGTAGATGCTGGCCCTACACATGAACGGTTCCATGGTCCTCATCCATGACAGAGTAGGACCTATGACCCAGATCCTTTGGCAGTGAGTTCAGTGCTCTTTCTTCTTATGCCATGCTCGGCCATGAGGAGAAATCCTGAAGTTCTGCACATTCTTTGAAAAAACACAGTGATGGAAGTGAGACAGATTGTGGGCACAGGGCCATAGCCCTGTTGAATCTGCACTTGTTCCACAAGGTTTGAGTTGTTCCCTCAGACTTTCAGAAAATCATTGTTGTGCTAATGTTTCTTCTTGCTTTCTTTTAAGGAAAAGTGTTTGAGAAGAGTACAACACAGCCACCACCATTTTTTCCTAGGTCAACAAGCACGCCTGTGTTCTGATAATTAAGAGTCCTAATGATACACATCTAATGGTAAAAAGTTCAGGGTTACTGACTTTAGTCATGGCTGGATCCAGGTGTTTAACATGATTTTATCAGGAAGTTGCTTCTCTCTCTGCCTCTGCCTTCCTTGGCATTGAATTCATTTTTAGGATGTGTGGGGGTTTACTGTTGAGGTGGTCACTGGCAGCTCTAGGTTTATGTTCTCACAAATGAATGACTCTTTCTTGATCACACCAGCAGTACTTCTAGGATTATCTCTTATTGGACCAATTTATGTCCCATTTCTACTGCTGAGCCATTTCATCAGTTCATTGTTAAACCATTCAGACAAAATACATTGACTGCTTTCCATGTTCCAGCAGCCACACACTTTTTATGAGGAGCCTTCAAATATTAAAATAAAGGAATACTAGCAGTATTTTTTAGGAATAATGTGTTTTTCAAGTTCAATGCTATATTACATTAAGCACTGTGAAGCCAGGCTGTGGGAACAATAAAGCTTTTTTTGATGAACCTCAAAATTGCAAATTGAGGTGGTGAATGACAGTCATCTCCTTTTCTCTGAGGAGCCCAAATGTCAGAATGCACCCATGTCTGAGGTCATCCTTCCTTTGAAATACCTGCCACGATGACTGCAGCTCCTGCAGGTTTCCCTCCCCAGGTGAGTCTGGGCATCCCTGTGGGAATCCTTGCCCATTCCACACACCCATCTAGTTGCTGCCTGCCTCTGCTGGCTCCAGGACTGCTGCTGTCTTCTTTCCATGTGCTGCTGCTTGCCCCTGGTTGACTTTCAGCTGACACAGGAAAGCTCTTTTTGAAGCTGCTGCCATTCCTTCCTGTATAGAATCCAGGACCGTCCTGTTTCCTATAGTAATGGCAAAGATTGGGCTGAGTTTTTTGACAGGGTTCTACTGGATATTTTGGGAGAGAACTACAAGGATGAGAGAAACCTACACTTACTACCAGATAGAATTGGGCTCAGAGGTTCCTTTCCTGGGGCTCTCTGAAGGGTTCTCTCTTACTCTTGTCCATCTCATCTGCTCCAACAGAAGCGTCCTCTAGTGTGTCTGTGTCTCTATGTCCAGGTCCCAGTGAGCGCAGGGCTCAGAGACATGAAGGAGTAAGTCATGCCTCACTCATCCCGGGCTAAGGCTTTAATTTCCTATCTCAGCACCTACTTCGTCCCAGCATAGTTAAAAATACGAATATTCATTCCCTTCAGGGAAGACCTGCTTCTTGTCGCTACACACAACTTTACTCTTTAGCCTTCAGTAGATCAAGGTCACTAATACGTAAGTCACAAAGTCACTAATACATAATATATAAGTCCATATAGCAATCCATTTCCCAAAATGTGTGTTTTTCAGTCTTAAATAACAGCACAGTGGTATAGCAGCAACAGGTCCATGCTGAGATGCACCAAACGCAGTCCTGCTTCTCTTCCTTGTCTCGTCCTCTGTGAGGGGAACAGATGGGGACCTTTAACATTTCCTTCCAAGCACCTGTCTATTTGATTTCTGATCCTCCTGCAAACTATCTTTTGAAATGGAACATACCCAACTCTGAAAGAATAAAAAAATGTTTAGCTATGGTAGTCGATGAAATCCTCACAGAAAAGAAACTTTTTTACCCCCAAAGGCAATAGTGTTCACAGAGACATAGCTTTAGGAGGCTCTGAGCATAACCAAACAGGTATTGAGCTTGTTTGTCTAAATTAGATGTATTTAATCTATCGGATTCCTGACTTTCTCCAGATGTTCTTGCTTTACTTTTGCATATTGTACTAGTTAGTGTTCTCCAGAGAAACAGAATCAATAGATTTACTTATTGATTGATTTTATTTTATTTTTTTCTTGAATAAAGCATGGTATAGTCATTAGTTACAACCCTTAGAACAGTCATTAGGCCAGTCATGCCATAAGTCAAGCCCTCAGCTCCATCTGTGGCAAGGGGATTTGTTTGCCTGGACTTTTGGAAAATACTAGGATTCTAATTACACCCCAAATTCAAATTGTGTGGGTGTTGCTTTCTTTTCCTGAATCAGATAATACAAGTTGATATAAAGCAGATAATAAAAACGTCATACTTCAAAGGCCTTGTGAACCAACATCCTTTCACAATTTTTAGATGAGATTTTGAATGTATAAACTTTCCCTGCAAACATGTTCTAGGGATGACTCAGTTTCTTTTAAAATCTGTGTAAGGCTGGGCGTGGCAGCTCAAGCCTGTAAATCCCAGTACTTTGAGAGGCCAAGGAGGAAGGATGGCTTGAGGCCAGGAATTCGAGACCAACCTGGACACCATAGTGAGACCCCCGTCTCTACAAAATTTTTTAAAAATTTGCCAGATGTAGTGCTCTGTGCCTGTAGTTCTAGTTGCTTGAGAGGCGGAGGCGAGAGGATTGCTGGGGCCCCAGAGTTCAAGGTTTCAGTGAGCTGTAATTGTGCTACTGCACTCCAGCTTAGGCAACAAAGCCAGACCTCATCTCTTAAAGAAAAAAACTTCATAAACAGCTCAATGTTAGTGAATTTTCACTGACTATATTAGAAGACACTGAAAATAATTCTGCCAAGAAATTCTCTGCAGAAACTTAGACAATTTCTGAACCACCTTTAAATCCTCCTATTGACGGAGGCTTGGAGGGCATTGTGTTAGAGGGGCACGTGCCACTGGTTGGCTACTCTGAGGCAGACTCTGCACCCAGCAGTGAATATTTGTGTGGTTTTCTCCACAGGTCCCGTGGGAAGATGTCCGTTATCTCTTTGATGAGATCATGTATGGAGGCCACATCACAGATGACGGGGATTGCAAACTGTGTCGGGTGTATTTAGAAGAATTCATGAATCCATCTCTGGTAAGACATTTGTAAATTAATTAACTTGTAATTTCACTGAGGAAAAAATTCTGGTAAGAATTTTATAAACTAATTATACTATGGGTAATTCTTTTTTTTATTCTTATACTTTAAGTTTTAGGGTACATGTGCACAACTTGCAGGTTTGTTACGTAAGTATACATGTGCCATGTTCGTGTGCTGCACCCATTAACTCGTCATTTAACATTAGGTATATCTCCTAATGCTATCCCTCCCCCCTCCCCCCACCCCACAACAGGCCTGGGTGATGTTCTCCTTCCTGTGTCCATGTGTTTTCATTGTTCAATTCCCACCCATGAATGAGAACAGGCAGTGTTTGGTTTTTTTGTCCTTGTGATAGTTTGCTGAGAATGATGGTTTCCAGTTTCATCCATGTCCCTACAAAGGACATGAACTCATCATTTTTATGGCTGCCTAGTATTCCATGGTTTATACGTGCCACATTTTCTTAATCCAGTCTATCATTGTTGGACATTTGGGTTGGTTCCAAGTCTTTGCTATTGTGAATAGTGCTGCAATAAACGTATGTGTGCATGTGTCTTTATAGCAGCATGATTTATAATCCTTTGGGTATATACCCAGTAATGGGATGGCTGGGTCAAATGGTATTTCTAGTTCTAGATTCCTGAGGAATCACCACACTGACTTCCACAATGGTTGAACTAGTTTACAGTCCTACCAACAGTGTAAAAGTGTTCCTATTTCTCCACATCCTCTCCAGCACCTGTTGTTTCCTGACTTTTTAATGATTGCCACTCTAACTGGTGTGAGATGGTATCTCATTGTGGTTTTGATTTGCATTTCTCTGATGGCCAGTGATGATGAGCATTTTTTCATGTGTCTTTTGGCTGCATAAATGTCTTCTTTTGAGAAGTGTCTGTTCATATCCTTCGCCCACTTTTTGATGGGGTTGTTTGTTTTTTTCTTGTAAATTTGTTTGGGTTCATTGCAGATTCTGGCTGTTAGCCCTTTGTCAGATGAGTAGATTGCAAAAATTTTCTCCCATTCTGTAGGTTGCCTGTTCACTCTGATGGTAGTTTCTTTTGCTGTGCAGAAGCTCTTTAGTTTAATTAGATCCCATTTGTGTATTTTGGCTTTTGTTGCCATTGCTTTTGGTGTTTTAGACATGAAGTCCTTGCCCATGCCTATGTCCTGAATGGGATTGCCTAGGTGTTCTTCTAGGGTTTTTATGGTTTTAGGTCTAAGATTTAAGTCTTTAATCCATCTTGAATTAATTTTTGTATAAGGTGTAAGGAAGGGATCCAGTTTCAGCTTTCTGCATATGGCTAGCCAGTTTTCCCAGCACCATTTATTAATAGGGAATCCTTTCCCCATTTCTTGTTTTTGTCAGGTTTGTCAAAGATCAGATAATTGTAGATCTGTGGCATTATTTCTGAGGGCTCTGTTCTGTTCCATTGTTCTATATCTCTGTTTTGGTGCCAGTACCATGCTATTTTGGTTACTGTAGCCTTGTAGTATAGTTTGAAGTCAGGTAGCATGATGCCTCCAGCTTTGTTCTTTTGGCTTAGGATTGACTTGGCGATGCGGGCTCTTTTTTGGTTCCATATGAACTTTAAAGTAGTTTTTTCCAATTCTGTGAAGAAAGTCATTGGTAGCTTGATGGGGATGGCATTGAATCTATAAATTACCTTGGGCAGTATGGCCATTTTCACGATATTGATTCTTCCTACCCATGAGCATGGAATATTCTTCCGTTTGTTTGTATCCTCTTTTATTTCGTTGAGCAGTGGTTTGTAGTTCTCCTTGAAGAGGTCCTTCACATCCCTAGTAAGTTGGATTCCTAGGTATGTTACTCTCTTTGAAGCAATTGTGAATGGGAGTTCACTCATGATTTTGTCTGTTATTGGTGTATAAGAATGCCTGTGATTTTTGCACATTGATTTTGTGTCCTGAGACTTTTCTGAAGTTGCTTATCAGCTTAAGGAGATTTTGGGCTGAGACGATGGGATTTTCTAGATATACAATCATTTCATCTGCAAACAGGGACAATTTGACTTCCTCTTTTCCTAATTGAATACCCTTTATTTCTTTCTCCTGCCTGATTGCCCTGGCCAGAACTTCCAACACTATGTTGAATAGGAGTGGTGAGAGAGGGCATCCCTGTCTTGTGCCAGTTTTCAAAGGGAATGCTTCCAGTTTTTGCCCATTCAGTATGATATTGGCTGTGGGTTTGTCATAGATAGCTCTTATTATTTTGAGATATGTCCCATCAATACCTAATTTATTGAGAGTTTTTAGCATGAGGCGTTGTTGAATTTTGTCAAAGGCCTTTTCTGCATCTATTGAGATAATCATGTGGTTTTTGTCTTTGGTTCTGTTTACATGCTGGATTACATTTATTGATTTGTGAATGTTGAACCAGCCTTGCATCCCAGGGATGAAGCCCACTTGATCATGGTGGACATGCTTTTAGTGTGCTGCTGGATTCGGTTTGCCAGTATTTTATTGAGAATTTTTGCATCAATGTTCATCAAGGATATTGGTCTAAAATTCTCTTTTTTGGTTGTGTCTCTGCCTGGCTTTGGTATCAGGATGATGCTGGCCTCATCAAATGAGTTAGGGAGGATTCTCTCTTTTTCTATTGATTGGAATAGTTTCAGAAGGAATGGTACCAGCTCCTCCTTGTACCTCTGGTAGAATTCGGCTGTGAATCCATCTGGTCCTGGACTTTTTTTGGTTGGTAAGCTATTGATTATTGCCTCAATTTCAGAGGCTGTTATTGGTCTATTCAGAGATTCAACTTCTTCCTGGTTTAGTCTTGGGAGGGTGTATGTGTTGAGGAATTTATCCATTTCCTCCAGATTTTCTAGTTTATTTGCGTAGAGGTGTTTATAGTATTCTCTGATGGTAGTTTGTATTTCTGGGGGATCAGTGGTGATACCCCTTTATGATTTTTTATTGCATCTAGTTGATTCTTCTCTCTTTTCTTCTTTATTAGTCTTGCTAGCGGTCTATCAATTGTGCTGATCTTTTCAAAAAACCAGCTCCTGGATTCATTGATTTTTTGAAGGGTGTTTTGTGTCTCTATTTCCTTCAGTTCTGCTCTGATCTTAGGTATTTCTTGCCTTCTGCTAGCTTTTGAATGTGTTTGGTCTTGCTTCTCTAGTTCTTTTAATTGTGATGTTAGGGTGTCAATTTTAGATCTTTCCTGCTTTCTCTTGTGGGCATTTGGTGCTATAAATTTCCCTCTACACACTGCTTTGAATGTGTCCCAGAGATTCTGGTATGTTGTGTCTTTGTTCTCATTGGTTTCAAAGAACATCTTTATTTCTGTCTTCATTTCGTTATGTACCCAGTAGTCATTGAGGAGCAGGTTGTTCAGTTTCCATGTAGTTGAGCGGTTTTGAGTGAGTTCTAGTTTGATTGCACTGTTAATCCTGAGTTCTAGTTTGATTGCACTGTGGTCTGAGAGACAGTTTATTATAATTTCTGTTCTTTTACATTTGCTGAGGAGTGCTTTACTTCCAACTATGTGGTCAGTTTTGGAATAGGTGTGGTGTGGTGCTGAAAAGAATGTATATTCTGTTGATTTGGGGTGGAGAGTTCTGCAGATGTCTATTAGGTCTGCTTGGTGCAGAGCTGAGTTCAATTCCTGGATATCCTTGTTAACTTTCTGTCTCAATCTGTCTAATGTTGACAGTGGGGTGTTAAAGTCTCCCATTATTATTGTGTGGGAGTCTAAGTCTCTTTCTAGGTCTCTAAGGACTTGTTTTATGAATCTGGGTGCTCCTGTATTGGGTGCCTATATATTTAGGATAGTTAGCTCTTCTTGTTGAATTGATCCCTTTACCATTATGTAATGGCCTTCTTTGTCTCTTTTGATCTTTGTTGGTTTAAAGTCTGTTTTATCAGAGACTAGGATTGCAACCCCTGCCTTTTTCTGTTTTCCATTTGCGTGGTAGATCTTCCTCCATCCCTTTATTTTGAGCCTATGTGTGTCTCTGCATGTGAGATGGGTTTCTTGAATACAGCACACTGATGGGTCTTGACTTTTTATCCAGTTTGCCAGTCTGTGTCTTTTATTTGGAGCATTTAGCCCATTTACATTTAAGGTTAATATTGTTATGTGTGAATTTGATCCTGTCATTATGATGTTAGCTGGTTATTTTGCTCGTTAGTTGATGCAGTTTCTTCCTAGCCTCGATGGTCTTTACAATTTGGCATGTTTTTGCAGTGGCTGGTACCAGTTGTTCCTTTCTATGTTTAGCACTTCCTTCAGGAGCTCTTTTAGGGCAGGCCTGGTGGTGACAAAATCTCTCAGCATTTGCTTGTCTGTAAAGTATTATATTTCTCCTTCACTTATGAAGCTTAGTTTGGCTGGATATGAAGTTCTGGATTGAAAATTCTTTGCTTTAACAGTGTTGAATATTGGCCCCCACTGTCTTCTGGCTTGTAGAGTTTCTGCCAAGAGATCATCTGTTAGTCTGATGAGCTTCCCTTTGTGGGTAACCCAACCTTTCTCTCTGGCTTCCCTTAACAGTTTTTCCTTCATTTCAACTTTGGTAAATCTGACAATTATGTGTCTTAGAGTTGCTCTTCTTGAGAAGTATCTTTGTGGTGTTCTCTGTATTTCCTGAATCTGAACGTTGGCCTGCCTTGCTAGATTGGGGAAGTTCTCCTGGATAATATCCTGCAGAGTGTTTTCCAGCTTGGTTCCATTCTCCCCGTCACTTTCAGGTACACCAGTCAGATGTAGATTTGGTCTTTTCACATAGTCCCATATTTCTTGGAGGCTTTGTTCATTTCTTTTTATTCTTTTTTCTCCAAACTTCTCTCCTCGTTTCATTTCATTTAGTTGATCTTCCATCACTGATACCCTTTCTTCTAGTTGGTCGAATTGGCTGCTGAGGCTTCTGCATTCTTCACGTAGTTCTCGTGCCTTGGTTTTCAGCTCCATCAGGTCCTTTGAGGACTTCTCTGCATTGGTTATTCTCGTTATCCATTCGTCTCATCTTTTTTCAAGGTTTTTAACTTCTTTGCCATGGGTTCGAACTTCCTCCTTTAGCTCGGAGTAGTTTGATCATCTGAAGCTTTCTTCTCTCAACTCGTCAAAGTCATTCTCCGTCCAGCTTTGTTCTGTTGCTGGTGAGGAGCTGCGTTCCTTTGGAGGAGGAGAGGTGCTCTGATTTTGAGAATTTTCAGTTTTTCTGCTATGTTTTTTCCCCATCTTTGTGGTTTTATCTACCTTTGGTCTTTGATGATGGTGACGTACAGATGGGTTTTTGGTGTGGATGTCCTTTCTGTTTGTTAGTTTTCCTTCTAACAGTCAGGATCCTCAGCTGCAGGTCTGTTGGGGTTTGCTGGAGGTCCACTCCAGACCCTGTTTGCCTGGGTATCAGCAGTGGAGGCTGCAGAACAGCAGATATTGGTGAACAGCAGATGTTGCTGCCTGATCGTTTCTCTGGAGGTTTTGTCTCAGAGGAGTACCCGGCCATGTGAGGTGTCAGTCTGCCCCTACTAGGGGGTGCCTCCCAGTTAGGCTACTCCGGGGTCAGGGACCCACTTGAGGAGGCAGTCTGTCCATTCTCAGATCTCCAGCTGCATGCTTGGAGAACCACTACTGTCTTCCAAGCTGTCAGACAGGGACATTTAAGTCTGCAGAGGTTTCTGCTGCCTTTTGTTTGGCTATGACCTGTCCCCAGAGGTGAAGTCTACAGAGGCAGGCAGGCCTCCTTGAGCTGCGGTGGGCTCCACCCAGTTTGGGCTTCCCAGCCACTTTGTTTACCTACTCAAGCCTCGGCAATGGCGGGCGCCCCTCCCCCAGCCTCACTGCCGCCTTGCAGTTTGATCGCAGACTGCTGTGCTAGCAATGAGCGAGGCTCCGTGGGCACAGGACGCTCTGAGGCAGGTGCAGGATACAATCTCCTGGTGTGCCATTTGCTAAGACCATCAGAAAAGCACAGTGTTAGGGTGGGAGTGGCCTGATTTTCCAGGTGATGTCTGTCACTCCTTTCCTTGGCTAGGAAAGGGAATTCCCTGACCCCTTGTGCTTCCTGGGTGAGGCGATGCCTTGCCCTGCTTTGGCTCACGCTTGGTGCACTGCATCCACTGTCCTGCACCCACTGTCTGACAATCTCCAGTGAGATGAACCCGGTACCTCAGTTGGAAATGCAGAAATCTTTCATCTTCTGCGTCGCTCATGCTGGGAGCTGTAGACTGGAGCTGTTCCTATTCGGCCATCTTGGCTCCACCTGATTGATTTTATTAATTATGGGAATTGGTTCACATGGTTATGAAGGCTGAGAAGTTCCACCGTATGATATTTGCAAGCTGGAGATCCAGGAAAACTAGTGGGGTAATTCAATCCAAGTTTGAAGGCCTGAGAACTTAGAGGGTAGGAGGGTGTGTTGATATAAGTCCTGGACTCTGAAGGCCAAAGAGCTTGGTGTGAGAAAGCAGGAGAAGATAGATGTCCCTGTTAAAGGAGAGAGAGAATTTGCTCATCCCTGATCTCTTTGTCCTATTCAGGCCTTCTACAGATTGGATGATGCCCGGCCACACTGGGGAGGGCAGATCTGCTTTACCAATCCAAATATGAACTGTATATTCTGCCAATCCAAATATGCCAATCCAAATATGAACCTCTTCCTGAAACACCGTCACAGGCACATAGAAATAACGCTTAACTAATAATGTTAAAATTTAGTATTAAATAATAATGTTTAAATAATGTTTATAGGGGCACCTCATGACCCAGTCAGGTTGACACATAAAATTAACTTTTACATGTAGCTAAAAAATCATTGATATGGTTTTCTTGAAGAAAGAAAGAAGGAAAGAAAGAAAACCTGAAAAATGGTTTGGCTTATCCCAAAGGTGAGATCAGGTTTTGGTCAGGTTCCTAGCTGGCACACTCAAGAATCTTCCATGCACAATCCTACCTTAACTCTCATATTTTTATCCTCTACTACTAGCCAGTGTGTCATTGGCTTCAGCTAGAACAAGACCTTCACTCTCCCTTGTAGGTTCTGTGCCAATTCAGCCTCCACACTTTTATTTATGTTGTGATACCACTGGGTTCCCTCTCAAATTCTGTCCAAATCCCATCTATCCTTCAAGGGCCTAAAGTCAACCTTGTCTAGGAAATCCTCCCCAACTAGCACGCTGAATTTCCATCATGTTTTATTTCTCTCAACAATTTGGACTTATTTAAGTTGCAGATAGGAAAAATGAGGTGAAAGGTCTATTATCTAACTTCATTATTTTAAAAGAGGGAACAGCTTTGACTAAACACACCTTGATTTGTCCATTGAGGGTACAAGAAAACTCAAAAGGCATGGGTTTTGGTGGGCTCAGAGGAACAAAGGGAGATGGTTCAGTTGCTCCGACTGAGGGAAAAAAGAATCATTGGTTATCTGCCTCTGGTGGGGGAGTAGTGGGGAGAAGAGAAAAGAAGAGAGGTGATGAGGAGGAGTTGTGGGGAGGAGAAGGAAGAACCAGTGAGATCAGCTGAGGTGGGGCTTCTGAGAGCTGAAGAGCAAGTTCCCCATGGCGAAGGGCCTTTACAAGGGGGAGTGTCTGATATTCATTGTGAAGTTGTCTTGTGCTTTGTTGATGTCATTCCTTTTCTCTGCTTCCCCCACACCTCAAGGAAAGTCTGACACTCTCACAAGAGCCTTGAGCTGGCAGGTTTTTTGCAGGGAATTGAAGAATGAGCTGGGTTTTATAGCTGGGTTGACAGAGTGTGAATATGAAAGCATGGGCGAAGAAAAGCAAGAGGCTGGACATAATGACTGCACCCAGACTTTGGCGAAATCTTTGGGAAGAATCTTTGAGGAGTTCTAGTTGATTGTAACCATATCTCAGGGGCTCACAATGGGGCTTCTCTGATTATAGTCCCAAGGTCCCACTCCTCCAGAAAGCTACTTCTCATTCTTTCTTTGTTCTTTCTTCTTCATTCTTTCTCACTTTCTATGATGTCTCCTCCCTATTCCTTTCCCGCTCTTGTTTTATCCTGTCTTATTTACAGCAATTTGGCTTCTCTCATCCTTTTATCTTCCTTCTCTGTAAGCACGATAAAGACCTGGTAATGAACCAAATGATCAAGAGATACTTCCTTTTGGAATAACGGGAGGTAGAATGCAGAGGAGGTAGACTGCAAATCTTTATAGTTTAATATATTTTTGTATCCATCTTACACTCATCTGTACAAACACATGTATACATATAGGTCTTATTAGAACCCTCAATTTTTAAGTTCTATGACAGTAGGGACCATGGCTTTTTCATAAGTACCCTTTCTGTCCCCTCACAACAATCCAGCGTGGAACCAACCATATAGCCCTTAATCAATGAATTATAGAGGACCTTTAGTGAGTTACATGACATCTTGGGAGGAGGGAGGAGATAGAATGGAGAAGGGGATGGGATTGAAATTTATAGAGCCTCTGTTGCATGCCAGGCAGAGTACAAGGCACTTTACATGTAACATCTACAGTATACTTAATGCCCACTATGCATCCAGCATGCTATGCAAGTTCTTATTTAATTCTTACTGCTGGACCATGTTACTCAATTTCAGGAGTTGTGCAATATGGCGCCCATGTTCATAACCATCATGTAACACAGATATCATGAGTACTATTGTACAGGTGAGGAGTGTGGGCTTCCAAGAAGCATTAACTCTGTCAAGTTTCCATAGCTAGATTTGCAGAAACGTAATATTTGCCCTGGTCTTTTTGACTCCATGGCCGTGGTCTTTTTTTCTCACTTTACCACAAAACAAATCTATTTCAAATATTTGATGATAAGATATGTAGAAGCCAGGAATGAGGAAGCCAGTGCTCATACCCAATATGGTATGGAGTAAGAAAGGAATGGGTGGACACAGGATGACACATTCCACTCCAGTTGCGCTTCTCAAGGGAGATACTATTGACATACTTCTCCTGGACAATTTTTTTTATCATGTGGGAATGTTCTGTGCATGACAGGATATTTTGTATCCTTAGTTTTTGCCCAGTAAATGCCAGGAGTGCTCTTTCTCTTCTTGACACCCCCAAAGTAAATACTCTCAGACATTTCCAAATTTCCCTAGAGGAATAATACCACTATAGATCAAATTGCCTCCTTGAGTGATTTCCTAAACCCCCTTTAGGTTTAGTTGTCAATAATTCTGTGTAGAAATGAATGAATGGATGAATGGTCAGGACTAATTGCAGGCACAGACTGCTTTTGTAAAGGCAGGTTTAGATGGGATATTCCTGTGGCCTTGGATTACTTAGATCACTGGGGACTTAGGACAATGCCCAAATAGAAGTGTGATGACCCAGATGTGAGACAAAGGACCCAGAAGGCAAACATCATCTGCTCTTCAGTTTACCTCTAACCAGACCCTTTCCTGGTGCTTTCAAGGCTGCGAAATGAAGATTCTGCCTGCTCAATGACAGCCCCAAGTGGGAACAGAGGGAGGGAGGGAGGGAGGGAGGGGCAGCAGCCTCACTGTAGTAAAGTGGAATGCCATCGCCCTCCACGCTAATGCAAACCAGCTGCCGGCCGGCCCCAGCTTGCGATAGAACAGGCGGAATTCTTGGACACTGAGTTATTCTTAGAAGCATGTGCGCAGTCCCCTGGCAGGGCTCACTGTGAACCGGCCATTGCCAGCCCCCTGTCAGGATGCTGTGCCAGCAGACTCAAGAGTGATTGTTCTCGCTTATGAAAAATAACTTTGGGATTTTAATTTCAAATTACCCACAGAGATGGGGCTGGATATGGAGAATATGGTGCTAAGGGCAGAGAGGAGAGTGAGACAAAGGACAGGGAGGACAGGGAACATCACCCATTCATTCGCAAATACATATTAAGTATCTGCTATGTGCAGATACTGGGGTTCTCATCACACCCAGACTTCCATTTGAACTGGGTGGACACAGGTGAACAGTTGTCTAGACCCTGAGAGTGAACACTCCCACGTGCTTTTAGATTCTGTTGATTGAGTGCTTTTTGTGTGCCAGGCTCTTTACATCAGGGATCTCACTTAGTCTTCACAGTAGCACTGTGAAGTGAGCAGCATTGCTCCTGTTTTACAGGAAACTGAGTGTTGGAGAAAGAATCTGCCTAAGGCTTCACAGCTATCAAGTGGCCGAGCCAGGATTTGAACTCTGGCCAGCAGGCTTCTGCCTTCACGCCTGTGTTGAGCACCAACTGTATGCCAAGGTCGAGTTAGACATCGAGATTGTGAAGCCAAATAAAGGGGCTGAATCTTAGCCCTTAAGTCTCTCTGTTGAACTGTCTATGGGAGCGACAGGCATATGACAAGGAATTATAATAACGGGGTTTGTAAAGCAGGAGATCAGAACTATGGATAAGCTCCACTGGAATGTGGCAGGGCCAGCAATCAAAGAGGAGGGAATAGTTGGGTGTTATGTAGGGAAGGCGATGGAAAAAGGGCACTTCAAGCAGAGAAGCAGCATGGGCGATGGTCTGTGGGCCGGCAGGTGCAATGGGCTTAGTGGAGCTGCAGCACAGGATACACTGAGGGGATAGGAGATGAGATGACTGGAAAGGCGAGCAGGACCTGATGGTAAAGAGCCTCGTGGGACAGACCTAAGAGCTGGAACTTTGTCCTGGAGGAACTGAAGACTCCTCTGTCCAATCGTTTAGCCACTTGCTCATTTAGTGTATATTTATTGAGCACTCACAGTATGCCAGGCATTCTACATGTAAATAATTTTAAGCAGGAAACAGGTGCATGAGTTTTACTTTAGAAAAAAAAATTCCTATGTGGAAAGTCATTAAGGGGCCTCCATGGTGGCCCAGGTAAAAGATGATCCAGGAATGACCAGTGATAGCAGCTGGGAGTTTAGAGACATACATGAGATGTCCACTTGACACACATAGGGGATGAAGTGAAGCTTATTTCCTCTGCAAAGCTCATTGATGAATGCATGCTCGCATTATGGGGAGTATCTGCAAATGAGGGTTAGTATCTAGCAAACCTATATATGTCTGGTCCTGTCAGCAGAATTGCATGTCCATTAAGGAGCATTTGTGTTTGGTTCCAAGCCCATTTATGTCATTCTTAGTTATTAATTACTTAATCCAGTATTAACCCCAAAATAAAATAAATTGTGCCAAAAAAAGGGAACTGTTTCTATCAATGCTGAGTTGAAAGCTTTGTAAAGGCAGACTAAGAACTGCTAAAACTTACTATGGAATTGGGTGTGGATGAGACAATGAAAGGATCGGGAAAATCATAAAATTCTAGCAAGATTCTTTACTCAGATTGCTTTACAAGGGTCTTTAAGGTCTCTCTCAACTTCAAAGAAACTGATGCTGGAAATTGTAGATGATGCATTAAAGGGTGTGGTGTATGTAAGAAAGATGACAAGGAGCTGCAGTCAGCAGACCCATTCTCAAAGAAAAGCCTTGGCTCCACATCAAAAGAGTGGTGAATGAATGTGCATTTATATGTTTTAAGTTAAAATTAAACAGGTTTGGAGTATGTACGTATCATTTTTTAGCTTTAAGTAAAGTTTTTATTGAAGTATAACATACATTGAAAAAAGCTCACAGATCTAAGATTATAGTGGGATATGTTTTTGTAAAGTGAACACCCAGCATAACCAGCAACCAGATCAAGGACCAGAACTTTGCCAGCACCCCCAAATCTTTCCTCATGCCTTATTCCAAGCATTACACACTCCCATCTCAAATGTAGCCACTACTCTGACTTTTATCAGCATTAATGAATTTCACCTATTCACCTATTAAATAAATCAGAATTTTTTTTTTTTTTTTTGCTTGGAGCTTAACTTGTTTTGCTTGGCATTATGTTTGTAAAAGCCCTCCATGTTGTTTAGTGTTGAAATAATTTGCTCAACCTCGTTGTATAGTATTCTTTGAGCTATGTGTTGGTACACAGTAAGCACTCAGTAAATGATAGTCAAATAGAGATGTGAGTGACCTTTAGTAAGACAACACCTGGACAGCTGTCCACCATCTGAATTTGAATGGTGCTCTGGAAGTGTTGAATACCCCCAGTTTATCTATTCAGTCTACCCTGAAGAATATATATGTTGTTCCTAGTGACTAGCTATTATGAATAGTGCTACTATAGACACTTTTATACAGATCTTTTGATGAACACACGCAGGCATTTCTTTTGAGTATATATCTAAGAGAAAAATTGCCAGGTCCTAAGTTGTACATATATTCAGGTTTAATAGATACTGAGGAAGAGTTTTTCAAAGTGGTTGTGTCCATTCTGCTTCTGTTTGTGGAGTAAGAAAGTTCTAATGGCTTCCGCATTCTTGCCAACACTTGATATTGTCTATGTTATTGTTTCTAATTATAGCTGTTCTTGTGGGGGTAAAGTGATATCTAATATTTTTGTTTGCTTTTAATAAATCTTTTATTATAGGATAATTTTAGATTTACAGGAAAGTTGCAAAGACAATGCGAAGAGTTCCTGTATAGCCCTCACTCAATTTTCCCCATTTGTGAACATCTTCCATTACTGTAGCATCTTTGTCAAAGTGAAGAAACTGATATTGGTAGGTTGCTATTAAGTAAACTCCAGATTTTATTTAGATTTCATCAGTTTTTTCCAGTTTTATCCTCTTTCTGTTATAGCAACCCTTCTTCCAGGGTACCACATTGCATTCGGTTGTCATGCCTCCCTAGTGTCTTCTGGTCTGTGATAGTATCTCAGTCTTTCCTTTGTTTTTTATGACCTTGATAGTCTTGAGTGATACTGGCAAGCCCTCCTATAGCAAGTCCCCCATTCTGGGTCTGTTTGATGTTTTTCTTATGGCCAGAATGGAAGTAAGAGTTTTTGGAAATAATGTTACAGAGGTAAAGTGTTTTTCTCATTACACCAAAATTAAAGAGTACATGACAGCCACATGGGATCATTGATGATGTTAACTCTCATCACTTGATGAAGGTAATGTTCTCCCCAGATTTCTCCACTGTGAAGTCACTATTTCTCCTTTTCTCAATCCTATATTTTGGCAGTGAATCACTATGCCTAGCCCACCTCAAGTTGGGAGGAGAGGGAGACTTAAGTTCTACCTTTTGGAAGGTGGAATATCTAGGTATATTATTTAGATTTTTTCTGCAAGGAAGATTTGTTTAATCTCATTCGTTCATATCCGTAAGAACTCATGTTAATTAATGTTAATTAACATGAGTTAATTATAATCTTTGGGTTGTAATCTAATACTACATTATTTATTTGTTGCTCACATTTTTTCATCTCTGGCAATTGGGAGCTCTTTCAGGGTGACTCCTATGTTCCTTTAATGTGCCATCCCCACAATCCTTTTGCTTTTAAAGTACTTTCTTACTTTCTGGTACTACAAGATACTCCAGGTTTATATTACATTTTCCCTGCCCCAGCCTCACCCATTTCTTTAAGAAGCCCTGATTTCTTTTATTGGAGAATAGGATTTAGAAATCAAGATCTCAGTGCGTGGTGTCTCATTGTGGCTTTCATTTGCATTTTCCATGAAGAGTGTCACCTTTCCAAATGTTTATTGGGCATTTTTATATTTCTTTTAGCAAGGTGTTTATTCAAGTCATTTGCCTATTTTTTTTACTGGAATGTCTATATTGTTTACTTATTAATTCAGACATTATTTCCTTTTTTATGTATTCTGGATTTTAGTTCCTTCATTAAATATATGCATTATAAATATCTTCTTCCACCCTGTGGCTTGTCTTTTCATTCTAATACTAGTGTCTTTGAAAAGGACATTCTTCATATTATCACGGTACAATTAGTCACTTTTTCCTTTTATGATTCTGTTAATAATTATTAGAATGTTTTCCTATGTTATCTTCTAAAAGTTGTATTGTTTTATGTTTAGATAATAAAATACACCTGGAATTGATTATTGTGTGTAGTGTAGGGAGGGGTTAAGATGAGGTTTTTTTTTCCATATCCAACTGACTGCTCCCGTTTATTGAAAAGACCATCCCATCTTCACTGCAGGCGTTTTCATCTTTGTTTCTGAACTCTGTTCAGTTCTGTAGGTCTATTTGTCTATCCTTTCACCAATACTACACTATTTTAATTACTGTAGTTTTATAAAAGTTTTAATATCTGGTAGTATAAATTCTCAGTTTTTAAAGTTCTTCAATATTATTTTGGGCATCCTTGGCACTTCTCATTTTTATATAAATGTTAAAACAGGTGAATTTTCTCTGGCACACACACACACATACACACACCCTACCTACTAGGAATTTTATTGAGATTTCGTTGAATTTATAGATCAATTTTGGGAGAACTGACACCTTTAAATGATCAAGTCTTCTTCTCCATGAAAATATAGCAAATTCCTCCACTTATTCAGGCGTTTTAAAATTTATCCGAAGAATGCTTTTCAGTTTTTAGGATAAAAGTCTTATTTATATTTTGTTTTCATTTTAAGTATTGACATTTTAATGTTATTTTTTGAGGTAGCTTTACATTTTTCACTTGTAATTGTTTATTGACAGTGTATTTAAAATATTATTTAAAAATATATTGATGTTAGCTTCCCTTCTTTTTTTTTTTTTTTTTTTTTTTTGTCACCCAGGCTGGAGTGCAGTTGTGTGATCTCAGCTCACTGAAATCTCCACTTCCTGGGTTCAAGCGATTCTCCTGCCTCAGCCTCCTGAGTAGCTGGGATTACAGGTGCAGCCACTACGCACGGCTAATTTGTGTATTTTTAGTAGAGACGGGGTTTCACCGTTTTGGACACGCTGGTCTCGAACTCCTGACCTTGTGATCTGCCCGCCTCAGCCTCCCAAAGTGCTGAGATTACAGGCGTGAGCCACCGTGCCTGGCAGCTTCCCTTCTTAATTTAATTATTTGTCTGTAGAATCTTTTGGCTTTTCTATGTTCTTTTTTTCCTCTTTTTCAATCTATCTACCTTTTTATTTTTTCTTTTCTTATTACACTGGTTATGACCAGTGCAATTTTGACTAAAGTACTGTTAGTAGATACTTTTGTCTCATTTCTGATCTCAGATGAAAAGCTATCAAGATTCCATTATTAAATATTAATGTTTTCTATAGTTTTTAAATATATATATATACTCTTACAGATTTTAAAACTTCTATTCTAGGCCTACTTTGCTATTATTTTTAAAAATCATGAATGGATGTTGGCTTTATAAATGCTTTTGAACTTACTGAACTGATCTTATGATTTTGCTCCCATATTGTATTAATGAGGTGAATTATATTGATTGATTAATTTTGAATGTAAAATGCAATTCTGCATTATTGGAAAAAACCCAACTTGGTTGTCATATATTATTCTTTTTATATATGGTTAGATAATATTTGGTTATAATGTTTTCATATAGGTTTATGAGAGACATGACTAATAATTTTCAATTCTTATGTTCTCATCAGGCTTTGTTTTCAAAGCAATGCTGGACATTATAGATAAATTGGGAAGTTTGCAGTATTTTTTTTACTTTTATTTAGAGGAAATTGTTTAAGCTTAGTGCTATTTCATCTTTAAATATTTAGAGGATTTCACCTGGGAAGCCATCTGGACCTGAAGATTTCTTTGTGGAGGCATTTAATTACAAATTCAATTTTTAAATTAGAGGACTTTTTCTTTTTTTAAAAATCCTGTGCCAGTTTTTCAAAGTTTTGCTTCTTCTCTTTTCTCCTTTTCTTTTCTTTTTTAAAGGAATTTCTCCATTTCTTCTAAATTTTCAGGAAAAACTCTAGGATTCTTTGATGTTCCTAAAAATACATGGTTAAGCCAAAAGGTGGTAAAGAAGTCAAGATCAAAGCATAGTGTCCAGGTCCTCTCTGGCCCAGTGGTTAAAAATGTGAACTCTGGCACTTTTCTACTCTTTAGTCTTTTTAAAGATAAATTTTAAATGCAAACAAACAAACAAACAATCAAACAAAAAAACTTGTTTATTCAGCTGCAGCATTGGAACCCTAAACAGTCACTAGACAAGGAATTCCAAGGTGAGAGTTTTCAGCACATTTCTGCTTGGTCTCTTATCCTTCTGCTCTGAGGGAAAAAGAGGGTTGGGCTCAGTCCTCTATGCCTCTCTTCTCTCAAGAATCTTGGTCCCTCAATTCCTGGCTGCCCTGAAAGCTCTGAACTATAATTTTTATGTCCCCAACTCTCCAAGATCATTGCAGTTTTTGCTGACATCTTGGCTCTTAACAGTTGTCCTCTGTCTGGATTCTTTGAAAATGCCACTAGAGGAAAATGGCTCACCTCTGTGGTTCTCTTCTCTCCAGGATCTTGACTTCTCAAGTATTGGATGCTTTAGCAACTCTCTGATGCCTTCAAATAGACATATTTTTGTATTTTAGTCGGCTTTTCTGCTTTTTTCTTGGCATAAACATTGGTCTGCTGTAAGTTACTCAATATAGGTAGTAGATATCTGAATATATCTTTTTTATTAACTTCTCACTTGAACTGAATTTTTGAATTAACCCATTGACTAAGAGTCTTGGTTGACAAGAGATAAGACATCTGCTACCATGATGATCATATTAATAGTAAGTAGCAGCTAAACATCCATTGATAAGTCATGAGGTACCAGATTCTCTGTTAAATTATTTATATGTATTGTTTCATTTATCCTTCTAAGAACCCAGGAGGTAGGTACTACTATCTTCATTCTTTAGATGAGAAACTGAATTCATAGTAACCTGCTCATATTCACAGAGCTAATTGATGACCATAATAAAATATGAGACAAAGCTGCCTGATACCAGAGGCCACACACACAATATTCAAAAGGTATTTAGACTACATTTATCATTGTAGTTGATGTCATTGGGCTAGAAGAACAAGGAGGGCTAAAACTGTTGGCAGGGGAAACTCTTTGGAGATTTAGTATGGGATGCAGGACAGCCAGACTAGTCGAGTGAAGGGGTAGACTCCCGCCATGCAGGAGATTGACCTCTTGCCTAAATAGAAGAGATATGTTATTTATAGTTCATAAATATCATACATTCCAAATCTGGAAGTCAGTTTTCTTACTTTTGTGTTTTTAAAAAAGGGCTGCATCTTACAATAGATGTCAAAAGAAACTCATCAGCTGCCTAGCACCAGAGTCAACTGCAGCAAAGTTGTCATGGCCAGCACATGTGCGACCTTCCTCTCTGCATCTGATGGCCATTTCAGTTGATTTATTTGATTTGGTAGCACCTTACAGGGTTGATTATAACTTATTGCTGCCCCTACATAACACTTCTTTAAAAAAGTTACACTAGGATTTAGCACTGAAATAAGAACTTGAATTCATTGGTTTTCCATCCTGAAGGAAATACCATCAATGCAGTTGAAATTGTCAATTTATTTTGGAATACAGCATAGACTTTTTGAAGCCAACAGTAGCTGATGTGACCGATTCCTGTATCATGAAGGACATCAAGCACCCAACATCTAAATGTCAAAAGCTTCTGGCTGACTTTTAAGAGAAGCTATTTAACTTCCAGGAATGTATATTTCAATAAAGGGAAAACAGAACAATGAATTTAACCAAGTCGAAAATTCAAATGAACTCCAGCGTTCTTTGACATGCCTGGAAATAACGCTGTTAGGCAAAAGGTTCCAAAAGAGTCAAAATCAATTATTTGATCCTGAGAAGAACTATAGCCTATTTGTTCAAATGCAGATTTAGCACCATGCTGCGTGGGTTTAAACCTTTGCTTTGATGCTCAATTGCTTGGGAATCTTGGGCACCCCTCTCTACCTTAACGTCCTCATGTGTACATGGGGATAATAATAGCATCTACCTAATGGAGGTTTCATGAGGATTAAATGAGTCAGTACAGGTAAACACTAAGAAATACTTGGCAAAGGATGAGTGCTCAATAAAGGTTAGATATCAGGACAAGCAGCACAGTGCTTTCGATATTACGCCTAATGTTTTGTCTGATGGTCTATATTAGTTCATTCTCATATTGCTATAAATAAATCCCTGAGCCTGAGTAATTTATAAAGAAAGGTTTAATTGGCTCCTGGTTCTGCAGGCTGTATAGGAAGCATGGTGCTGGCATCTGCTCAGCTTCTGGGGAGGCCTCAGGAAACTTACAATCATGGTGGAAGGTGAAGGGGGAGCAGGCATATCACATGGCCAGAGTATGAGCAAGAGAGAGAGAGAGATGCCACACACTTTTAAATGACCAGATCTCATGAAAACTTACTCACTATTGTGAGGATAGTACCAATGGGATGGTACTAAACCATTCATGAGAAACCTGCTCCTATGATCTAGTCACCTCCCACCAGGCCCCACTGCCAACATTGGGAATTACATTTCAACATGAGATTTGGGTAAGGACAGTATCCAAACTATATCACTGTCCATGGCCAAAAGTGATTAAAATAATTTTACATTCTGAATTTAAAGATGCTTTAGGGGTTAATGTTAAACACGGTATTGATGAAACAAGGTGTATTTAAGCATATGAATAAATGAGTGCTATTGTTAGCCAATGAAGTTTTTATTTGTTGCTACTGTTTTCTACTGACATTTAATGCAGTGGGGTTTTTTTTCTCACCAGAACTGGTGTTAAATTACATTTTTAATAACTGAACTCTGTAAAGCCTTTTCCATCAGCAGCCCTGCAGTCCATTGCCTGGGCTACTGCAGTTGACTCATAGCTGGTTTCCGCATGTATTGCTTTGCTTTTTTGCAATTGTAGCCATACACAAGTGACAGATATCTTTAACAGATGCAGATTGAATTATGTTGCTCTCTGCTGAAAAGACTCTAAAAGTTCCCCACTGTCCTCAGAATAAGACCCCAAATACATAACATTGTCTGACTCTTCCCTGTTGTGCCTCCTTTCTGGCCTCATGGTGTACCATTGTCCCTCATTCTGTCTGTCAGTCCCTCTTGAGGCCAAGCCCATTCTTCTCAGGACCTTTGCTCTTTGCCTTTCTCTGTCTGAAGGTTCACTGACTGTATGAGTCAGTGTTCTCCAGAAAAACAGAACCAAGAGATGTACAGATATTTAAGAGGGGATTTATTATGGAAATGGACTCACACTGAGAAGTCCCATGATCTTCTGTGTGCAGGCTATAGCATTAAAGAAGCTGGTGCTCCTGGTGCAGTGGCTCATGCCTGTAATCCCAGCACTTTGGGAGGCTGAGGCGGGCAGATCACGAGGTCAGGAGATTGAGACCATCCTGGCTAACACGGTGAAACCCCATCTCTACTAAAAATACAAAAAAAATTAGCTGGGCATGGTGGCAGGCGCCTGTGGTCCCAGCTACTTGAGAGGCTGAGGCAGGAGAATGGTGTGAACCCAGGAGGCAGAGCTTGCAGTGAGCCGAGATCGCACCACTACACTCCAGCCTGGGTGACAGAGCGAGACTCTGTCTCAAAAAAAAAAAAAAAAAAAAGAGGAAGCTGGTGCTCTAACTCTCCATTTAAGAGCAAAGGTCAGAGAACTGGGGAGACTGCTGGTATAAGTCCTTGAGGCTGAAGGCCTGAGAACCTGAAGCTCTGATGTCCAAGGGCAGAAGAAGATAGATGTCCCAGATCCAGAGGAGAGTTAAAATTTGCCTTTCCTTTGCCTTTTTGTTCTATCCAGTTTCTCAACAGATTGGATGATGTCCACCTACACTAGTGAGGGCAAATGTTCCTTATTCAGTCCACTGATTCAAAAGCCAATCTCTTCCAGAAACACTCTCACAAACACACCCAGATATAACACTATATCAGCTATCTGGGCAGCCCTTAACCCAGTCAAGCTGACACCTAAAATTAACCATCACATCAACTAACTCCTGCCCACTCTGAGGAAATGTCATTCCTCAAAGAAAGCCTTTTCTGATGTTAGGTCAAAATCAAACTCATATTACTAGCTTTCCCACTTTCTTCTTACAGCACATTCCATGGTTTGTTATTCTTTATTCTTTTGGGTGACTGTTTACTTAATGTTATTCCCTCCACTAGCTCATAAGTTCCATGAGGGCATGAATTGTGCATTTTTAAGGTGTTAAATTCCTAGTGCTTGGCATACACATATATCCTCTCTCTCTCTCTCTCTCTCTCTATATATATATATATATATATATATATATATATGAGTTGGCTCACACAATTATAAAGACATGCATACACACACATATATAGATACACATAGGTAGAAAAATGGATATACTATATATATGTATATCTTATTAAAATACAATATATGTAAAGCACACTATATTAGTCTGTTCTGAAACTGCTATAAAGATACTACCTGAAACTGGGTAATTTATAAAGGAAAGAGGTTTAATTGATTCACAGTTTCTCATGGATTGGGAGGCCTCAGGAAACTTACAATCATGGCAGAAAGGGAAGCAGGCACATCTTACATGGCAGCAGGTGAGAGAGAATGTGTGTGACTGCAGGAACAACTACCATTTATAAAACCATCAGATCCTGTGAGAATTCACTCACTACCATGAGAACAGAATGTGGGAACCACGCCCATAATCCAATCACTTCCCTCCCTCAACACATGGAGATTACAGATTCCTCCCTTGACACACGTGGATTGAAATTCAAGATGAGATTTGGGTGGGGACACAGAGCCTAACCATATTATTTCGCCCCGGCCCTTCCCAAATCTCATGTCTTTTATACATCTCAAAACCAATCATGCCTTCCCAACAAATTCCCAAAGTCCTAACTCATTTCAGCATTAACTTAAAAGCCCAAGTCCAAAGTCTCTTCTGAGACAAGTGAAGTCCCTTCTGCCTAAGAGCCTGCAAAACCAAAAGCAAGTTAGTTACTTCCAAGATATAATGGAGATGCAGGCATTGCGTAAATGCTCCCATTCCAAATGGGAGAAATTGGCCAAAACAAAGGGGATAAAGGCCCCATGCAAGTCCAAAACCCAGCAGGGCAGTTATTAAGTCTTAAAGCTCCAAAATAATCTCCTTTGACTCCATATCTCACATTCAGGTCTCACTGATGCAAGAGGTGGGCTCCCACAGTCTTGGGCAGCTCTACTCCTGTGGCTTTGTAGGGTACAGCTCCCCTCCTGGCTACTTTCACTGGCTGGCCTTGAGTGTCTGTGGCTTTGTTCCAGGCACACAATGCAAGCTATCATTGGCTCTCATTCTGGGGTCTAGAGGACAGTGGCCCTCTTCTCACAGTTCTACTAGGCAGTATCCTAGTAGGGACTCTGTGTGGGGGCTCCAGCTCCACATTTCCCATCTGCATTGCCTTAGCAGAGGTTCTCCATGAGGGCTCCACCCAAGCAGCAAACTTCTGCCTGTACATTCAGGCATTTCCTTACATCCTCTGAAATCTGGGTGGAGGTTCCCAAACCTCAGTTCTTGACTTCTGTGTACTCACAGGCCCAATACCACATGGAAGCCACCAAGGCTTGGGGCTTGCACCCTCTGAAGCAACGGCCCGAGCTGTACCTTGGCCACTTTTAGCCATAGCTGGACACAGGGTACTAAGTCCTAAGACTGCACACAGGAGCCAGCTGGCCCGTGAAACCATTTTTGACTCCTAGGCCTCTGGGCCTGTGGGAGCAGCTGCTGCCAAAATCTCTGACATACCCTGGAAACATTTTCCCCATTGTCTTGGTGATTAACATGTGGCTCCTTGTTATTTATGCAAATTTCTGCAGAAGGCTTGAATTTCTCCCCAGAAAATGGATTTTTCTTTTCTATTGCATCATCAGGCTGCAAATTTTCCAAACTTGAATGGTCTGCTTTTCTTTTAAACATAAGTTCCAATTTCAGATAATTTCTCTCAAGTTCAAAGTTCCACAGATCTCTAGAGCAGGGACAAAATGCTGCCAGTCTCTTTGCTAAAGCATAGCAAGAGTCACCTTTACTCCAGTTCCCAAGAAGTTCCTCACCTCCATCTGAGACCACCACAGCTGGAACTTCATTGCCCATATCCCTATCAGCATTTTGGTTTAACCCATTCAACAAGTCTCTAGGAAGTTTCAAACTTTCCTACATTGTCCTGTCTTCTCCTGAGCCCTCCAAACAGTTCCAACCTCTGCCTATTACCCAGTTCCAAGGTCACTTTCAGTTTTCAGGTATCTTTATAGCAGTACCCTACTCTCTGCAGTACCAATATACTGTATTAGTTCTCACACTGCTATAAAGATACTACCCCAAACTGAGTAATTTATAAAGGAAAGAGGTTTAATTGACTCACAGTTCTGCATGGCCAGGGAGTCCTCAGGAAACTTACAATCATGGTGGAAGGGGAAGCAGGCACGTTTTACATGGTGGCAGGTGAGATAGAGCGTGTGTGAGAGCACATGAAAAACTACCATTTATAAAACCATGAGATCTTGTAAGAACTCACTCACTATTACAAGAACAGCATGTGGGAAACCGCCCCCATAATCCAGTCACTTCTCTCCCTTGACACGTGGGGATTACAGGTCCCTCCCTTGACACATGGGGGTACAATTCAAGATGAGATTTGGGGGGGACACAGAGCCAAACCATATCACACACAAAATATTTAGCTGGATAACTTTTTTAGAGATGAAAATTTCCATGTTACAAACACCCAAATCAAGAAAGAGATAAGAACACTCAGAAGCCTCTCTTGTTCTAGTCATTCCCAAAAGGCAAAAATTGTTTGGATTTTTCCCATCTGAGATTAATTTTGGTTGTTCTGGAGCTTTCTATAAATGAAATTGTAGACACGTACTCTCCTGTCTAGCTTCTTTTTGCTCAACATTATGTGTGAGATCTATCCATTTTGTGCATGTCCTGATAGTTTTGTTTTCATTGCTATATTGCAGTCTATTGTCTGAATGTACCACAATTTATTTATCTTTGTACTATTGATAGAAAGCTGGGTTATTTTCAGTTTTGAGTTATAACATATATTGTTTCTATGAACATTCTTTTGCATGTCATACACACTGATTTCTCCTGGGTTTATAACCAGGACCGCAATTGCTGCAAAGCTGCATCATATGTTTTGTCAAATACATAGTTGCCAAATTAGAAAAAATGCAAAATTTCATGTAGTATGGGGGAACCTTTCCCTCCATTTTGGATGAGGAGTTCCTCAGAGTTCTGGACTTCATCTTAGTCTTTTTTTCACAAAGTGTTTATGGGCCATGAAGATTCTCAAAAATAGGTGGAATCAAATTGGCTGTCATAATACATGGAAAGAATTTATAGGGACAGGGGTATCTGGAGGTGTGAGGTCTCTTTTGTGGTGCCTGCTGAGATGTTCTGATCTCAGCCCTGGAGAGTCTTCCAGGCTGGGATCCAGTTAGGCTTGTTCTACCTGTCCACTCCCTTTCTTCCTCCTTCTTGGCTTTGCACTTTTTCATAATTTCTTACTTCCAGACGAATGGGTTTCAGGGATGAGTTTACAAACATATCAATCATTTGCTTCCTGGAACTAAAAGTTCCCCACAGGCCCCTACTGCACTTGAATCAGTAAGGTCAGCAAGTGATCAACCCATTTGCAAGGGGCTATTTGTTACCTACGACTGGGGGCTAGGAGCTAAGCCTGGGCTGATGTAGCATTTGGGTAGTGGCAGAAAGAGCTCTCCACTGAAGCTCACTCCCCCTTTGGTGTGACAGTGACAAACTCCACGATGACTTCTCTTTGGCTAATCAGGATCCTTTCCAGTAGAAGCCTTGACATCTCATTTAACCCCAGATGTAAAGACACCTCCATTCCAGAGCACATGGATCTTAACTGCTCAGAACACACTCAGAGTCCAGAGGAAACTGCAAGTGTTTCCTTTCCTTCTCAGAAGATTTTTCACACAATGCTGAATCTCTCTTTCCTGGATTTCTGGAGTCCTTTCTCCTTCAGTTTTACTCTTCCCTCCATATTCCCTCCACCTTCTCCTGGGTTCCTGTCTTTATCTTGTACATCTCAGGCTGGAAGTAATATTTCCAGTGTCCTCCTGCTTCTCCCCTACCCCTCATGTTGATAAGTATCATTGCTGGAGAGTCTCATCTACTTCTGAGAAGGGCAACCACAAGATAAAGACTGGTGGAGCTTTGGGGAAGACAGAATGGTGCCCCTAAAGCACCACTTTGATGCATGGTTTTTCTAAAATATTCCTCACCACCACAGTTAAGGGTTGGTTGGAGTGGGCAGAAAAGTCACGGAACAAATGGAAACTTCTTTTTCTAAAAAAAAAATTATTTTTTAAGTCAGATTTATTGAGGAATGTTTTATACATCATGAAATTCATCTTTTTTTTTTGGACCTACAGTGCAATGAATTATGAGAAGTGTATACAATTGTGTAACCACCACCATAACTGAGATACAGAACATTTCCATCTCTCTAAAAAGTGCCCTGGGGCCTTAGCACAGCCAGTGCCTCCCACCAGTCCCAAGAGGGGATCTTTTACAGTGCAAATGCCCCCTAAGGAGGCCACATTAGTCAGTCTGGAATGGATGGCTGAGGATAGGTCTTTGTTTCCTCTAGATGGGAGGAATTAAGGCTGTGTGAACTGAAGATGGAGTGGCTTGTGCTGAATCCAACTTAGCCCCAGGGACAAGGTTCTGGATGAAGTGTCAGGGGATTGAGACCTGGGTCTGGTGGGGAAACTGGGGGGAAGCATCAACCCCAGGGGGGAAACTGCAGCTGGATGTGGACTGGGGGTTGAAAGGAGGAGCAAAACCAGAAACCAAGAGGCAGCAACTCAGCATCCCACATGGAGTCCTTTGGTTCTTTGGACTATGTCCTCAATAGTCTTAAAAGTGTCAGAACTCTCATAAGGAATATGGGCTGGGATCAAGGAAGAGTGGGCAAAAGGGGGTGGTCTGGGTGGCACTAAAGACTTGCTGGTTTCAGGTTGTGTCTGTGTGTGTATGCATGGGTGTGAGGATGCATGTGTGCATATGTGTATGTGTGTGTATGTATGTGTGCATGTGTGTATAAGTGTGTGTGTGTATGAGTGTGTGTGCACATGTATACATGTGTGTCAGTGTGCATGCATGCGTGTGTGTGCCTGTGTATTCAGAGACCATGGCAAGACACTGGGTCATCTCAAGACATCCCAGCTGACCCATATTCTCAGCTGGGTAGGGAAGCTTGGGGCAAGGCCAGCCAAGCCTGGTTGGGGCAAGGCCAGCCAAGCCTGGTTGGGGCAAGGCCAACCAGGGGGCTCCAGTGCAATGAAGGAGCCTCTTCCCTTTGTGCACTGGAGCCCCCAGTGCTGCTTCATCAACAAGCCCGTGCTGGAGCTGAGCAGAGCAGCATGTGCTGGGGGCTGACATCCCAGCTGCATGCTCACGCGCCGTCACCCCCAGCTGGAGCAACCGCACATTCTTAGACGCTCTATGTCATGGAAAGAAAGGTGAAGTGCTCCATCTGCTCTGCTCTGCTCTCTCCAAACGTTACCACTCTGGCAACAAAACGGAGGGCACCGTGGCTAGAGACTATTTGTTCTCTTGGACGGTGGAGAGATTCTTTTAAATCCTGGAGTCCTTGATGGTATTAAGTTTGAGGAATTTTTCAAACCATCATCAGGGAGAAGCATCTGCTAACAACCCCTTTCTGCACATAGTACTCATGGAGATTTGGTCTGAGGAGAATGACTCGGCAGGTTGTGTTTTTGTGGAATTATGCACCAGAGGAGATAAGAACATGCTTTCTTTCCCATAGCTGTTTGCTTTAATTGATGAATATGTTTAATTATTGAGCCCCTACTATGTGCAAGATGATAGAAAGCCAGAGGTAAACCAGCCAGGTAAGGTCTCTGCCCTCAAGAGCTGATGGTCTGGTGGAGGTGAGCATCTGCCCAGAGCAAGGCCCTGTAGGAGGCTCTCCGATGGGCTCCAAAGTGGTTGTGACTGATTGATTGCTTCCACAGTTGTAATTAATATGCCCTTTACACAAAGACTTTGCAGCTCCTTCCATCGAGAGGTGGAGCCTGTTTGCCTGTCCTTGAATCTGGGCTCAACTGTGACTTGATTTGGCCAGTAGAAGGTGAGGAAGTGGGACAGTACCAATTGTGAACCTAGGCCTCAGGAGATTGGGTGCATATCTTCTCTTTCCTAGAACTTTGCTTCTGTTGGGTAAATAGGCTTGGACTAGTGAGCCAGAGAATGTGAGAGCCTGTGGAGAAGAGCTCATTTGTTCAACTTGAAACCATGTAAGATCAGTTGACAGTTAGCTGATTCCAAAACAGATGAGAGAGTCCAGCTTGGAATAACAGAGCTGCTTTTTCTACTCGCAGCGACCACAGACACATGACTATGCCCAGCTAAGAGCAGCAGGGCTGCCCAGCCAACCTGCAGACATGTGAGCATAATAAACCTTGGTTTCTCACTGAGCAAGGCTGTCTGCATTCACTAATGGCTGTGCAAGGCTCTGACTTTCTGGAGACTCAAGAAGCGCCCAGTGTCCCAAAGAGCCCCTTTGAAACAGCTCCTCTTCTCTTCTTTCACCCTTCCATCCCCAGCTTTAAACCATCGCTTGTTTGAGGCAGCAAGAACCATTGCTATATGTTTATAGCATTTCACAAATCATTTCACGGGAGGAGAGCAACACAGCAAAATTGGTACGATGGATATTTATTTTCCTAATGCCACTTATCCGGTGTTGGTTGTGAAAATAACCTGTCTGCTGGACTCCTCTACAGCTGGTGGAAAGGGTGGGAAAGCCAAGAGGAACATAAAGAAGAGAGAGAAGCAAGGCACTACTTTATTTTTGTAGAAGGAAAAAATACTATAGGTTTGTCCACATGGGATTTGGTGGAATGGTTCAGAAATTAGTTTGTCTGAACACTCATTTCTCCATTCATCCACTTAACACGGTTTACTTTTAATGACTTTTTAAAATAAAAATCGTGTACATTTAAGGTATACAACATGATGTTTTGATATATGTATACTTAGTGCAATGATTATTATCGTCAAGTAAATTAACATATCCTTTTCTTCACATAGTTAAATTTTGTTTCTTTTTTGTAGTGACAGCATCTGAAGTCTATTCTTTTAGCACATTTCTAGTGTACAGTATAGTATTTGATATGGTTTGGCTCTGTGTCCCCACCCAAATCTTATTTTGAATTGTAATCCTCATAATCCTCATGCGTCTTGGCGGGACCTGGTGGGAGGTGATTGGATCATGGGGGCAGTTTCCCTCATGTTGTTCGTGTTATAGTGAGTTCTCACAAGATCTAATGGTTTTATAAGTGTTTGACAGTTCCTCCTACTCACACTCTTTCTCTCTTCTGTCACCATGTAATATGTGCCTGCTTCCCCTTTGGCCATGATTGTGTTTCCAGAGGCCTCCCCAGCCATGTGGAACTGTGAGCCAATTAAACCTCTTTCCTTTATAAATTACCCAATCTCGGGTATTTCTTTATAGCAGTGTGAAATGAACTCATACAGAGTTATTACTTAAAGTCCTCATGCTGTGCATTGGAGCTCTAGATTTATTCATCTTACATAGCTGTGACTTTGTACCTTTTGGCCAACATCTCCTTCTATATTCCCCACCATTCTACTCTCTGCTTCCATGAGTTTGATTTTTTTAGATTCCACATATAAGTAAGATGCTGCAGGATTTTCTTTATGTGTCTGGCTCATTTCACTTGGCAAAATGTCCTCTGGGTTCATCTATGTTATCACAAGTGGCAGAATTTTCTTTTTCAAAGCTGAATAATATTCCATCACATGTATTTGTATATGTGTATATATATATATATATAAAATATATATTTCTCACAATTTCTTTATCCATTCATCTGTGAGTGGACACTTAGGTTGTTTCCTTATCTCCGCTATTGTGAATAATACTGCAATGAACATGGAAGTGCAGGTATCAGTTCGAGATACTGGTTTCATTTCCTTTGGATATATACCCAGAAGTGGGATTGGATTGCTGGATCTTACACTAGCTCTAGGTTTAATTTTTGGAGGTATCTCCATACTGTTTTCCACAGTGGTTGTACCAATTTACATTCCTATCAATAGTATACAAGGGTTCCCTTTTTTTCACACCTCTCCAACACTTGTTATCTTTTGTCTTTTTGATAATGGCCATCCTAATTGATGTGAAGTGATAGCTCCTTGTGATTTTGATTTCCATTTCCCTGATGATAGTGATTTAAGCATTTCTTTTTCATATACCTGTTGGCCATTTGTATGTCTTCTTTGTAAAAATGGCTACTCAAGTCCTTTGCTCATTTTTCAATAGAGTTATGTGTTTTTTTCTATTAAGTTGTGTGAGTGCTCTATATACTTGGGATGTTAACCTCTTGTCAGATATGTGGTTTGCAAATATTTTCTCCCAACCCGTAGGTCACTCATTCATTTTGTTGATTGTTTTCTTTGCTGTGGAGAAGCCTTTTCATTTGATGTGACATAGATTTCTTGAGCACTTTCTATCTACTGGGCAGGTGTTAAGCCTGTGAAGAAGGTGAACATCATTTCTGTCCTCCTGAAGCTTATGTTTCAGACAGGTGGACATCACTGTGTAAAAACAAACATGGCAAAAACTTGCAGAGAGACATCTGGAAGGCTGCTGGACTGGATGAGTTCCAGGGAACAGGGGAATGCGGGGATGCAGGCATGTGAGGATGCAGGGATGGAGGCCAGGCTGCAGTGGTGACCACTGATGGCTGCTCAGCACCTTCCCCCCATTTTGCAGCTCTAATATCCTGATTTCCTTTAGGGAAAGAATCTCTTCCCTCTTTTGTGCAGTCATGATTGGTTAAATACAAGTGCCTGCTTCTCCTTAGCCTCAGAACGTCAGATCCTCTCTTTCTTGGGACTTTGAATTTTGAACCCAGTGATGCAAAAAATATAACCCAGAATTAAGGTGCAGTCATTCCAGTGACAGAGTCCTGCTGCAGCTCTTAGTCACTTCTGCTATTTACACCCCCAGAACTCTCTTTGTCTCTGTCCTGTCCTGAGAATAAGTCACTGGTCTTTTCTTTGATTCCACAAATTATCTGATAAGCTTCAGATATATTTCTTTCCTGGGTAAACTAGTCAGAATCAACTTCTGTTGTTTGCTACCGAAGAAATCTAGCTGGTTCAGTTGCCTTCATGGGCCCTGCTTAGCTGTGTCATATACTCTCTTATGTCAATGTTAGTGGCTCTTTCGGTGCTGGCCCAGAGTAGGGCCTTGAAACATTCTTATTACTTCTCTCTGTGTGTGCTTTCAAAAGCCAATATACTCCTCATAGAATCATTTTATGAATTGTGCTTTAGTGCAGAAGTTAGCAAACTTTTTCTGTAAAGGGCCAGCAGCTTGAAACAACATCCATTTATTGGTTTCAGTTGACCAGGGAGTAGACATGACTTAGCTGGGTACCCTGGTCAGAGTCTCATAAAGTTGCTATCAAGTGGGTGGCTGGGCTGCATTCTTATCTGGAGGCTTGAGTTGGGAAGAAGTCCTATCCAAGTTCATATGGTTGTTGGCAGAATTAAGCTCCTTGAGACTGTAGAATTGAGGTCTTCAGTTCCTAGAGGCCACCCACAGTTCCCTGCCCTGTGGCCCTCCCTATTGGGAGTTCACATAATAACAGCTTGCTTTTTCAAGGCTATCAGAAGAGTCTCTCTCTTCAGTCTGCTAAGACAGAGTCCCACACAAAATAGCATAATCAAGGCAGTGATATTCAATCATCTTTGCTGTATAACATAATCCAATTCAATCTCTTAGCCTGCACCAAGAGATTTTTATAAGGATGTTACTTATGATCTCACTTTACATACTCTTTATGCTAAATCTTGGAATTTTTTTTTCTGGTAGCTGTGTTTTTCTTGAGCAGCTGGCTGGTTTTAATCTCATGAACATTATAATATTTAAAAAATAAATTTATCGAAGAAAAATATATTTCAATATATACAAGTTAAAAAAAACAAACAAAAAAGATGCTGAACACTGATTTTTGAATTTGATTGGGTTTCTGTCTTCACTTTGTCTGCTGGGGAGCTCAGGGCTGCCAAAGTAGAGCCATCCATACTAAGTGTGAAGGACTCCATGGTATATATTTCCAGTATTTGCCTTGTTCTTGGCTCCATGTATTAGTCAGTTTTCACACTGCTGATAAAGGCATACCCAAGACTGGGCAATTGACAAAAGAAAGAGGCTTAATGGACTTACAGCTCCACGTGGCTGGGGAGGCCTTACAATCATGGTAGAAGGTGAAAGGCATGTATCACATGGCAAGCAGACAAGAGAAGAGAGCTTGTGCAGGGAAACTCCCCTTTTTAAAACCATCAGATCTTGTGAGACTTATTCACTATCACAAGATAAGCATGGGAAAAACCTATCCCCATGATTCAATTATCTCCCACCAGGTCCCTCCCACAATAGAAAGGAATTATGGGAGCTACAATTCAAGATGAGATTTGGGTGAGGACACAGCCAAATCATATCACTCCATTTAATGTTCCAGTACTGATTTCTCTTCTTTCTCTCCAACATAATTCATGTGATCTTCCTGCTTTGTGTGTATCTAAATCTTAAATCCTCTCTAAATAAGGTGGGGAAAATGTTTGATAAAAGAATAAAGTATGGTCCTTTAGTACGTGTGGTGCATTGGAATGTGAACAACACCTATACTTAAACTAGAACAAATAGTAATTCAGTGGAAGGACCTTTAAGTTCTTCTCTTATGATTTTAAGCATGAGAAGAGAGTTGAAAAATTTGCCCATGGCAAATATTGCTGGTTTCTTCTTCTGGATTCCCAAGTCTAGGTTTGGGGAAGAGGATTAATCCCAGCTCATGGGCATTGCAAGCTACACTGTGCTATGTCTAGGTGGGGTTGGGCTGGGGCAGGGATCATGGCTCAGTATTTTGAACCCATGAAATCACAAGCTACATCTTACAAGGGTGCCATTGTGCCTGGTACCTCAGTGGTGATATCACTGCTGGGCTGTCTCCCTCCAAGCGTTCTCATAGCCTGGGCAAGGCAGCTGTAGAATGGTTCTCCAGTGAAATCATCTGGCCCAAATCATGGCTGCCAGCCTCACCCTGCACACCCAGGCCCCATCCTAATCTCCCAGCAGGAGGTGCTTGGGGCAAGCTGGCTGCCTTAGACACAGTGATGCTGGGCCTGCTGGCCTGAGGGAGCTTAGCTCAGGTAGCCTCCCCAGAGAGACCTGGCCCTTCCCAAGGAGCTGGATCTTGAGGCCAGCTTTCCAAGGCCAAGGGTTGCCATCGGCTGCCGTTCCCTTTCCAAGCCATGGATGCTCTGGAACATTGTAAGTTTCCTTCAGTGCAATGTGGATTATAGATGTGTGTATAACTGAAATGATATCTCAAGTGTCTAGCATAGTGCTTGGCGTATAGTATGAATGAACTAAAAACAAGCTCATTTATGGAAACATATATTAACACATGGCTCCTAACAAATGGAAGTTTCTATTATCTAGCAAATATATACTGATTTGCTTAGAGAGGCAGTATCACAGGATGGTTAAGAGCAATAGCTCTAGAGACAGGCTGCCTGGTTCAAACCTTGCCTCTGATGCTAACTAGCTGTGTGATCCTGAGCACATTACCTGTGTTCCTCTCTTCTCTGTGTTTCCTTGTGTATGAAATGGGACTAAAATAGATACTGAATCTCTGTTATGTCCTTGCTTTTTTTCTTGGTTCGCTCTCCCTTTGGAGAAGCTAGCTGCCCTGTCAGGAACACATGCATGTGGTGAAAAACCGAGACTTCCAGCCAACAGCCATGTGAGCGAGCCATCTTGGAAGTGGATCCTCCAGCCCCAGTCAAGCCTTCAGATGACTGCAGCTTTGGCCAACATCTTGACTGCAACTTCCTGAGAGACCCTGAGCAAGAATCACACCATGAAGATGTTCCTAGTTTTCTGATTCTCAGAAACTGGGTGAGATAATACATGTTTGCTGGTTTAAGCCACTAAGTTTTGGGATAATTTGTTATGCAGCAATAGATAACTAATACAGATTGTGTGTGTGTGTGTGTGTGTGTGTGTGTGTGTGTGTGTGTGTGTGTGTGTACAAGATGAATATGGCTTCTGCAATCATGGAGATTAAATTCTAGTGGAGCATAGGAAGGAGTCAGCTGACAATACCAATACAGTGTGGAAAGTGCTATGGGAAAGCACAGGGTGCCATGGGAGAACATAGAAGGGGCTCTGGGTATAACTCGAAAGAGGTGATGGTCAGAGGAGGCTTCCTGTACTCAGTTACATCTAAGGTGCATCTTTTTTTTTTAGACAAAGTCTTGCTCTGTCACCCAGGCTGGAGTGCAGTGGCACAATCTCTGCTCACTGCAACCTCTGCCGCCTGGGTTCAGGCAATTCTCCTGCCTTAGCCTCCTGAGTAGCTGAGATTAGAGGCATACGCTACCACACCTGGCTAATTTTTGTATTTTTTATTAGAGACAGGGTTTCAGCATGTTTGCTAAGCTGGTCTCGAACTCCTGACCTCAAGTGATCCACCCGCCTCAGCCTCCCAAAGTGGTGGGATTACAGGTGTGAGCCACCGCACCTGGCCAGTTGCATCTTGAATGGTGAGCAGAGCTGGTCAAGCAGGCAAGTGGGTGAGGGGAATGAGGAAGGGCATTTCAGGAGAAGGAACAGCATGTGTGAAGGCCTGGAAGTGAGACAGATGGCAAGCAAAGGTGAGGGTGGGAAAGGGGCCAGATGATATTGAGCTTCAGGCTCCATGATAAAGGAGTTTGGATTTTGAGGGGTTTTGGGCAGGTTAAGATTGTGTTTTAGAAATATCAATCTGACTGTGGCATGGAGAATAGAGTGGAACTAGAAAAAAATGGGAACCTAACAATTATTTCCATTTATATGTTCTACGATGATATTATATTATCTGATATACATAGATTTATTTTTTTAAGTAGAGTTCACTCCTAACATATGAAAATACTTGCTTTATTTAAAATAATTTTAAGTGAGGATTTTCTCATGTTATTGTTAGCAAATGAAGTCTAATATGATGACACATGATGTAATTGAACATACCGCAGTAAATTTAACCAATCCCCTGTTGATATTTTTATCTTTCACTGTTATAACAACACTGGGATTGACATGAAAAGGGTCTCCCAGAATCTTGCACAGTGGGTTTTATTGTTTGGTGTATTCTAGTAGGGAGTTGAGGGTCTGTAGTGGCAGGATTATGTAGAGGAGGTGGCAGATTGAGCCCTAACTACCCAGTATATTGGTGACATCATCTCTGGTATTTTCTGAGACATTCCTAATTTGGAACATTTCACCTCATTGGGGTCATATATCCTGAGTTTTTGTTTGGAAAATATTCTCCCCTCTCCATGCCATGAACTTCACGCTTCAGCAGTACTGACTTGCTTTTCATGTCTCATACCTGCTATGCTGTTCTTACATCCTGCCTTTGCCCACACTGACCTGTTACTGGAATGCACCCCCTCCTCTTTGTCTGTCTACCTCCTTTCCATCATTTCTTTAAGACTCTTCTGAGACATCTCCAAGAGGGCTTTCCTGATCTTGCTGCACCTCTCCAACCCAGTGCCCTGGACTTACTTCTATTCCTGAACTTAGCACAATATATCAAAATGATCATTTTGTGGCTCTCCCCAACTCAACCATGAACTCCTCAATGGTAAATGATCATGAGTTAAAGAACAAAACAAAACTGCTCTATTACTTTATATAATGACTGGAATACTTTGGGCATTGAGCAAAATTTTACTGAAAGGATAAGTGAGTCAATGAGCCCTGATGGAAAAGGTGAGTAGTTGGATTGTCCAAGGCCTGGGGTTTTGCTGGATAAAGCTAGCCCAGTTAGGCCAGGAAATTGAAATTGCTAAGAGGGATAAAGTGATGGACCATGGTGTCTTTGTTGGACAGGAAGAAAGTGAAGCGAGGAGGAGCTGGTAGAGAGGAAGCAGAGGAGTCAAGGACGTGAGGGTTCTGTGCATTTGAGGGACAGGCGTGGTGAGGGTAACACCCCACCTGGCTGAACTGACAGATGGTAGTTCTCAAACTCAACCAGGCATAAGCATCATCTAGGGGCTTGCTAACAAGGCATATTTCTGAGTATCTCTTTAGTGAGTCTAACTCAGTAAGTCTGAGGTGGGGTCTAGGATAGGCATATTTAAGGAACACCCCAGGAAGTTATCATTCAAGGGGTCTCTGCCCCACTTATGAATACCTTCTGAAATGTGAGGCTTTGGGGAAAAAGTAAGATGTCTGATTTTAAGACTTCAGAGGTGGAGATGTGCTTCCTGAAGTCAGGTCCAGGAGTGGCCACAGGAATGCATGATTGGGACAGGAATGCATGGAGGTAAAGACCAAGGTCAAAAGGTGTAGTGGTTTATCCTCGTGCATGTAATAGTCACCTAGGATGGTGGCAACACTTAGGGGAGGAAGGACTCAGCACCATGTGCCAAATCTTCCATGAACCAGAGGGCTGTAGGATGATCTCCCTGATAGGGTGGAAACTTTACAAACTAATAACTACGGTTCTTGTGTGTGAATGCCTAACCGTACTGTGGGAGGAGCCTGTATGTGGCTGAGAAGAAGAAAGCGGGATCTGCTGGAACCTTTTTCTTCCCAGCATTTCTAAGGCTGTAAGCTTGCAGGGGAGGGGCAAGCAAGTGACTGCAAGTGGTGCAAAAGGCTGACAGAGCGTAATCATGACCATAGATGAAAAAGGCCCACTTGGAAAGCCACTTGGAGTTGAGACTAGAGAAGAGGCTCAAGAAGTGTTGATGCATCCCACCACACAAACAGTGGTGTCAACAGAAACTATCCTTGGTCAATAATCCAAGTATCTCAGGTGTGACATCATTGAGATTTGAGGTGCCACAGGTGCCAGTTGATCATACTTCTTTCTTCCAATTGAGTCTAATCAATCTGAGAAATAGAAATGAGTGATAAATAAGGGTTCAGATTCCACATTTATTACCCAGAGTTGGACTGGAGAATAGGGCTTAAAACAGAAGCTCAAATTGGACTTTCTACTTCTGCTCCTCCAAATCTAGTGCCTAGATTCATCCCTTATGAGGTGAGTTAAATCTGCAAAGCCAGTCTTGCCCCATCAGCAGCATCCTGGAGGAAACTGCCCTGCCCCACGCCTCATCCATTGCAGGGGAGTGGTGGCCTCCAGGCCTGCCTCTTCATGCGGAGATCCACCCCTGGTTAATGCAGCTCAGTGGATGAAAGGCTCTGCCCGGATCACCATGGCATTAGGTCACCACTCCTGCCCTGAGGAGGCACAAGAGAGGAGGTGAAGAGAATGGCTGTCTGAGTGACCCACAGTGTTTGAGGCAGTTCCCACTTTATGGACCAAGCTGTGAGAGAAGAACAAAAGCTCCTTGTAAACTCTGAAAGTGTAGGAGAGAAGCCACTGTAGAGAGGGAGTTGGGCCCTCAAGAGAAGGGTCTTAGAGGATGGGAACATGGTGCGATGTCTGGCATTTTACAGCTCCCTAACACTGTTATCTACGGGATGATTTCTTCAATTTTTTTTGAACCAGTAAAGTCCTCAGTTTTGGATGCAGCAAGCATGACATCAATGAGAATGCTCCTCACAGATCCCTGATTGCATAGTGTGTCATTGACTGAGGGCTCTGCTGCTGGGCTCTGAAATTCGTCATAGTTTTTGTGCCAAAGTTGTGCCTCACAAAAACAGCTTCCAGCCAGTGCCTGAGTCCAGTGATGGACCATGGGGTCTGATATGGTTTGGCTATGTCCCCATCCAAATCTCATCTTGAATTGTAGTTCCCAGAATCCCCACGTGTTGTTGGAGGGACCAGGTGGAGATAATTGAATCATGGGGGTGGTTTCCCCCATCCTGTTCTCGTGATAGTGAGTTGGTTCTCATGAGATCTGATGTTTTTACAAGGGGCTTCCCCATTCACTGGATATTCATTCTTCTTTTCCCAGCTGCCATGTGAAGAAGGACATGTTTGCTTCCACTTCTGCCACGATTGTAAGTTTCCTAAGGCCTCCCCAGCCATGTGCAACTGTAAGTCAATTCAATCTCTTTCCTTTATAAATTACCCAATCTCTGGTTTGTCCTTATAGCAGTGTGAGAATGGACTAATACAGGGTCTGTGTTGGACAGGAAGGACATGAAGAGAGGAAGGGCTGGTGGAGAGAATGCAGAGTAGTCATAAGACACGAGCCTCCTCTGATGGTCGACTTTGCCTTGAGAACTCAGATGACCTTGCCAGAATCTTCTTAGATAGCTTGGAACTCTAGAACATTTCTACTCACCCTTCTTCCTTCTCCCATTCACTCAAGGCCAGACCTGCAATGTGATCTGACAACTCCCAGCCTTACAAGGTTCTCTTCCAATTTTCTCTCACAGGGATTTTCCCTAATAAAATCATCACACATTTAATCCTGCCTTAATGACTGCTTGTTGGAGGACCCAGACTAACACAGCAAGTCAAGTGGGAGGGATGTGGTGGCTAGGACACTTATCGTACTGAGCAAAACCTGCCTCAGGGAGTGGCAGCTCTGAGAAAATGCAGGAAAGCAAACCAAACCACTGGTTACTAAGAGCAAAGATGTGAGATGTTGTGAGAGTTTACACAGCAATAATGATGTGCTGGGTGGGATCCGTTCATTACCTCTGGAGGTCCCTGCTTTATAGATCGGAACCTGGGGCTCAGTGAAATTAAGCACCTGGACGACAATCCTGTAGCTGCCAGGTGAGGAGTCCTCAGGTGAAAACTCAGGACCCTCTGGGCTCCAACTTTTTGCTCTTTCTGTTGTATCAGTGGCAGAAAGAGCTGCCCTCGGCGGGACAGGCTTCTCAGTATGAAGAAGCAACCAGGAGTCTTGACTGGCACCTGTCGAGTGGCATTTAGATGCACTGGTGTCCATAAATATCTCCAGATATAAGTAGTTACCCTTTATGCCACTCCTGCTAAAGTGACCACTGAGCACTTAAAACTGGTTTTACTAAGGCCCTTAACTCAGGTCAAGATCAGAGTTAACAGATGCTGTCATGGGCCAGATCAAAGTCTTGATCAAATGGCTGATTGGTAGAAACATTAAGGCCTACTGCCAGTGAAAGATTATCTTTCTCTCTTTAATCTCATTCAACTAGGCAAGTCAGCTCAACTTGGAACATATATCCAGAATCTGCCTGCTTCTATCTGTTGCCATTGTCCATGTCACCATCTCCTCTTGCCTGCAGTGAGACCAGTTAGTGGCCTTCTAACTGGTCTCTCTGCTTCTGTTCAGCCTCTTCCAGCTGATTCTCCACATACAACCAAAGTGATTGCCCTAAAAGTAAAATCAGATCACATTCCTTCCCTACTTTAAACCTTCAAGTGGCTTCTCATTACTCCTGGAAGAGATTCATGCTCCTTCTCGTAGCTCATGTGAATTTCTTTGACCAGGCTTCTGCCCCTCACTTTTCAGCCCGCCCAGCCGAATCTCCTCCTCTGCTCTGGCCACCTGGATGTCTGTATGTTTCTGGAAAGGCCAGGTTCTTCTCCACTCTGCACTCTTTGCACTGGCCATTCTGCTTACCTGGAATATTCTTTCCCACCTTTGCCTGCCTTGTCTCTCCCATTATTCAGTGTCTCCATGACCACACAATCTGAAGCTGATTCCCCTCTTACCCACAGTGCTTTCACACAATCCTGCTTTATTTGCTTTAGAGCAAAGTAAGAAGTTACATGATCTCCTTCTTCACGTGCTTTTTGTCTGTCTCTTCCCATTAGAACATCACTTTCATGGGAGTGGCCTGCTATCTGCCTTATTTGATTCTGTATCTTGGCACTGACAACAGTACTGGGCACATAGTAGGTGCTCAAAAAAGATTTGCTGGCTGGATACAGATCAATCAGCAATGAAAGTAGAGCATGTCTGAATGAATATGGAAGTCAATGGAGAAAAGATGATCCAAGCACTTATGTTACATGCAATGACATATTTTAAATCTACTTACTCTTAGAAGAAATCTACTTTCTCTTTCCATAAATTTGAGCTTGAGGAAGCAATTCATTAAAAATATGTGAAGGGTTGATTTAAGGTTGGGAGGACTTGTTGGATATGTCTGCAGTCAGGTTTATATCAGGAAAAACAGAAGGGAAAGGAAGTAACATTTAGTAGAGACCTACCAGACCCTGGGACTGGGGTGGGGTCATAAACACAAAAACAAATGATACTTATTGTTGGCTTACTTGGTGGTACTGTACCTGCTACACATGTGACATTCCTTATGTCAACTGATCTTCACAATGATTCTACAAAGTTGGCACTGTCATGGGCCACATTGTCCAGAAAAGGAATTGAGTCCCCTTTTGTAAGAACTTGCTTCAAGGAACCACAGCTAGTAATGACTGGAGCTGGGGTTTGAACCCTGGTCTCTGATTTCAAAGCTCCCCATCATATAACCTTATATAAAATGTGCACAGCTACCACTCACTGTGGGTTTACAGGGCCAGGGCCAGGCCCAATACTAAGGCTTTAGGTAAAGGTATGTTCATCAAACCAGGATTAAAACCCCAAAGCCTGTGCTTCTTACCTCAGGCCACTCCATCTGTTGAATAGCTTTGACCATTCTTTGCCTTTGGTTTCTGGTTTGCACTCCTGGCAGCAGATGCCAATGCAATTGTGTGACTGCCTTATCTGCTGCCAACAAACCAAAGGCCTGGGAAGGTTTTTGCCAATTCATGTGGGTGTGAAATTTGTTGCTCAGCATTGGAATAATACCTGCCATTTGCAAGGATACCTTAGATGTTTATTGCCAGCCCACTCACTTTCTGATGTTTGCAGCAGAGTACAAGGGTTGTGTTGTGGGTCTTGAAGTAAGACCATTCTTAACATACAACTAGGTTCAAATCCTGGCTCTATCACTCATCAGCTGTGTTACAAGGACTATAGAAGGCTTTGTTTCCGTATCTGTGTGTGCAGAAAACAGCAGTTGCCTACCTCATAGCTTGCGATTTATTGTAATAATATATTCCACATGTGCCTGTACCTGCCTCTCAGAAAGCATTAGTTACTGGTGATCTTTTTTTATTATTACTGTATTGAACTTAAGGACTGTCCTGAGCCAGACTGTCAGAGAGGACTGAGGTATCTGGGGAGGTATCTGGGGAGGTATCTGTAGTCTGACTACATGGGGCAGCTTCAGATTAATAAGAACAAGATTCTGCCTGCTAACAATTTCTACATCTATTAAGAGCAGTAATAAACCTCTTTTGTGGGTATAAAATTTGCATGAAAACACCTATAAGGATAATGATAATAAAGGCTAATATTGAACAGTTAATATGTTCTAGGTAATATCCTAAGAATTTAACATTCATTAACTCAATAAGCCCACGTGGCAACACTCTGAAATGGGTGTTGTAATGATCTTCATTTTAAAGATGGGTGCCTGGAGGCAAGAGTGTGTTGGGGATATCACATGGATTAATTAAATATTTATTAGATGCTGAGATCTTTCAGGGGAAGGAATTTTTTATTATCTCCAGGGCCCAGTACACAATAGGTGCTCCATAGTTATTTTCATGTTGAATAAGTGATATAGATCAAAGGTTGGCAAACTTTTTCTGTAAGAGGCCAGGTAGCAAGTATGTTAGGCTGTGGGCTCCATGAGGTCCCTGTTGCAGCTTCTCAACTCTGCCGTTGTAGTGCAAAAATGGCCAGAGACAATGTGGAAATCAGTGAGCATGGCCGTGTTCTGATAAAATGATTTCTAAAGACAGGTGGCAGGACAGATGTGGCTGCAGGCTGCAGCTTCCCCTGATCTAGGTGATACTGATTCTGATGCTGTTAAACAGTACCATTTGCTAAGTGCCTACTCTGTGCGAGGCACTATTATAAGTACTTTCATGCATTGTCTCATGAGATACAGATGAAGAAAGTAGGCTTATGGGGTTTAAGTAACTTGTCCAGATCTGTGAGACTACAGAGCCCAGACAAAGGAGACAGTGTTACAGATTTTGAACATTATTCAGGTGAAAGTATAAGTGGATTCTAGATCCTTACTACTCAAAGTCTCGTCCATGGACTGGCAGCACTGGCATCACCTGAGGGCTTGTGAGGAATGCGGACTGTTGGGCCCCTCACTAAGAAATCTTGAATTAGAATCTACGTGGTCACAGGATTCCCAGGGATTTCCATATATGTTAAAATTTGAGGAGCAGATGAAGGTTCTAGATCATTCACATTTAAAGACAAACACTGCCCAGATGTCTGGGTTTTGTGAATAACATGGGATTTCATTCATCTTGTGAGGGTAAATCTACTGTCAGCCCAGCCCGTTTCTAGAACAACAGAGCTATGAACATCAATGAGGAAAGGTAAGTTTAGACGCCTAATAGAAACTGAATTGTTTAACAACTTTTGGAGGAAACTTGGAAAATGTAACCGATGATTTAATGATCTTTAACTTAAAGCGATTAGAAATATGCAGGGTGAGGCGGTCAGTTTCACCAAATGGGGTTAGAACTTAGTTTTCTATGCAAAGATGGACACTCAGGTTGAAATTTCTCAAAAGTTCCGAGTTTGTGTCAAGCATATTGACGATCCAGTGGCTTCTTTCTTGTGACTGGGACAGACCTGGGAGGTGCAACACAGCTCTCCTTGCTGCTGCTCCATCTAATTTACAATGAGATCAGCATACAAAGGGGAGTGAGGAATCACTCTGCTAACAAGCTCCCTTCCCTCTTGTCTCTGGAAGAATGTTGGCTGACAGGGACACAATTAAAAAGGGATTGATTTATTGAGCTGGAATGCTCTAGCCCCCCTAATCTCAGAATCTCTCTGCTTCATGCAATCACCATTTCCAAACAAGAGTCAGCCTACACGAATGAAACTTTTCGTGATCACCAGGGAGCCAAAGACGTAGTTTACCAAAGGTAGCTCAGCCCTTGAAGCCCATTAAAAAAAACAAAAACCCACATAAAAGAAGCCCTTTCCTGCATGAGGGCCTGGATAAGGATCTGGAATTCAATAGGAAAGGATGACCTAAACAAAAAGTAAGCAGTACTCATGAAAACTGCTAACCTTGGCTCCAGGGAGGGGCACAGGTCAAGAAGAGTAAGTGGGCAAGGAGCCCTTTTTTTGTCTTTTACATAATGAAACTATAAATTTCTGTTAGAAATCACAGGATCATCAAGCATTTGGAATGTTTATGAGGATCCTGGTGGGATTCAAGAGAAGAAAAAAAAATCTGTGGATTTGAATTCAATTCTTCCTTTGAACTGTCTCATTGAACCCAGGTGGTCAAATCTCTGCTGTTTGTATGCATGTCATTATTTACAATTGTTGGGATTTGAGAGGGTACCCAATAAATAGCACCTATTTTTTTTCACTAGAATTCTGAACTGTTCGTAAAGTAAAACAAAAGACTTGGCAGATGGAGACGGAAATGGAGCATCCGTTTTGTTACTGATAAAGTGGGTGCTGGAAAATGGAGCTTATATCTGTGCATTGGTAGATTTCTTGATATCGAATACCCAACCTAAAAATATTACCTCCCAATCACAGCAGCTCTGGACAGGCCTTTGTGGGACGTGTATGGAGGGGCAGCAGAACGTACTCCTTGATAGCAGCCTCACTCCCAAGGGAAAGAGAAAAGACGCGGCTGGGCTGCACATACCCAGTTTCTCCTTCCAGATTTATCAGAATAAGAAAACCACTTCTTCCCTGGGGGGAGTAAGTCAGGGGACAGAGAGAAACCAGGAGTGAAGTGGGACCTCTCCCACATAGAAGAAATCGTCATGAGTGGGGAAGAAGCATCCTCTACCTTCACACTTTTGAAAATTAATGATAATATTACTAATAATAACAGTAATGACAATAATAAGAACAAAAGTGATCATTTACAAAGTATTTACTTGCTCAGGTTCTGAGCAGAATCCCCTACCTCATTTAATCTTCACAACAACACATTGAGATAATTTTATGATTGTGTCTCTGCAACAGGTGAGAAAACTGAGACACAGAGGTTGCGTAATTGTCCAAGGACACACAGCTAGGAAGTGGTACAGCTACAGTGCAAACACAGCTTTGCCTGACTCCAGAGCCTGAGTTGTGCAGCAGACTCTGCTCTATTTGTTGAATGAATAATGAAGTAAATGAATAAATGAATAAATGAATGAGGTGAACTAGAGGATAATGTGTCTAGAAGTCTGGCCGCATGGGGGAAATCTGTGTGCAGGATTGCTAGGTTTGGCAGCCGGCCCATCTTTCCCTCAGTTCAGAGGCTGACCCTGAGGATTTTTCCCTAGAATGTTCTGCCCTGCCCGGCTGGGCCAGGCCAAGCAGTGCTCCAGCAGGTGGACCTTGGAGCTAGTCTTGCTCTCCCAGGAGCCCAGCGTCAGGGCTTGCTGGGGGCAAGAGCCAGGGGGCTGCTTGTCCACAACCATCCCCTTTGCTTGGTCTCTGATTTGCATTCTAGATTTCTCAGTGGCCTCAAGGCTCTGAATGCTTCCCAGATGGCCACTGGCCTAAACACAGGTGGCCAGGGGAGCACTTAGACAACCCACTCCATGGGAGAGGGATCAACCCGTCTCTGCCTGAGCTAGAAATCTGACTCACAGATTAGGGGTCAGGGAAGAGCGCAGCGACTGAAGCTGTCTTCAGCTCCCCGTCTCCCTGTGGGAATGTCCCCATCTCCCGTGCATCTGGCCACCATATTTCCAGGCATCTCTCTCACCACCAGGCATTACACAAAAATCAGAGCCTCTGAGATGCCCTTTTCCCTTACTTGCTCTTTTTTTTTTTTTTTTTTTGAGACAGGGTCTCACTCTGTCACCCAGGCTGGAGTGCAGTAGCATGATCTTGGCTCACCACAACCTCCACCTCCCGGGTTCAAGCAATTCTCATGCCTCAGCCTCCCAAGTAGCTGGGATTATGGGTGCCCACCACCATGCCTGGCTAATTTTTGTATTTTTAGTAGAGATGGAGTTTCACCGTATTGCCCAGGTTGGTCTCGAACTCCTGACCTCAAGTGATCTGCACACCTCGGCCTCCCAAAATGCCGGGATTACAGGCATGAGCCACCACGTGGCCTCATTTGCTCTCTACACCAACCTGCAATTTACGTTTGAACCCCTGGAGTGGCAGCATAATCTTTATCAGACTTCCCTCCCTCCAGGTCAGGACCCCTTCCCTTCTCCAGGTACCCGCTTCCTACTCCCCACATGCCACCTCGGCTTCCCCACCTCTCCCTTGCCCCTGTGTCCCACCCACTCCTGTACAGAATTCTGCTATCTTAATCTCTTTCTTTGGAAACTCCTGTCATTTGTAATTATCCCCCATTTCCTTCCTCTACCTCAGCCTTTTTTTCCCAGGCCACCTTCGCCTTCTCAGCTTTCTTTTCAAAGATGCTGCATTTTTTTTCCTCCTTATTTGGACCAACATGACCTGACAGGGTGGCTGAAACGGCATACTGGGGATAGAAATATGTGCCAGTTCCCTCCATAGGTTTTTGTGTTTTTTTGAATGGGGCATTTGCAATCAATTTATGGAGTTTAGCTGAAAGGTTAAGGAGTTTTCACTTAAAAATCAACCTCCCCAAAGGAAAATATTTGGTACATCTTTTCTTTCATTGTAATTGAGGTCTCCACATGCGCCTATGCTTAGGATCTATTCTGGAAAAGGCTCCCAGAGAAAAACCTGTCTAGTCCATTCAACTTCTACTCCAGTCTTATGAAAATGGATTTCATAAACAGTAGAGAACATATTTGTCCTTTTATCTTCTTCAGGATTATCTCTCAGAGAAGTGATGTCAAAAGGAGGTGCTTCTAATGATGCCAAAGGTGGGGATGAGACTAAGCGCGTCAGTTCAAGGGTCCACGTGTATTTGAGTGCATCCAGGAGAGGTCTCTATGGACATAAATGTCTATGGAACAAAACAAGACAAAGCAACCTTGAATTATTAGCTGAGACCTAACTCCAAACCGTCCTGCAAACTACAGCACATCCAGGCTCTATCTCACGGAGATTTCCTTTTCTTAAGCTAAGTGGCCCTGAAGGAGTCTGGGGAGGATGCTGGTGACATCCCCACCCAGACCCTGTTACTGGGCCGGTGCCCCCACACTCCTGCTGCTCTGAGTGGGGCCTACTAAAAACTCACAGCTCCTGCCTTCTCTAGAGATTTCACCCACAGGACTTCTTCAGCAATAGGAGACACTTCACTGGAAACATACATGCCCCTCACAACTGTCCCCTGCAGCCTGCATCCAATGACTAACCAATAGGAGATATGAGAGGACACCCCTTGTTTCAAAGTCAGACCAACTTTGCCATGTCATATAAGCCATGCAAACCAGACCATACAAGCCATGCCCCGGAGCTCCCTGTGGGATAAGGCTTAAGCTGGATCCCAGCTGGGACCACATTTTGGCCTAGTTCCTCCCTTTCCTGTCCTGCTTTCCTCACTTCCACAATAAATCATGCATACCCACATCCTTGTCTCAGGCTCTGCATTCAGGGAACCAGATCTAAACCGGACTCCAATGCCAAGTCAGCCAAGGGATCTGCCCATCAATGTCCAGACCTCAGTCTCAGGTCTTGCCACTGCAGGGTGAGGAAAGATCCCATGCACTGAGAGAAGCAGGAGAGACTACAGCAGCAGACGCTTGCCACAGTGCTGTTCTATACTACTTGATCCAGATTTGCTGGAGCTCCTCTGGTGGAGAGAGTCACAGGCTTGTGCCTCTTGGCAGGCTCAAGAAAAAAAGTATATCAAAATGGGATGGAGAGTGTCAAACAGAAAGAAAGATGACCTTCTCTGATGGAGCTGGGCTCCAGGTTCATAAGAAAACCAATAGCCCAGAGATGCAGGAGAGCATGTCTTTAGGCCCCAGCAACTATGGAAGCAAGAGAGTTGAAGAGACATGCATTATTTATTCCTGGCCTTTTAGACATGCCCAGTGAATGCTCCATCTCATCTATCATAAGCGTTTCTCCCCTTTGTGGGTGGAATAGGGTGGATGAGAAGGGATTGAGTGCAGTCTTGGTAGGGAATGGATAGAGAAAAGGAGAAGTGAAGTGGTGCTCTCCTCCCAGAGGCCACCTTTACTCTACCTCTCACTTCTTGGCTATCAAATTCTTCCTACCCCTCCTCTCTGGGAAGTCTTAGCCCACAGTTGTCTTTTGCTTCTATCAGCTTCTCTTCCACTTTCCTGCCTGACCCAACTCCTTGTCATTCATTCAACAAATATTTCCTAAATGCCCACTGGTCTCTCCTGCTTCTCTCAGCACGTGGGACTTTTTTTCTCACCCTGAATTGGCACGACCTGAGATTGAGGTCTGGACATTGATGGGGCAGATCCCTTGGCTGACTTGGCATTGGAGTCTGGTTTAGATCTGGTTGCCTGGATGCAGAGCCTGAGACAAGGATTTGGGTATGCATGATTTTTAGGGGTTGGGTACTTTTCCGGACATTGGGGATTTATTAGCAAATAGCTGCCATTTGTTCCCAATGGGGAAAGACACAATAAACATACAAACAGCTAAATTGGGCACATTAGGCTAGTGATAGGTGATATGAAGAAAATAAAACAAGAGAATCATGTACTTATCATGCTAGTGTTTGTTTCTGTGAGTCTCATCTGCCCTGTGAAGTTGCAAGTGCTTCGTGGGCAGAGATCTCCACTAATACTTCTTTGCTTCTTCCAAGGAGCCTGGTCCAGAGCCTTATCTAAGCATCATAAGAAATCAACACAAACTTCATGATTTCTGGACAGCAATTACACTCAGGATTTTCAACTCTGGACCAGCCTCAGGTTTCACTCCTTTTGCCCTTGGACTTCACCCATTGTGTGCTTTGTGTGCAGTGGTGTGAATGCGGTCTCCCAGGGCCTGCGTTTGAGCTGGCTGCTGCTTGCTGGTGTGTGACCTACGCTGAGTCTCGACTTTCATAGTCTCACCTCCCTTCCGGGAAAGGCAAGGAAGGTGAGAATGCCCACTCCAAAGGGTTGTGGAGGACAGAATGGGATGATCCATCTTCTATGACAAGAGGGTGATGGACTAAGTACTGATTAGTGAGAAAGCCAGGATCAGCCTCAGGGGATCCACAAGGCGCATTGGACCCATGGCCCTGGCCACCTGGTCAGCTTCAAGGGAGTCTTGGCCACTGGTTTTGGTCTTGATCAAGGTCCTGAGCATAGGCCTTTAGGAGTCAGCAGAGGATGTGGGAGAAAGGTTCTCTCCAGCCTTCCTACTGCCACATATCAGGATTCATCTTTTCTCTCCTCAAACTGATACCTTCCCAATGTCCGCATTTCTCTCCCTACTTAGGCTTGAAACCCCAGGTTTGCCTTTGCTTTTCCTTTTTCTTATCCTATTCCTCTACTCAGAAGCCAGGTCTCCCAGGTCCTGTGTTTTGTTTTCTCCAACTCCCATCATTTTCTTTCCTTTACTCCTGCCCCGCTTCCAGTTCTAGGTCCTTACTTTGCATTTTGGGGTGGTTGGTGTAACTTCCTCATCGGTATCTCTGACTCCTGCTTCTCCTCTTCACACTCCATCTGGCATACTCAGAGATCCAGCTGAAAAATAGAAGGACTCTAGGAGAAAATAGTGCGGACCCCTTTTGCTGGCATTTTGAGCTCTCTGCTACTGGCCCTCTCTACCTTCGTAGCTTCCATCTGCCAGGCAGCAGCCAGCTTGTCCACTCACTGCTCCCTGAACGTATCTGGTGTCTCCCTGCCTCTGAGCTTTTGCTCATGCTGTTCCTGCTGTTGAGGATGCTGGATTTGCCCTGCTCTTCAACACCCAGTTAAGAGGTAGTCCCTGATGCCACAATCAGCTGGGAACTCGATATCACCTCTGCAATTTGTACCCCTGATCTTACACCTTTTGCATGATACTTACATTCAGATTGATACTCTAGGAGTTCTTGATTTTTTTTGTGATATTACTGAGGGAGCTTTACTTTTTTAGACCCTGACATGAGAATGTCAGCCATGTTTGTCGAGAATGTGAGTTCTCTCCAGCAGCAGATGCTGAGTCCGGTAGAGCTGAGATGAGGACACCTGACACAACCCAAGTGGGTGTCTGTGGTTGCACTTGAGTGGCAGGGGATGGAGGAGCAACCAGGGAGATGGCAAAATATGATGTGTCCCGCTTAATGTTCCTTCTTCCTGGGATTCTCCAAATCTTCAGTAAAGATAAAATTCTTGAAGCAAGAAGAATTTCTGTAGAACCAGAGAAAACATTGACTCATGGGTCGGTGGCATCCCAGGTGACCTAGGAGTGGGTGGGCCAAAGAAACATGAAGAGCCCACCTGTCAGCTGCCTGCAGGGACTGTGGAGATGCCTTGGTTCCCATGAAAGGTGACGAGTGTAGTTTCTGATGAGTTCAATGCCATTTCTTTTGCAGAGTGGCTTGGGGGAACCCAGATGGCATCTGGGATAGATTTCTCATCCTGTCTGAGAGATTCTTGGGGAAGAATGCTAAAATCCTTCCTTTTAGTTCCTCTGGTTCGATGCCTAGCACAGCAATTGTTGATTTAAATAGAGATACTGAGGCAGGTGGTGATTTCTTTGCAGGGGAGTACGTGCTACCAGACAGTTTGTTTCTCCTACTTAGTATTACATAACGTGCTCTTTCTCCCATTTTTATATATGATCCTCACAGTGAGCATGGATGAGAGACTTTGTATACAGAGAAAGAAAATGGGACTCACAGAGGGTGAATGACTTCCTGAAGATCGCACAGTTAGAAAGTGGCAGAGCTGGGACTTAAATCCAGAGTTCCTGGCTGCAAATCTAGTGCTTGGTCAGTCTTCCATACCAGGCAGACTCCTGAGTTCTTATACATCAAGTAAGGCTGAACTGGGAGAATCTGGGAAGCTGGATTGCAGTGCCCTCTCTATTAACTCCCAAAGGAAAATGATATAATTTGAGAGTATGAGCTGATGCTAGGACTCTCTCTTCTTTCTTACATTATCTTCATGGAACATTTTGGTCATGTACAGATACGAAAGAGTCCCCAGAATGTCTTCCAAAGGAATTTCAGGACCCTAAAGCCTGGAAGCATCAGAAAACATTAGTCATCTGGATCACTGAACCAGAGCACTGCTTTGAAATGTAAAGGATTCCTGCATGAATGTCCACTCCACCCAGAAGACCGTCATTGTTGCTGGTAGGGTGTAATCTACAATTTGTGGCCTTCACCATTGTGTCATGCATTGATTCCTACATCAAGAGCCACGTGGGGTACATGTCATTTTCCTTCTCTTTACAAATGAGAAAATGAGGCTCAGATTAAATTACTTGCCCACGTTCATGCAGCTAGTAATGGAGAGATGTGGAATACAAAGCCATATTATTTCTTAATTCAAATGCTGTGTTCTCAGCCACGATGCTATCATGCCTGCAAGTAGACATTTGCTGATTGAATGGAGTTGAATCACACTACAGGAGTGAGTGTGGATAAGAGCCAAGTGTCTAGTACAGACAGAAATGTGCAGGAGTAGAGAGAAGGGTGGATTGCCGGGAGAAAGTGTGGCACTGCCATCAGACTGTAGGTGGCCTCGCCATTGGGTCAAGCAAGTATTTGGTGCTGGGGAGTATGGAGGGGGCACACGGGCCTTCTCAGGCAGCCCAAGAAGGACGAGGCCTTATAGGAAAACTGACTTAAGATGAACCCTGCCAGAAAGGGCCACTCCGTCACCAGCCTTGTCTGAGGTCATATTTCAAAGACTGGCTCAGGGCCACTGGCTGGGGTGCAGGGCTGTGAGATCATGGCTGAGCAATCTGACTTTTAAAAAATATAAGGACCAACTTGGGAGTTTTATCGCAGTTCTGCGTTCTGCCGCCCAGGCATGAAGTCAGCTGGCCTGCTTGTGACAGGGAGCATTTCACTTGTAATTAGCTGGTTTTTTTTTTTTTTTTTTTTAATATTCTGCCTAAACTGCGGTGTGGTGTGAGTGAGCCCGCTCCCTTGGAGCTGCCCCACAGCGGTAGCGGAGGTGAGTCATGGCCATAAAATCTGGAAAGCTCGTAGGGGGATGGAGGGCGGTGGAGAAATATAAATTATTGTGATCGTCTTTCAGGAGCGCTCGAGTTAATTATTGTACTTTCGCCAGCTGCGTTGTGCCTTCATCAATGCCGAGCCAGAAGTGATGGTTTTAGTGGGGAAAGAGTCGTTCTTTAATGGGGCAGAGGCCCACGAAGCCCTGTGTTCTTTTGAGGGAGGTTGGGTGCATGAAATTCCCAGCACCAGCTGGAACCTGTGCGGATTTGCTCTGAGACACTTGGGTGTGAGCAGCGTCACGTTTTCTTTATTTTTCTAAAGCAAATAAATCTGGCTTCGTTCTCCACCTGCCAGGGCTGGCAGGCAACCCATTCTTAGTTATGTCTTTTTTGATGGGGCAGGGGGGGCAGTGAGGGGTTCTTTCTTTCTTTTTTGGGGGCATAAGGAAGCCCTGGGAATTAGGTAATTCAGCAAGATCTAAAGGCACCTTCCTGGCCTTGGGTCCACTATGAAGAAATAATTGCTCATTGCCTGCAAAGTACCATTTTGAAGGGGCTCCTCATCTTCCTCTATCCCAACCCTGGGCCAGGGGGTCTGGGAAGAGGCTCCCACAGCTTGTGACCTTGTGTTATCCCTAGGCCCAAGCTTCATTATCCACTATCTGGTGCCGTAGGTCTCCACTATCAGAGACTTTTAAACCACGGTTTCTTCCCCAATCTCAAGGAAAACACATAACATCTCAGTTTGAGTCACCTCTCCTCTGTCTTTCTTTTTTTAAATTATGTATTATTTATTTTTTATTTGAGGACAGGGTCTTGCTCTGTTGCCCACGCTGGAATGCAGTGGTGCATTCTTGGTTCACTGCAGCCTCAACCTCCTGGGCTCAAGCGATCCGCTCACCTCAGCCTCCTGGGTAGCTGGGACTATAGGCACGTGCCACCACGCCTGGCTAATTTATTTTTTTTTAAGAGATGGGGTCTCACTCTGTTGCCCAGGCTTGTCTCAAACTCCTGGCCTCCAGTGGTCCTCCCACCTCAGCCTCCCAAAGTCCTGGGATTACAGGTGAGACACTGCACCTCACCACACTTCACCTTACAGGTGAGAGCCACCTCCCCTCTCCTGAGAGAAAGAAAAAGAAACAAAGACAAGAAAAGAAAGAAAAGCACCAAACCAAATCAATCAAACAAAAACAGAAGTTATATTAAATGTTTTCCTTGGCTATTGGTTCAGAAAAGGAGAAAATGACTTTTTAATTCTTTATATCTCCTCTGGCAAGAAGAGGTCGAACCACTTCTCCATAAGCTTATCATCACTCCAGCTGCGTGACCTTGAGCAAATTACTGACACACTCTGAGGCTCAGTTTCTCACTGGAATATTTTAAGGATTAAGTGATATGTCCCATGTCAGGCACTTAGCATGGAGCCCGACCTGGAGTTGGCTCTCAAAACATGGCTATTTGTGGAGGACTGTGAGCTCTGTGAAGTTGCCTATAGCTTCTCCACCCTTGAGGACAGGGGCTGTAGTTTGCTTATCTCTGTATCCTCAGCAACTGGGCACCCAGTAGGCATCCAAAAATACTTGGTTAACTGGATAGTTGTAAAAGGCGGAGATTTCAGAGAGGCTGAGAAGACCAAGCTTCCTTTACCAGCCCAGGCCAACTGGCCTTCACGTTGCATGTCCATAGTAGACCCATGCATGCATCTTGGGCATGTGCAGTGTGTGACTCAGTGGTGTCAAGATGTAACCAGGAGGACTGCAGATTTGGTATTGCTCACTCTGGATACCAAAATCTTGACTATAATAGATAGGGTGACTTGAACATTTTCTACGTTTTAACAAGAGTGTATTTCCCCATTGCCCAGCCTTTATTAGGGCCCATTTCGGGGGCTTTCTCTCCCATCCTACCCTTGGTTTCTGTGAGGTTTATAAGTGTCTCAGGTCACTGAGAAAATGGGGGTATGCTACAAGAAGAGTTTGATGGGGCTTAGATAAATCTCAAGTCACAGCAGATGACTTTCTTCTGTATGATCTATGAGCAAGTCGCAGGTGATATATAGATATATATAGCTAAGCTGGCTTCTTTACCCAGTTGACTTGGAGTGCTCATTTATATGGGGTAGACTATAACCTGCATTTATATGGTTGGAAGCCTTCCAGGCACTGACCAGCAGATTCCTATGGCTTCCCCACTCTCCCTATTTAAGCCAGCTTTGGCCCTCTTCATTCCAGTGCTCCTCACCCAATTCCCATCTCCTGTAACGTCATACCTCTGGTCTAGTTGTTCCCCTGTCAGGCCAGGTGACACAGGAATGAGCTTGTCTTTCCTCCCATGCTCTTTCCAGTTTTTTATGGCTATAGCTTAAACTCTGCACTTTTCTGCCCTAACACCTTCCTTTTTGAATCTCAAGAAACTATTTTGGAAATAAAAAAAGTTACACATCGCCTGGTTTTTGTTTTCTCAGTCCCATCTCTTCTCAAGGCTAGAGATGCTCAAATTGACCAGGGAAAGTGTATGAAGTGAAAATGAGAAAAAGAACAGCACCCAGTATATCCTTGTGGTATGTATAGGCCTATATCCTGATACCTGAAGGAATTCTTCCACCTGGAACTTTATGAAAAGGACCGAAGAATTTGCAGGAAGAACTCAGCTGACCTGCTATTAAAAGAGAGCGATCTCTATTTATGATGCATATTAAGTACTGGTGAATGATGCACAGAGAAGTCGCTGCGCTCTCATATTTAGGATACTCTGATTTGATTTGCAATCACATCATCAAGTATACCCTTATTTCATCATGTATGTGAAATGGGAGGTGATGGTGGTGAGGATATAGAGAATGACCCTTGTGTGTTGAGGGGATGGGTGGGAGAAGGTCAGAGAAGATCTGTTTAAGGAAACAACAGTTGAGAAAAGACTCAAGTGGCTTGAATCAGGGAGGCAGAGGACAGTAGGGAAAAGAGCATTCCATGCAGGCATGCAAAAGCCCAAGACAAGCTTGAACAATCAGTGGCTGATGTGGCTACAGTGGTGGGAGCAAGCAGTAGGGATGGGGGATGACGAGGAAAGACAGTTGAGTGTCCTAGACTGGCAACATTTCAAATTCTTTTTTAGGGCGAATGAGAAGTTTGGTGAGTTTAAAACTTGGGCAGGGGTGAGGGGGACAGAGATATGGTCTGATTTGCAATGTCAAGTTATGAAACTACATGAAGTTCCTGAATCACAGAGCTCACAGGCCAAAAACCATTTGTTCCAGAGGCCTCATAAAACTGGAGGCAGAAATTTTTGTCAGCTTGAAGGATAGCTTGAGGTCACCTTACTTTGCTACCTTGCAGTGGTGGCAGGGAGAAGGGAGACAGTCTTTACTGAGAGCCTATTCCATATTAATCATGATAAGTGGAGAAACATAGCTGATATCAGGCAAAGTGCTGCTTAGTAAAAAGTAAGATAATCTTTAGGCTCAGGGGCCTTCCTATACCTCTGAAATAAAAAGGTGAAGGCAACCAAGTGACATTCTCTTGATATAGATTGACAATGGAAGAGGAAATGAACTCTTTCTGTGTACCTACTTTCTGTGTACCTACTATGCACTTGACCTGAGCTATGTGCACTAGTGATATCTCACGGAATTCTCACAATAAATAGTTGGGTGAAGTTTATTTAATACCTAATGAGAAGTGTTTGGTGATAACAGAGAAGTCACAGCATTTTACAGAAGACTGAGCTTTGGGGCAGTGGAGTACCTTGCTCAGGTGACACAGTGCCCATGAGGCAGAGCTTGGACTCTGTTCAGGTTTAGGGGACTTTTCAAGGCTCCCTTCCCACTTCTCAAGCTGCTGGTGACTGACTCTTTCTCAGAAACCCCCCACCCTCAGGGTTTCAGAACCCCTTCTTTCTGCTCCTGTCTCTACCTTTCTTCTTTGATGGCTGCCTCCTCCATTTCCAGTGGGAAAGAAGTATCCAGGAGACCCATGGGAGCATGGGAGAGATTGGGCTGGAACATCTAGTTGGTGGAGACCCTTGGAAGCCTTGGGACGAAGGGATCTCTTGGGGCCCCCCACCCTTTGTGCTGAGTATTCATGAAGTCCCAGAAGCTGACCCAAGGGACCCTGGCCTCTCACCCAAACTGTTCAGAAGCTTTCTTGTTCACAGCCACATCATGACTTCCGTAAGTTTGAGGTGCATTTGTCTTCATGGGCGCCTTCCTCCATAAAAGCATATGAAAATAATTTAATGGATTTTGGGGGGCCTTAAACATTTCATTTTTTTTCTGAAAAATAAAATTAAAACATTTTATTCAACTTCATCAGTTCATTTGTCTTTCCTTTGGATTTTAAGGAAATGAGAACATTTTCATGCGCCCCTGAAAGGGAGCCCCTACGCACTGTGCCCACCTGCCTGATGGAGAGGTCAGCTCAGTGCTCATGGACTAAGAGGATACATCATAACTATGGCAGAACCTGCTTGGGGGCTTCACTATCTTGGTGTCTAGATGCAACTTCCCCTAGATGAGACTAAGGTGACTATGAAGTAGTCATGGCAAAGGCAGAAGCCAGGGTAAGGTCAGCCTGGATTTACAGAGCCTGTGGAAGCCTGGGCTCTGGTTCCCACACATCCTAGTGTTTGCATGTGTGGTTTCCTCTTCTGGATTTCCCTCCCTCAGTTGTTCATTGAGCCTTTCCTGAGTCATTCTTCAATCTCAGGACATGTGAGCACATTCTCTGGGAGACTTCCGTGGTGCACCTGGAAACCTTGTGCTTTGTTTAGGGCAAGCCATGTGAAATTGCCATTTTTGTGGGTCACAAAGGATTACTGCCAGGGACATATGAATCCTTGTGCTCTGATCTTTCCACTGGAGTTTAAGTTCTGAGTAGGTAAAGACTGTGACTTGAACCTGGCTGCATTCCCAGCAGCTGATGCACTCTCCTCTACGTTTGTTGAATGAATGGACGATTCGACTGGAAGGGAAGATCGCCCATATTTTCAAGGTTCTCAAATTTGAATAGGCATGAGAATTTTCTGGAGGACTTGTTAAAATGCATATCACTGGGCTCCACCTCCAAAATTCTGATACTAGATTCCTGATCATTAGCATTTCTAACAAGTTCCCAGGTGAGGCTGCTGCAGGCACCACATTTTGAGAACCAATGCTTTACTTCTCTAATAGTTCTTTCCTGGGGATGGGATGGAGGTCAGCGATGCATACTATTCTGGGTTGAATAGTGTTTACCCAAAATTTGTGTGCACCTGGAACCTATGAAAGTGACTTTATTTGGAAATAGAGTCTTTGCAGATGTAACCAGGTGAAGTTGAGGTCATACTGGATTAATGTGGGTCCCAAATCCGTTATGATGGGTGTCCTTATAAAAAGAGGGAAATTTGGACACACATAGAGCCACATAGGGAAGAACATCGTGTGAAGATGCACACAGAGATTGTAGGGATGCATTTGCTAGCTAAGGCATCCCAAGGATTGCCAGTGACCTCTAGAAGATAGGAGAGAAGCATGGAAGCTCTCCTTAGAGCCACTGGAAGGATCCAATACTGCTGACATTTTGATTTTGGACTTCTGGTCTCCAGAACTGTGAGGGGAAAATTCCTATTGTTTTAAGCCATCTTAGTTTGTGATAATTTGTTACCACAGTTATAAGTAACTAGAACTCAAAAACCCAAATCAGTGATGACGATACAGGGCAGGTGAGCTCCAAAATTGGGACTTTGTCTGAGAGGGTTCTTTTGATTAAACAGTACTCCTCCCTACAGACCAGGGCTAACTCATAGGCAGTGCACCCAGAGTTGGCAACAAATGGGGTCTTGAGGGGCCAGGTGTGGTGGCCCATACCTGTAATCCCAGCAATTTGGGAGGTTGAGGCAGGAGGATCACTTGAGGTCAGGAGTTTGAGACCAACCTGACCAACATGGTGAAACCCTGTCTCTACTAAAAATACAAAAAATTAGCCAGGTGTGGTGACGGGCACCTATAATCCTAGCTACTTGGGAGGCTGAGGCAGGAGAATAGCTTGAACTCAGGAGGTGGAGGTTGCAGTGAGGCAAGATCCTGCCACTGCACTCCAGCCTGGGTGACAGAGTGAGACTCCATCTCAAAAACAAACAAACAAACAAACAACAACAATAAAAGACAAATGGGCTCTTGGCAACTGTATTTATACTCACTTAAACCCACTTTTAATTATATGCAAGTTAAGGGAAACTATTTAGAACTTTCTCTGAAAGGGGCAATAACTTCTGGGTCATTGCTATGGCATTTGTAAACTGTGGGAGTGTCTTATGTTAATGAGCAATGAGGGGAGCTAGGGATCACTTTCATCACCATCTGCTGATTTGTACCGTTTTTTTTTTTTTTTTTTTTTTTTTCACTTTAACCTGTCTGGACCAAATCCTGTTTTGGTCCACAGGGTTATGACCAGAAAATAAGTCCTGCCAGTTTCTACCTTAATTTTAATCCTCTTCTCCTTCATTGAGAAGCTTTAGAGAGCATTGGAAATCGCCTGAAGGATCAGAGTCCCCAGGTGAAGCTGTGCAGGTTGTTCCACCTGGCCAAGGGGGTCCAGTCCACTCCAAGCCACGCTGCCCAGGAGGCTACTTCCACTCAGGGGCACCATATGGGACACCTTTACTGGGAGCCAGATGAAGAAAGATTCCCAGGTTCCAATCCCAAGATTCTACTTTTGTAATTTGGATGTGGGACCTGGACAACTGTATTTGAACAAGCCTCCCAGGTAATTAATCAATGGCCAAAGACTTCATTTAATAAAACATAGATTGTAGGGGGTTAGGTAAAATTGTAAAATAGACAAGCCATTACCTTTGACTTCTAAACCAAAGGTTCTTAGCTTTTTCATGCATGGGTACTTTGGCAGTTTGTTGCAGCCCAGAGACCCTTCTTAGAATAGAATACAAATCCTAAAAAATACATAGGATTACAAAGAAAAATTCATTATATAGAAACACAGCAATAAGAACATTAAAAACTCCAACTTTTGGATACAGTACTATAGGTGTTTCTTATATTAACATAACAAGAATTAGCAGTTGGTCTAATAACTACTATACTTTCTTTTTTTCTTTTCTTTTTTTTTTGAGACAGGGTCTTGCTCTGTTGCCCAGGCTAGGGTATAGTGGTGCTATCTCAGCTCACTGCAGCCCCTGCTTTCCAGGCTCAAGTGATCCTCCTGCCTCAACCTCCTGAGTAGCTGGAACTGTACACACATGCCACCATGCCTGGCTAATTTTTGTATTTTTTGTAGAGGTGAGATTTCATCATGTTGCCCAAGATGGTCTCAAACTCCTGGGCACAAATAAGCTGCTTGCCATGGCCTCCCAAAGTGCTAGGATTACAGGCATGTGCCACTGCGCCTGGCTAATAACTACTACACTTTCAATGTTGCAATGAGTCCAAATGATATTTTGAGATGCTCTGCCAACTGTAAAGTGATAAAAAAAAAATCTATGGTTTCTATTCATGCAACATCACAGGAACTGCTTATGCTATTGTGGTTTGTGGTCCACATCATAATTGACTACTCTTCAGTTAGAGTTAGTAGAAATAAAGATGCAGTTTTCCGTAAGTTCAAGGGCTCCCTGAACTCTCAACAAATACTTCGAAAGTGAAGAGTGCCTTGGAGTCTAGCTCTTCATCTTTTCCCCTTCTAGGTGGGGTCCCTGTCACCTTGTAAGCCTGTAGCAAACAAAGATTCTCCTTTTCTTGGCCCACATCAAATCTTCCCTTAAATACTACACAATATAGTGGACCAAGCATGGGTTTTGAGCCCATAGGTTTAAATACTTTCCTCCCAAGTTAACTTTAATCTGATTCTTTTTGACTACATTTACGAAAACCATTTTGTAGGGCTACAGTGAGAATTAGAGATGGTATATATAACTTGGCATACAGTAGGTCCTTAATAAAGATTAAATGACATTCCAGTTGTAAGTTACTTCTTTTAAAAATTTTTTTTTAGTGTTTCCCCAGTTAAGAGATATTTAAATCTTAATGAGGAGTCACTTCATTTCAGACACCTGCTGGAGAAAGAGGATAGGATGGGAGGAATGAGAATTCCTAAATCACTCCATGTTGGAGCCAAATAGATTCATTCATTCATCAGTCTTTCAAAGAACTTGCTGAGCACTACACCTACTATGCGTGCTGTTGGAGCTGGAGGAGCATTGGGAAGGCCCTGGCGGAGTCTGGGCAGAATTTTAGCAGCTCATCTCCTGAGGCCTAGCCAGCCAGTTCTTACATGGTAACGACTGGGCTAGACAGAAGGCAGTCTGGATGTCTGCAGTTGCTTGGCCACTTCCTTGAGCATGGCCTGTGCCCTGGCTAGTGTGAGCCCCAGGTGTGGAGAGGATGGGTAGACAGGTGGGTAAACACTCTCCTATGCTATCCCGGCCTGCTCTCACCCAGGGCCTGTCCCTAATAAAGCCTATGTGTGTGAGTGCCTCTGACACATGTAATGAAGGCCTCTGTTTGCCAAGTTTGCTCAACTGGCCATACTCTGGGCCCGCTTGGGGAATAGTCTGCAAAGCCACAAACAAGCCTTCCGGCATCCCCTTCTTCGCATTTCTTTGAGGTTAGAGCTGGCATTAGAGGGCTCTGGGGACACATTCCCCTTGTACTGAGGGGACTGTGGGCTCAGAATTTTACTGCTTTTCTCCAGGGTCTATAGATAGAAGTCAGGAAAGCTGCAACTGGGTCTGCTGTGATGAGGGAGAACAGGGAGCTGAATCTTGGCTCATGTTGTCTAAAATACAAGCTCCCTGAATATAATTCCAGCTTCATGTCCCACCCCTTTGATGGTGACAGTAATCTTTGTGAAATTGCCTCAAGATGCAAGTGAAGCAAGGAATTTAAAGTCAAGTATCCTGAATTTAATTATGTTCTATTTCTGTCAACTGCCAATTGTGTGACCTTGGGCGAGGCACTTAATCTCTCCAGGCCTCAGTTTCTTCACAGAGTATACAATAGATGGATAATAGGGCCTCCATTTCAGTGAGATAGTGGGAAAAGAAGTTCAGACCTATCCCCTCTCCTTCCAAAGCCCATAAACATACTCCAAATATATGAATCTTCTCCAGTTTCCAAATGCAGTCTCTGCTCTGTACCATGTCAACCCACATGAAGCCCAGTTCCTTTTGAGAGTTCTACTTGTAAAGAAGCAAGGGTAAGGTTAGTAGAATTGACAAAAGTGCCTTTTTTTGGCACTTGGTTTTGTCAAGAGAAAGAGAGATGAGAGGTTTACAAGGCAGACATTTGATCAGCTTCAGAAGGATAGAAGGTATTAGACCATCTATAAAATATCCTTTTTCCACTCCACCGTGAAGAGTCTCACTGTCTCCTCACCTTATCAAGTCTAAGTCCTTCTCTATCTGTGCATCCTCTTACTTTATCCTCTATTTTCTCTACTCTTCACCGATCTCAGAAAATTCATCCCCTTGCCTCTTGCCCAAGGTAGCAAAGTTTCCCCTTCCTAAAGCCGTCTGCATCAACATTCCTGCTCTTGTGATTCTCAACTATCTCAAGTACCTCAAAGCATTTTCCTGCAAAAGACTGTTCTTCCTCTAAGTGGATTTTGTGTACTTAATGTTAATAATAATAGTAATTCAAATAACATGAAGATTACATGAGATAATGAAAATGAAAGTATTTTAAAATGCAAGATGTTTTACGTATTCATCCATCCATCCATCCATCCATGCAGTGGACTTTACTAGGTGCTGGAGATGTTGAGATAAAAATTCATGGTCTAATGAGGCGTTAGAAAATTATTGCAGTAAAGTGTAATAAATACTATCAGTGTGCTACACCTCATGTAAAATGACGGGACAAAAAAGAGAGTAAGAGATTCACATTGCTATAAATATAATACAGTAGATATTTGAAGTAAAATCTAAACAAAGCAAGCTCAAAGTGTCCTGAGCATTTTGAAGAAAAAGAGCTTTCTTTTTGATGGATCTAGTTCATGGAATTACATTGACAATGATCTGCATCTTCCCTATGTGTCTATAGAGTCAGATCTGTGTCCAAGGTCTGCAACTTTCTGCCTGGGATTTATCTGACGTCTAGAATCTCAGTGTTCTCATCTGTCAAGTCTGTATAACAACCCTCTATAAGGTTGCAATAGAGACCGAAAGAGATTCATTCACTCGTTTATTTATTCATTTGACAAATAGTGCCAGACACTGACCAGGGCACTGGGGTTTTTACAGAGAATGAGACAGTGAATGGTTCTTTTTTTCTCAGAGTGAACATTCTGCTGGGGAGATAACACCTATTGGTGCCCAATCTTGTTAACCAGCACCTACAAGCTATGCAACAGCTTCACTCCAGCCTTTCTTCTTGGATTATCTTTTTATTTAATTCCCCTACCACTTGTCTCAAAATTCTCTTGCCTTAGAGTCCTTCAGATAGGGGCTGCATGAGGGAACTCCTGGGAGTCTGGGGGATGGGGAGAGTCATCATGTCCATGGCCAGCAGGCTGAGTTGGGAGTCATAGTTAGTTTGGGCTGCTTTAACAAAATACCATAGACTGCATGGCTTAAAAAAAACCAAACATTTATTTCTCACAGTTCTGGAGGTTGGGAAGTCCAAGATCAAGGTGCTGGTAAATTTGGTGTCTGTTGAGGGCTTGCTTCCTGGCTTAAAGATGCTGCCTTCCTCTTACGTCCTCATGCAGTGTTGAGAGAGAAATAATCTCTCTCAAGTCTCTTATGCTCAACCATCATGACCTAATCACCTCCCAAAGTCCCCATCTTCAGATACCAATGCATTGGAGGTTAGGGATTCAATGTATGAATTTTGTGGGAGACACCATTAAGTCCATAGCCGCGAGATGGCAGGGAGGGAATTAAATATACTGAAGCCCATGCGTAAATATCGCCTTCTTTTTGCTTCTTTCTGCTAAGGCCACTGGAGAGAAACCCAACTTTTTAATAATTTCTCCTTTTTGGTTCAAAGTTTACTACAAGTATGCTTTCTTTGTTTCTGCTATAATCGTGTCATTGAGTGGTCCAAAGATAAATGTCAACAATGCAGCCCTCTGGCTGGAAAGGGGCCCAGGATGCCTGGGCTTGTCATTAAGGAGCGCTGGTCGGGGGAGTGGAGGAGCCATGTAGGGGCCTGGCAGACTCAGCAGAGGACACAGTCATTAACTATGGGAGGGATGGGATGAGCCATCCAAGCCCTGGGTCTGGCAGAGTTTATGACTATGTGGTGGAGAGCAGAGTGCATTTGTATTTCAGGAAATCCCCTCAGCCATTGCACTGGTTTTCTCTGGCTTCTTTGTCAAGCCTGGGTTCTTTAGTTTTTTTATTTTATTTTATTTTATTTTTATTTATTTATTTTTTAAGTTCTGGGGCACATGTGCAGGATGTGCAAGTTTGTTACATAGGTAAATGTGTGCCATGGTGGTTTGCTGCCCCTGTCAACCCATCACCTAGGTATTAAACTACCTGGGCTCTTTAGTTTTGACATTTGTTTTTTCCTTATGGACTTTTCCTCTCATTACACATCACATACGTGTTGTGAATTCAAGCCCGGGAAGCAGTGTATTGTTTTAGGCATGGGACATTGGTGGTATATGGAATCTGTGAAAGGAATCAAGTATGCTGGAGTCATAAATGCAAGGCTTGAGGTTTTGTGGTGTGTGTGGGGAATGATGCAGTCAGGTTAAACATTCAGAGGTGGGACCAGGTTGCTTGACTCTCCACCTGGGCTACCGCACAACACCCAAGGGCTATTCTCACACAGATACAGTGTAGACAGTGCCTGCTGGGGTTGTGTGGCACAGTAGTCGGCTTCCAAATCAGTGCTCCTTCTTTCCACCTACTTCTCCCTCAGCCTTCCTAGTTTTAAGTGGTTGCCCCAAGTGCCAGTTTTCCTAAGAGCTTGGATTGGATCCAAGGAATGTAGTCCTGAGGGCTTCATCAGGAATTCTTCTGTAGAGATAGAAGCCAGGGAGCCGTGTAATTAGAACTTTCTCTGGGAGGCTGCAAGAGGGATTCTGCTCAAAATGGCCCTGGGTAGGAACCCTTCTTAGGATTGAGTGGGAAAACTGGGGAAGATCTTTCTGCTGTGGCTTAAGGGTATTTACCTTTCCTTCTTCATTGCTTATTCCGGCAATGTGCTCATGTTAGAGTTTACCATGTGCCAATGTTAGAGTTACAAAGACAAGAGCTTAGAATAAGGCTTAGGAACCTGGTCTTCATCATTCACTCCTTCGTGCCTCTTGGATTCCCCATGGAGAGATCCTGATTCCCCAGGGTTAAGCACTGAATGGAAACAAAATGCTACTCTAGTGATAGTTGGACAAGCACCTCACATCCCCTTCTTCTCCATACTGGCCCCCATTTCTGCCACCATTTGCAGGGTTTTCTGGCTAGCTGTCCTGGGGTATAAGACAGACCTGGGAGCCTAAGCAGGTTTCTATCACCTCCTCCCACAAAGCCAATAGAGATCTGCAAAAGAAGCCCATTTGTTTATCCATCCAGTGGCAGATATGTGAGAACTGAAACAGAGCTGATGAGATAGATTAGGCTTGGCCCACTGTGTAGGAAGAGCCCTGTGTAAGTCCTGTCCTTGAGAGAGTGCATGGGGACCCAGCCCATAGTAAATCATGGCCCAGTGAATGTATTGTTGCCAATATCACAAGCTGGGAGCTGGCCTTGACTCCTTCCTCTCAATCCCACACCCAACCAAGTCCTACTCATTCTACCTCTAAAATATCTTTCAGATCCATCTGCGTCTCTTTATCCCCTCTCTACCATCATAGCCACTACAACCTCATCTCCAGTACAGGAACAGTGTCTTCCTAGGTCTCTCCAAATCCCCTCTGCCCCACCCACCATCTGTTATCCACATTGTTGCCAGAGAAGTATCTTGAAAATGTCTATCTAGCTAAGTATTTCCCCTATTGAAGCCCTTCAATGTCATCTTGTTGCTTTTGGCTAAAAACTTTTTCAACGTTCCTCATCCTTCATCCCTCCCCCCTTATATTCTGTGTTTCAGACCTAATGAACTACTTTCCTCTTTTCCAAACAGGTAATGCTCATTCTCGCCTTTTCCCATGCTATTTCCTCTGTGCGAGACTTTTTAATACTCCCCGCTTCCTGCTTCAGTGAACTCCTATATAATCTTCATGTTCTCAGCTTAGTTGTCACTTTCTCCAGGAAGCCCTCTTTCCTTTCTCTGGGTTGGTGGTCTTCTTACCTGTTTCTGCAGCTGCACAGATCATGTATTGCCCTTGTCTGTTTTCTGGCCATGCTCCCTGGCTTTGAGAACAACAGGGGCCTCCTTGACTTCTGCTGGGCTAAGCATGTAGGGTCTTCCTTCCATTCCAGACCATGTGGATTCACTTAATCTCTTTATGAGTTTGCCTATAGCAAAAGAAAAGGGGGCACTGGACATCATAATGGATGATGTCCACAATACCAGTGATTTCTTTTAATATCCAAACATTCCATGTATTACTGGTTGTTTTATCGTCTCTCAACAAAGTCAAGGGTGAAATGAGATGTCAGCTCTTTAAGTGGTGATTCTGTGGGGTAGTGGGGTAGGGAATGCTTTAGGCTATGTCTGGAAACTCCTGTATTGAACACGATTTCACCTCCTCTCCTCTTAGGGTGGAAATGCTTGAGAAACCCTGATAAGATATTTGTTTGTTTTTTCCCCCTCTGTGGAGCATTAATAGTTTAGCCAAGCTTTCAACAGGAACTATCAGATGATTCACTGTAGAGCCTCTGGGGAGGGTCTAAAATGGTGTGTTGTTGTTAATTAGGAGAGAATCTGTACACTCTAGACAGCCAAATGTATCTCTTCCATACCCAGCATTTCCTGAGCTTCTACCCTGTGCCAGGCTCTGCTGGGTGCTGGGTTACGGAGGTGACTCAAGACCCATCCCTGCTCTTGAAAGTCTCACCCATATCTAAGATCTATAGGAATGGCATGAAGAAAATGTTAGGAGTTGAGAGATGGCAAAAAGCACAGAGATGCACCCAATTATAAGGAGCAAGTGAGGATGGTGCGTCACATTTACACAGGCAAACTTTAGGAGTGACAGTGTGCAATGACCCTCGAAAGTGTCTCCCAGGCCATGGCAGTGCCAAGGGCCAATGTGGCATTAGGAAGCTTTAGATTGCCCCAAAATCTCTAGAATCCCAAATTCTCGCTCTGTCTCCCAGGCTGGAATGCAGTGGCATGATCTCAGCTCACTGCAACCTCTGCCTCCCGGGTTCAAGCAATTCTTGTGCCTCAGCCTTCTGTGTAACTGGACTATAGGTGTGCACCCCCATGCCCAGCTAACTTTTGTAGTTTTTTTTTTTTTTTTTGAGATGGAGTCTTGCTGTGTTGCCCAGGCTGGAGTGCAGTGGCGTGATCTCCACTCACTGCAAGCTCCACCTTCTGGGTTCATGCCATTCTCCTGACTCAGCCTCCCAAGTAGCTGGGACTACAGGTGCCTGCCATGATGCCTGGCTAATTTTAACTTTCGTATTTTTACTAGAGACAGGGTTTCCCCATGTTGGCCAGGCTGGTCTTGAACTCCTGGCCTCAAGTGATCTACCTGCCTCAGCCTCCCAAAGTGCTGGGATTACAGGCATGAGCCACTGTGCCTGGCCCTCTTCCTTAATGATTTCTGAAGTATTAGGCAAACACATTCTCAAGCCCCCTAACCCCCTTCACCAGATTGTCCCTCCAAGTCCCTTGCTAATAGGCATTCTGTGGCAATCATTTCTTCCCTCTGGTTCCTTGCTAATTCACAAAAACCCAGCAGTTGATCCTTAGTTGGAAACTGAGACACATGGGGGTTGTCAAAGAGATGGGCATGACAGATGCAGACATTTGGGCTTGTGCAGACACATATTCACTTTTCTATATTCACACAGACACAGTCTCGTATACCTTGTGACGACTCTATAGCCATATTGTTCTCTGGCTTTGATAGGTAGAAATGTCTGCAAGAGAGTGAGTAAGCCCCTTCCTCCTGCTAGACACTTGGATACTTGGCAGACTTTTGCAAAACCGACCTAACAAGGACCTGGCCCCAGACAGTGGGACAATGAAGATTTCAACATTGTTTATGACAGCCTGTTGCTGTATTGTAAGTGACCTCAGTACCCCGCTTCTGAAGGAAGAGTTTATACGCTAAGAAGCCCGGAAGATATGTGGTGTGGAGTGATGGATGGAGTGTTTAGGGGTGAGGGATGGTGAGGAGTTGGGGAGGGGAAGCAGGTGCTGATCTTGAGGCCATTTGCAGTGGTGTTGGGACTCATGCCAATTATAATCCCAAAAGGCATAATTGCTAAAGATCACAATTTCTAGAGTCTAAATGCCCTAACATCTAAAATCCAGAAAATCACAATCCCAAAAGATTAAAATCCCTAATATTGAAAATTTGAAAGCCAAATTCTGGAGGAGGGATTAATGCATTTTTGGTTGTACACAGGATAGTTGTATCATGTTAGTTCCATCAAGTTAGCTGGAACTATTACCTTATTATTGTCTTGACACAATTACCAAGGTTATTGTACCTTGATAATGGATTGGCCATGAAGTATGGCAATGATAAAATCTTCGGTTTAAAGATGCATCATTTGTCTGCGTTAGCATCCTTTCCATCTAATGAAATTCCAGGAGCTTTGAATGAATGAATGCTACATTTACCTGAAGAAGCCAGCCATTACTGACTGGCTCAAAAATAATTGTGTATATGATAGGATAAGAAGACACTTATGCAACAATGGTGCTGTTTGATCACCAGTATTGTTTCTGCCAAATATGTGGCCTGTAGATGAGTGCATTCCAAATAGGTACCTGGGTGCCCAAAGTGACATAGAAACACGGCACAGAAGATGGAAAAATCGAATAGGGAATGCTCGTCGTGTTGGGGTCTATTAAATCACAGAAGAATTTCAAAAACAGCAGTGCCATGTAGAAAATGAAAGTGAACATATTCTCCATGGGGAGCCGTGCCCTAAAAGAAAAAAAAGTAGCTATTCATCTCGATGCAAGACTTCAAAACATAGTTAATGATTGTAAAAGTTGGGCAGCTCTTATGGACTGTCTCCGTGCAATTGCCCATAATCTGTCCTTGTAATACACTTTTTCATGTCAAAGCTTCTTTTTTGTTTTGTTTTAGTTTTTTCTTTTCTTTCTTTTTTAAAGTTTTTTTCCACCACTACTTAAAATTATCAGTGTTATCTTTTACAATTTGCTATGTTATATATTTCATCTTTGCATCATTTTCAATACTGGAGGTATAGATTGTGTAAAGGCTTTTTAAAGAGTTCTAATTCATTTTATGTATTTTTTTTTGAAGATTTGACTCCATGAAGGTGCATTATCACAATGTTGGCTTTGTGCGTAAGCATTATATGTGTACGTAAAAATGTGGAAACTTCCTCAATAAATGAGAGATGTCCTTTTTGTACATTTGCACTTGTGAAAGGTAAAATTCTAGAACTCAGCTCTTTGGGTAACTTGCCTGTGCTGTGGTGATGACCCACTGAGGTTTTTTAACTATCTTGTCAAATGACTTAGGTTGTCCATCATGATATTTCAGTGACTGCAATTATAAAGCTGGGTGCACACAATTACCAACGATAGTGATATGTGTTTATACAATTCACTTTTTGACCTGTTTCCCTATAAATCTGGCTTGTCTGCTTGTAACTATTATACCCTTGTGACTGTCCTAAGCACACTTAAGTGTTTGTGCTCCAAAAATATGTATTCTATTATTGGCTATTTTAATTGCATAAAGTAAATTATAAAGTATTCTGTCATGTTCTTGTATGTTTCTCAAATAAATCCTCTTTTAAAAATGTAAATAAATGTATTCTAAAGAGTTTTTTTTTAAATTATTTTTTCCAGAATTGTATTTTCAAGATTTTTATCTTTCAGGATTATAATTTTCAAGATTTTAGACTTTAGGGATTTTGGTCTTTTGGGATTTCAACATTTGGGATCGTGGCATTAGGAATTCTTTCAGGATTATGGCCCAAACCCATTGGAACATCTCTGACTAAACCAACAGAGATGAAAATCCTAAGTTTTCGTTGTTCATCGATTTGCCTCAGAAGCATGATGATGATGATACTAACAATAAGAGCTACCACTTTTTATAACTGGGATTTTGAGAAGACACAAATCAATATTGCCTCTTTCCCTTCTGATTCTGAACCAAGACAAAGGAGTGAGGAAAATGGGGCCCAATCCTCATCTGTATGACTGGAGCAAGGACTTGGAGTGAGAACCCACAGGGGCTTATTGACTTCCAGCACTGAGACTGGACCTTGGAGCAACCAACCTGAGGGCAAATTGGAATCTGCAAAGCCACACACTTCTCCAGGTAGGGAAGGATGGAGGAAGAGAGGCCAAGTCTCCCTCCTCGAGATCTTTGATGGGTCAGCACCACCCATTAAAGAAAGATAGACGACTGGCTCTTGTTTACCAGCCAGGTGGCTCACTCTGTCTCCTCAGGGAGTGCTAAGAGGTTGGACAAGTGGCCCGGTGTGTTATTGCTCCCTCATCACAATGACTATCTAGAGTGGGGCAAACTTGTCCCTCGAATGTTCCCCGTGTTTTCATCATAGTCAACTCATAATCAGTGTGGGATGTGGCCGTCCCTTCAGGGGAGATCAGTCCTTTGTAAGGACAGCTCTGTCCTTGCTTCAAGAGGCTGCACTTTTCATTGAAACCTCTGTTCCTTCAGGCATTCTGTCTGGGCTGCTGGCAGGCAGGGTAGACTGTGCCCTCAGAGGGCTCTGAATTGAAGCAAGTCACACGTTAATAAAATCATCTCCAAGGACACCCTGTTCAAGGCTCAAAGTTATTCCATTTCCTACCTCTTAGCCCAAGTGATGTCTAGCTATGTTGCCTAATACAACCCCAAAGAGGTTCTGGTCCAGCCAAGGAACAGGCATGAGGAAGGGTGTCTGCCAGGACAGGCACTGCAGGAGAGCCTCAGAGGTCGGGGAAAGCTGGGGCTGTGAGGGGCTTTTGAAGGGGCTTTTCCAGAGGGGAGCTGCTCTTTCAGATTTGGAGCCTGCAACCTCCATTCAGGAGAGGAAGGAGGTTATGTATGAGGGCAAAACCTCTCTCTCTCCCCTTGCCTTCTTCCTAGCCTTACCCCATGCTCCTCTCTCTCTTCCTCACACTTCCTGAATTAATGACCCCACCAAGACTTTTTCCAGAGAAAAACAACCAAGCCAGAAATCACCTGGCCTCTCTGACAGCCTGGCCCATCCCTACACACTCACATCTCATGGTCTGCCACTCCCACATGTCACTAGGCCACTGAGAGACTTCCTGTTCATCCACTGTCAGACATGAGTTGTTAGCACTTCTTGGCAAAGGATCTTGACAATTGCCTTGACAATTGCCTTGGGAAGGAAAACAGCACCGTGGGTTAGTGGAAAGAATGTGGCTTTTGGAGCCAGGCGGACCTGGGCTCAATTCCCAGTTCTGCCACTTAATACCTGTGTGACCCTGGGCAAGTCACTTAACCTCTTTGAGTTTCAGTTTCCTCATCTATAAAATAAACACAAAGATGATAATAGTGAGCTTATGAAACTGCTTTGAAAGCCATTCAATGTGTGAAGTGTGCTTGCGAGACCCACGGGAGGTAGGCTTTAATAGTTTGGGAAGATTCCGTCATAGCCTAATTGCAGTTTTATGGGCCTCTTCCTTTTGATAAATAACAGGACTTATCTGAACACTCTGAAATTATAGACATCACAAAGTGTCTGCTCTGCACGAGGAAGCTCTTAAACAGCCTACACCGGGCTTTCTAATGAATTTGTCTTTCTTTTGCTCTGAGCCCATGCCCACTTCCTTCTTAGTGGTAGCTGCTCACTACAAACATTTTGAAAATGCTCTCTCACGGTGCTCTTTCAGGCATTCTTTTACTAGACTGGCTCTGGTTTGTCATGAATTGTATGTGTATTGAGATTGTCTGTATGTGGTGGTAGAATTGACAGTGTAAACACAGGACATAGGTCCGCAGGACACAGGAGGCTGGCTGGCCCATTGTCTTTGTGATCCTTGGTATGTGGGTCTATCCTGTAGGTGACTCAAAGCACCTTTGCGACTCAGTCTTACAGGCCGGGCACGGTGGCTTACTCCTGTAATCCCAGCACTTTGGGAGGCCAAGGTGGGTGGATCACTTGAGGTTGGGAGTTCGAGAACAGCCTGGCCAACATGGCAAAAGCCCATCTCTACTAAAAATACAAAAATTAGCAGGGTGTGGTAGTGGGCACCTGTATTCCCAGCTACTCGAGAGGCTGAGCAGAAGAATTGCTTGAGCCCGGGAAGTGAGCCTGGTTGCAGTGAGCCGAGATTGTGCTACTGCACTCCAGCCTGGGTGACAGAGTAAGGCTCCATCTCAAAAAACAAAGCAAAACAAAAAAAGTCTTCCAGACTTTGGAGGTTGGAGGGAGCTCAAGTCAGACCAGTCTTCCCATAAATCCTACTCTGAGGCCAGATGCATTAGAGAGAACATCTCAGTAGGTCATGTGGTTGCTTCCCTGGGGGTACCACTTAGGGTTATGGCATGCAAGGAACATACTGTAACAAGAAAATGCACGTATTGAAAAGATACTGAGTAGCTTCCAAAATTGATGGAAGACCAGAGAACCAGCTCAGGAAATGCATGTATCCCAGGGAGTTAGGCCACAGCTGAAGACCCCCAGCAGAAGGTGCTTGCTAGCAGGCTGCCACTATGTCACCACTGCTGCCACCACTGGACCCTCAGGCTTCTAGGAGTGAACTTGCTGCCATTTGAGTTAAAGTCCTAATTTCCTCTGTGTCATTGGATTGCTTGCTTAATCGCCACAGACTTGAGTTGGAATACCCTGTTGACTGTTCTTAGATTGTGTGCCCATGTTCAGCAACCAGGGAGCAGGGAGAGTCCTCTTTGGTTTTCATAGTCAGATCACCTAATAGGGAGTTCCTCCAAAAGCAGGAAGGTGTTCAAAAGATTAACATCGAATATACTAGAAAACTAGCAGCTTTAGTGTATTGTATTTTATTCCTTTATTTATTTTTAACATTGGTTAGTTTTATTTTATTTATTTATTTATTTTTGAGATGAAGTCTTGCTTTGTCGCCCAGGAGTGCAGTGGCATAATCTCAGCTCACCCCGATGGCTGAAGCGATCCTCCCACCTCAGCTTCCCAGTAGCTGGGACTACAGGTGCGCACCACCACATCTGACTAATTTTTGTATCTTTTTTGGTAGAGAGGGGGTTTCCCATGTTGCCTAGGCTTGTCTCAAACTCCTGGGCTCAAATAATTCCTCACCTTGGCCTCCGAAAGTGCTAGGATTATAGGGATGAGCTACCAGACTTGGCCAATTGATTGTCTTTTAAATATCATTTTGAGTCCAGAAGACAAAATATATAATTGAAATGTCCTGTTCACCCCTAAAACTTGGGTATAGCAGAAAAAGTACTGACTTGGACTCAACTTCTCTGACTGTCAATTTCTTCTGTGAAGTGGCAATTAGGACAGCGATTCTGCACAGCTCAGTCCAGGTTGTTGTGAATATCAAATGATATAGAAACACGGCAAACTGTTAAATGCTGAGTCAAAGGAGCTGATGGTATGACAGCATGGCTATTTTCCCCTGCTATCCGATAAACCACTGGCAAACAATAGCACTTACATTACAAGGGGTTCATTTTCCGGAATTTGGTGATGTGTGCAGGGACATGGAAAATCACATTCTGCAATTAAAATGTGCAATGCAATGCTGAGCGATTCACCTGAGCTTATACAGCTGGGAGGTGGCAGATCAAGGATTACACCCAGGTCTGCCTGACTCCTCTGAATCCTACCTTCTTTACAGGAGGCCTGGTTCTAATTCTCAAAGTTGCATGAATTGACTGGAAGCTCCAGAAGATTCTGCCCAGGAAAAGGTAGAAGGAACCAAAGAAGGGAGAGAAACAAAAATCCATTCCTTGAATTCTTAGAATGACAGTTATTTAAGAAGAGCATATTGAGACATCAAGGCTGGAAAATTCTAATGAAAACCCCCACCAACCTTCCCAACAAGCCCATGAGTTATTGCACTGAATATTTTTCATTTTGCAGATGAGGAAACTGAGGGTGAAAGAAGTTAAATAATTTACCCAGAAACATCCAGCTAATATATTGAAGGCCTGAGATTCAACCTAGGTGTATCACCTTGGATTCTTAGTTACAAACAACAGAACCCAATATTGGTTAGTGGAAACAAATAAGAAATTTTATAAAAGATATTGAGTGACCCTGGTGAACCAAACATGAAATGCTCACCAAGTCACCGGCTGAATCACTGAATTAGTTCAACACCTTATACTCCTAAGGTAACCACTAGGTCACTTATGCTAAAACATCTCCTACTACTGCCTCTGAGAGATGGATGTAGCTGTTACCACACTTGTTTAAACAAATTGTTCCTGATACCACTTTCCTTGCGTCAAATAGTTTATGGAGGCTTCTGATAGGCTGAGCCCAGATTACATGCCTGCAACTTAGCTGCAAGGGACTTTGAGGAAGTAAGCTTATGTCTTCCTTAGAGGGAATAAATTTGTCAGTCCATCAAGATGGGGAGTTTCTCAAACCCAGGAAAGTGTTCCAAGATGCTGGGGGTGCAAAGACTTTGCTTATTGTTAGCCGAATTCCTAATGCCTACGAAGTGCTTAGCATGTAATAGGTGTGTAATAAAAGCATATCAACTTATTGATCAGATAATTCTGATTTTAAAGTTCATGCCTTTAGACACTATACTTTACCTCTTTATAGATGGTCCATGATGAGATCTAACACAGAATATGTGATTGCCCATTAATGAAACTATATGAAGTCTCAATCCTGTGTAAAACTCTCTTCATTCATTCACCAAAATGTGCTGTTGTGATTTATGACTATGAGCTCTGAGAGACAAGGACATGTCTATCTTGTTTACCATTATATCATTCATTTTTAATACAACGCTGCAAAATAAATAATTGTTAAATGAGTAGACTGATAATTGAATGAGTTTAAGAGGCAAGGTAGTCAGGATTTGGGAATGCATGCTAAGGTGGTGCCAAGGATGGCATCTCGGTTTTTAGCTTGAACACCTGGTGGGAGGGTGGCTGACATTTACTGAGCATGGGAAGACAAACAGGCTCTGGAAGGGAGATCATGAGTTAGTTTTGGACTTGCTGAACTTTTATGTCTGGGAGACATGAAAGTGGGATGTTGAGTGGCTTGCTGGATATATGGGTCTGGAACTTAGGAGCAATGTCTGGAATGGAGGTATAAATTTGGGAGTTGTCAGCATTTAGCTAGTAACTAAGTTGCAGTCATAGACATGTAATCATATGATATATACAATACATAAGACTATATATGAATCTAAAAATATTTAAATATAAAATAAAATACATACATGAACCATGAAAATAGTTGAATTAAGTTATTCGTAATAATCAGGAATGAAGAATACATAATATTAGACTGAAAAGTTGATTACTGATTAACGTGAAACGGGCATCCAAATGGTAGAAATCATACACTGGAGGTTGGGATCATTTTATTACCCAGCTAGTCTGTCTCAAAGGACAACATAAACACAGAATCAGTAGGGTGTCTGTGTATCAGAGTTCCTCCTGCTATGTTACTGGACACGGAATGTCAGATATTTCAGATGGATGTTTGCTGTGGCTTAGGCATTTCTTTTGTGTCAAGGCTAGGAACATTCTGGGGAAGGAGTACAAAGACAGGGCAATGGGAAAGTTAAGCTGAGCCATGGAAGGAGGCAGGCAGGAGGTGCACAGGGAAGCCTACAGGAAAGCTCTGTGGGGACTGAGTCTCATTGCCATCCAAGGAGCTGGAGCCTGTGACCAGAGAGAACACCCCATATCCTTTCTCCTGTCTGTGACAGGGGAAAGGTGATCAAGAGGTTAACATTGACCCTTCCCAAACTTCCCGGCCTGGAAATGGGTGGAGAACACCTGTGGTGTGGGGTCCTTGCACTCTTTAATTACATGCCATCCATTCATCACTGTGATTGAGAACAACAATTATGGATTTAGACAGACAGAGCTCAAATCCTTGCCCCGTCACTAACTTACTGAGCAGCCTTTGATAAGCAACGTATTCTCCCTGAACCTCAATTTACTCACTCTGGTAAAGGGAAAATAATAGCATAAGACACATAGTGTTTTGGATATAGTGATCATCTTAAATTCTTACTTATGACAAAATTGAATCCAGCTCGGCCACTCTATTAGATGGGTAGTCACTGGCAGGTTTTGGATATGGAGATGATGAGCTCTGATTTACTATTTTAAAAGACACCCCTGATACCCTATGGGAGGTCAGAGTGGACACCAGGGGATCAGATAAGTGGCTACTGAACTAGTGCAGGCATGGAGTGATGGTGGTTTGGATCAAGATAGAAGTGAGGTAGAGGATGGAGTAATAGAGAGGCATTTCTGGATTGTTGTAAAGATTAGTGTTTATTAGGAGCTTAATAAAAAATAGTTAATGTAATAATTATAATTATGACTTTCATCCTTAATAACACTTGTCAATTGCAGAAATGTATTTGAAAATATGGCAAAAACATATACATTTTTGTTATGTATTATGTATTCAATAAATTCCTATATAGTGCTTACTATGTACTTGGCATTGTACTAAGAACTTGTTATCAGTCAGAGTTCCCCAGAGAAACAGACCTAAGAGGAGATAGATAGAGATTAGATAGATAGATAGATAGATAGATGAATTGGCTCATGTGGTTATGAAGACTAAGTCCCAAGATCTGCAGTCAGCCAGCTGGAGACCCTGGAGAGCCTACGGTATAGTTCCAGTCTGAGGCCAAAGACCTGAGAACCAGGTTCAATTGATGGTGTGAGTTCCAGTCTGAGTTTAAGTCCAAGCATCCAAAGAGCTAATGGTCTAAGTGTTAGGCTGAGTCTGAATCTCAAGGCAGGAAAAGGCTGATGTCCCAGCTTGAAGATAGGCAGAGAGAGAGAATTCTCCCTTTTTCGCCTTTTTGCTCTATTCAGGCCTTCAATGGATTGGATGAGACCCATCCACGTTGCAGGGGACAGTCTGCTTTACTCAGTCTGCCAATTCAAATGTTCATCTCATCCAGGAGCCCCCTCACAGATATACCCAGAACAATGTCTAAGCAAATATCTGGGCACCCTGGGGCCCAGTCAAGTTGACATATAAAATTAACCATCACAGCACTTTATAAGCATTAGCTTACTTAATACTTCTAACATGTCTATTATTTTCATTTTACAGAAAAGGAAATAAAGGCTTAGAGATGTTACACAGCTAATAGGTGGCAAAGCTGGGTTTCAACCGCATGTAGTCTAGGTCAATATTAAACTTGGGGGAAGAAAAAAGGATGATTCTTAGAACTAGTTTGTGACCAACTCTGCTTTTATGCCTCCTGAAGTAACTGGCTTGGAATCTCGTGCCAGGGGATTGAACAAAGCTCCTGTACAGAATTCAGCTGCCTCCTCTACACCCCAGGGCCATTTAAGGGACACCCATTTTGATAATGATTATATGAACATTTGAACTAATGGGCATTTGGATTAAAGGTCTCTTGGAAAACTTCTTGTAGTTCTTTGGGGTATATGCTTTCAGCTCCAATCAAAACTTAATAATGAAACAAAACAAAATTTTAAAAAATCTAAAACTGCCTGACTGTTGAACTGCCAAGAGCCCAGTTAGTCAGAGCAGACCTTACAATACCAAATCAGGTTGTGTGCACACTGGAGGAAGCCTGATAAGAAAACACCGCCTAGGATGATTTCTAATTGGCAGCAAGAAAAGAGCTTGAGAACAATAGCTCGGCGGTGCCAAGTCCCTTCACATTTCTCACTAAATCAATGTCTTTTCCCCATCCGGAATGCTCTACCCTTCTCTTTACCCACCCATTTATATAATTACCTTTGGGACTTGGCTTAAAAGTTAGCTCCTGCTAAATGCCTTTCCCACCTAGCATCAACGTGCTTGGAGTTGATGGATGGAATCATTAATTTCTTACTCTTTCAGTGAGGGTCTGTTGGGTATCAGACACTCAACCAGCTGCTGAGAACAGAGTGGTGAGCTAGACACCATTCCTGACCTCCCAGAGCTCAGAACTTTCTGTGATGATGGAAATATTTTATGTTTGTGTTGCCTCTTATAGAAGCCACTAGCTCTGTGTGGTATTGAGTGCTTGAAAAGTGGCTATTGCAGCTGAAACATTGAGTTTTAAAATTTAATTTTGGTTAATTTCAATTTAAACAGCCACATGGGGTTAGTGGCTACTGTATTGGATGGCACCGATCTAAAGCAAATGTCTGGTAATAAAGAAAGGGCTGCAGCAAAGTCTTCAGGAGCTGGGATACAAATTTGTAATAAGACGTTGAGGGAGAAAACTAAGGCTTGCGGCTCAGCTCTCCTGGGCAAAGTCAATGTTGTTTAGAGGAGCAGTTATGCAGAGCCTCCGGACTCAGCTACCTGCATTCAAATTCAGGTGTTCTTCACCTTTTACTTCCATGATTTGAGGCAAGTTGCTAAAATCCTGTTTCACAAAATGATGAGTCTCAGGCTCAGACTCACCAGGGCAGAGGTGAGTGAAGCTGGAGAGGAGGCAGGTTCAGGATCTGGCCAATCTCCCATTAGCATGCATGGCAAGGTCCATGCACCATTAACTGAAAGGGCTTCCCTTGCTGAGAATGACATTCCAGCCACGCTCCCTGTGTGGGTCATTCCTCTCGCTCACTGGCACGTATGTGCCCTCACTCCAAAATAAAATTGTTTTTTTTTTTCCATTTGATTACAAAATATATTCCTGGCCATTATTAAGAAAAATACAGAAATCGTGAAAAATTATAAAGAAGAAATCACAAATTCTATCACCCAGAACTTCAGGAATCTGGTGAATATGCAAATAGTCCTATTTAAAGATATATACATTTACATAAGTGAGAACATGGTATACATTATGCTCTGTAATTGCTGCTTCACTCAATAATTTTCTGTGAACATTTTCCTGTGTTAATGTAGAACTTCATAAGCACTTGGATGACTACATAGTATTCTTTTTTACCAGTGAGATGGACACTTAGATTGTTTATAACTTTCCCTGGTCTAAAACACTGTGTGACGAACATATGTTCTTATGTGTTCGTGTAATGATTTTCATAGAATACATTCTGAAATGGGGAATTTCAGTGTCAAAAAATACATTAAAAGTTTTGACACTTAATATCTGCCCTTCAGAAAGTGCTTACTGATGCATGCTCTTTCCAGAGCTCATGAGACTACCCCTTTCCCAACACCTTGTCCAAAATTAAGTTTTGTCAGTCTTGCTAATCTTTCATAGTCTGATGGGTATGTGCAACCACCTATTATTTTTTAAAATCTGTATCTCTTTTTTATTGTTCATTTGAATATCTTTATGTTTATTTGCCATTTGTTTTTCCTCTTTGAATTGCCTATTTTTATCTTTGTCATACTTTTTCTGTTACTATGCTCAATTTTTCCTATTGATTTCTGAGAGCTCTTTATGTAATCTTATTTATTTACTCATTTTTTTTTTTTGAGAGGGAGTTTTGCTCTTGTTGCCCAGGCTGGAGTGCAGTGGCATGATCTCAGCTCACTGTAACCTCTGCCTCTGCGTACAAGCGATTCTCCTGCCTGAGTAGCTAGGATTACCGGTGCCTGCCACCATGCCTGGTTAATTTTTGTATTTTTCGTAGAGATCGGGTTCCAACATGTTGGTCAGGCTGATCTCGAACTCCTGACCTCAGGTGATCCGCCCACCTCGGCCTCCCAAAGTGCCGGGATTACAGGCATGAGCCACTGCGCCCAGCCTTTGTAATCTTATTTAACAATTTCTTGAATTCTGAGCAATAAAATGTATGTCTTATTTGTTATTGAAAGAGAATTTGAAGTGTGGTTGATAGTATTAAAGCTCATAAAACAGGATCATTTTAACAAAGAGATGTTCGAAATTACTTAAGAGAGATATACCTAAGTTCTTCATTTCAAGAACCTGCGACAATTAGGTTTTTAGTTTTAAGTCTACATTTCCTGGAAACCAAGGAAAAGAAGGACATTGATGGTTTTACATTTTTCATAGTTTAATGAAAGCAAAGATGGAAGGATTTTTTTTTCCTGACCCTAATTCCTAGAAAGAATCTTCCTGAAGAAGTCTATGTTAAGAGAAGACAAGCCTGCCTCCTGCTAGTTTGCTATTCTGCAAAGTGCTCTACATATGAAGGAGGAAATGACGGACCCATCACTGTCCTGGGGCATAACTTTATGGCATGTCCTCCAACTAGGACACAATGACAGTGGTGGCCCCTGGAACACATACATGAATGAAAGAAGACCCATGAGAGGAGCGTTTCCCTTTTTCTTAGGTTGTGACTGTGGGATCGTGTTTTAGAGCTGAGAATCAGGAGACCGGGGGACAGCCTCCAATTTGCCACATATGACTTTGAGACCTGGGGCAGCTCACAACCTCTCTTGGCAGAGTCAGCCAAGTTATCTGGCCATTTAACCAAGGGCCTACCCTGCTAAAAGAGACCAAATTTAACTTGAACTTTCATCCTTGTTTTCAGTTGGTTCCCAAAGTTTCAGCCTCTCTCCACCTTCTGTCGGTGAGCTCCTCCATAGTTTAATCACAGGGTGCCTTGTATTTCTTTGCATCTGCAGCAGTCCTCTGCCTCTATACCTCCCAGTCCCTTGAACCCTGCCCTCTAGGAACATCTACAAAATCTGACTTCCCTTTATATTCAATTACTATTTTGAGCTCCACAACCATCCACTTCCTGCCCCGGAAGACGTGCTTCTTTGTAGCCCTCTTAAGTGAAGTTTCTTTATTCTTAAATCTCTCACATACTGCCAGGTCTGGAGGTGGGCTGGTAAAAATCTTGACCCTTTAAGTTACATTCCTCCTAAGTAAATCAGCTTCCTCTTCATTTTTGCCAGCTACTGGTCTCTTGGACATTCCCTAAACACATTGACACCTTGTTTACTGCTCTTTCCTTCTCAAGTCCTGACTTGCCTGGAATTATTTCAGTTCTTTGATCATCTAACTTCCACTGACTTTCTTTTCCACTCCACCTGTGCTGTGAAATCCCGGGTTCACAGTCATGATCTAGTTATTGCTTGAATCTTCTCTAATTTATGGGCTAATGATTCATAGTCCTTCTCTCTTACAGCAGCCTCCTATCCTTCTAACTTTATTACACAACAACTCCCTTCCTATCCTTCATGTTCCTGGTCTTCATTGATATTTACAGTCCACTGAATCCTTTATGTTCTCCCAATTCACCTCCACCATTTTTAAATTTCTCTCCAGTTGCAGAAATTGTAATTTGCCTACCCAACATTTATGATTGCCCTCTTCCTGTGATTATAAACTCCAGATTTTATTCTGGGAGGCAACGTGCTTAGTTAAAAAGCTAAACTCCCCAGCCTCTTTGTATGTAGGGGTAGCCAAAAATGTAACAGGAAGTTGTTGGGTAGGGTTTGCAGGAGATCAGCCCTTTAAAAGTTTGTCAGACAGCAGGCATGTGCCCTTTACAGCCTTTCTCCTGTTTTTACTACTTCTTGCCTGCAACGTGGATGTGCTGGCTGGAGTTCCAGCAGCCATCTTGGGTGGCAAATTGACTTTATGACTGGAAACTGTACACAAGGAACAGTGAAAGAGAAAGATGAACCTGGGTTCTTGGTGACAAACTCATCTTGCATTGTCTACTTCCAGCTTCTTTCATGTAAGACAGAAACCAAGGTAAAGAAGGACATTGATGGTTTTACATTTTTCATAGTTGTTTAGCCCCCTTTTACTTCTGGCTTCTTTTACATACACCCAATGGTCATTCCTCACTGATAGACAACTCGAGCCAGTGTACGCACCTCAGTGCATGATTTCCATAACTCTTTGCCCCTCTACTTTTCATCTCACCTAGACCCTGGATGAATCCAAACATTTGATTTCAAATTCAAGTGACTGTGTGTACTGCTAGGAAACAAAACAAAACAAAACAAAACAAAACAAAAAACAGTGATGCAATAAGGCAGAGGAACATCATTGTGAATTCATACTTAACAACTGCATAGGGATCCTTCCATTTTTTACAGTGACTGTTGCAAACCTTCAGCTCTCTCTTCACACTTGCATGAGGAGGTGATCCCTCTCATCTCAGGCCATGCTTCCTTCCTACATTCTGTGTCCTGGCCCTTCCTCCATCCTCAGGAGCCATATGTGTTGATCTCCTATGGGTTCACCTTCTCTGCCTCTACTGAATCCTTCCCACTGTCATTTAAATATACCGAGATCTCTATCATTTGAACAACCACCATAAAAACAAAAACAAAACAAAATATTTTTCTTTGGCCCAACGGCCCCTCTGGTTACCACTGTAGCACCTGATGTATCACAGCTGCATAAATGTATATAAAAAAGGGAAACTCAACTCTTACTTTACACCATACACAAACCTTAAAAATAAAGGCTAAAACTATGACGCTATAAGAAAATATAGGAGAATATCTTGGCCTCCTTGCGGACACAGAAAAAAATAACTCTAAAGCAAAAATAAACAATTGAATTGAATTTTATTATTTTTTAAAGCCTGCTTATTAAAAGACATCATTATAAAAATTGAATAGGTAAAGTTCAGACTGTAATAAAATATTCTCCATACATATCTCTGACAAGGAGATATGCCCATATCTTGTGCCCATATTTAAAGGACTGTTACAACTCCATTGGACAGTGAACCTCATTAAAAATAGCAAAAGAATTGAATAGGTACTTTCTAAAAAAGACGTTCATATCACCAATAGACATAGAAAAGAAAGTTCAACATTATTAACTTCCAGGCAAATGGACAGCTGGCATCAACAAGCCAGCCTCCCTTCCCTGCACACAAAGGGTCAACAGCACTGAATACAAATGAGATGTGGAACAACTAGAACTCTTATAAATTGTTGGTGAAAGTTTAAAAAGGTACCACCACTTTGGAAACCTGTATGGAAGTTTCTTATAAAATTAAACATGCCTTTACTTATTACCCAGAAAGTCCATCCTAGAGACATTAAAACATATGTACTCAAAAAGACTCACGCAAGCATATTTCATAGCAGATTTATTCATAATTGTTAAAATAGGGAAATGATCCATATGTCTTTCCATCAATAGGATAATATTTAAACGACCTAAGATAGCCATACAATGGAATACTACTTAGCAATAATAAGGAATTAACTACTAATAGATACAACAGCATAGATAAATCATGAAAGCATTACACTGAGTGAAAGAAGCGGGACACAAGAAAGAACATGTGTGATTCCATTTATATGAAGTTCTAGAATAGGCAAACACTAATCTACAACAACAGAAATCAGAACAACAGTAGTTGACCCTGGATGGGGGCCTGAGATTGGCTGGTAAGGGGTGGAGGAAACTTTCTTGGGTGATGGAACTGCTCTATCTTGACAGAGGGTGTATTAGTCCATTTTCACACTGTTGTAAAGAAATACATGAGACTGGGTAATTTATAAAGGAAAGAGGTTTAATTGACTCACAGTTCTGCATGGCTGGGGAGGCCTCAGGAAACTTACAATCAAGGTGGAAAGGAAAGCAGGCACGTCAAACATGTTGGCAGGTGAGAGAAGAGCAGGGGAAACTGCCACTTATAAAACCATCAGATCTCATGAGAATTCACTCACTATCACGAGAACAGCATGGGAGGAAACCGCCTCCATGATCCAATCACCTCCCACCAGGTTCCTCCCTTGACATATGGGGATTACAGTTTGTGATGAGATTTGGGTTGGGACACAGAGCCAAACCATATCAGAGAGTGTGGGTCATGTAAGTATATGTTTTTGTCAAAATTTGTCATAATGAATTCTTAAAATCTGTGTATTTCACTGTGTATACATTTTACCTAAAAATCAATATATTTGTATACCCACAAAATAGAGATAAAAGTATAATAAACATGGTATACTTGCTGCTCAGCCTGAGCGATTATTAAAGCATGACAAATTTTGTTCCATCTATACTCTTACCCACTGTCTGGATTATCTTGAAGCAAACATTTCCAAATATATCTCCAAAAGGTAAGGATCTGAGAGTTTTCTTTGGTTACTGCCTGAACATTTTTTCTGTCTACCACTCTCTTGACCAACTCCATCCCTACTGTCAGAAGCACCATCAACTCTGACCTCCTTACTGGACTCTGCCTTCCTCCTGTGCACCTTTCCTATTCATCCTACATATGACAGCCTCAGGATTTCAGAAATCCAATGTGATTATGTTACTCCCTCCTGGATCCTCCTTAAAATTCTCCAGGGACTTCCTAATCCTCTAAAAATAAATACCAAAATATTTAAATGGCTGTATTAGTTTTTATCACTGCACAACAAATTACTGCAAACTTAGGGACTTAAAACAACATCTATTAGTTATCTCGAGTTTCTTCTGGGTTAAATGTCTGGGCTTGGGGTAGTTGGGTTCTCTGCTTAGGGTGCTTGGGACCTCACAAGGCTGAAATCAACACGTTGGCTGGGGCTGTAGGGGTCTCACCTGGAGCTCAGGATCTTCTTCCAAACTTATTGAGGCATTTGGCAGAATTCATTTGTGGTGGTTGTAAGGCAGAGGTCCCTGTTTACTTGTTGGCTCCTGCCTAGGGGTCAATTTCAGCTCCTATAGGCTGCCCTCAGGACTCAGCTGCATGGTCCTCTCCATAGGCAGTCCACGCCATGGTCATTTCCTTTCTTCCAGGCCAGCAGAGAGTGTCTGCTGCTGCTTCTCGTCTTTTTTAAGGGCTCACCTGATCAGGTCAGTCCTACCTGATACCTTAAAAAAGATTAAAGCAAAATCTTTATTCTGATTAAATCAATGACAACTACCTTCAGAAACTCTTTTGCCATTTAGTATATCACAACTTCAGGATTGATTTTCCATGATATTCCCAGGTCCCACCTGCTCATACTCAAAGAGAGGAGATTGCAGGGTGTAGGAATCTTGTGTCTCACCTTAGAATTCTGTGGACCACACTAACCTTTCAAAACTCTGTCTGCACAGGCCTCTTGCCTCCCTCTCTGGTCCCATCTAGCTTTACCCCCTGCTTACCTCTCTCTAGTCCAGTCCCTTACCCCCCTGGGTGCTTGTACTTTCCTGAACATCCCCTGCCCTCTCTTGACTCAGGCCCTTTGCACATGCTCTCTCTCTCTCTGCCTCTCCCTGTCTTCAAGCACCCCTTCATCTAGGTAAGTCCTATTCCGTCTTGAAGTCTTAGATCTGAGAGGACTTCCTTATAGGGATGCCATGACCATGTCAGGCGTGTCTTAAATACGTCCTTAGTACACAGTGTCCCTCTTTACAGAAGTCATTTGTTTGCGTTAAATATTTATACATGTTATTATCCAATAAATATCTCCTTCTTTGTTCCACTGCACTGTAAGCTCCTTGAGGTGAGGGGCTGTGGATGCTTTTGCTCACCATTTTATGCCTAGCACCTACCACTTCACCTGGTACATAGCAAGTCTCAATAAACACATGTTGACTACATGAATCAGCCTCTGTTTGCCCATCCATGGTATGAGGGAGCTACTTCAGTGGCTCATTCATTCTCTAATATTCTATGATTCCAAGATCCAGTCCACCCATCTCCATTAACAGTCAGGAAAGTGCAACTGTTTGGGCCACTGAAATAAAATCTTGAGCTCACCTGGAGCTCAAGATCTTCTTCCAAACTATGAAATAATTTCCAAGCATTTGGTCGGCAGATGAGCTGCCATCTTGGACCTCTTCTGCACTATTGCTTTATGGCACAGTCTGGCAGCCAATAAGCCATCATTGGCTCCTTTTCTTTTCCACCCCCCAGAATGCCAAAGTGAGACTCCTCATTTGCAGATGATTGGCCCCTCTGCCACGATGACTGTCCAGCAGGCATAGACACAGCCTTCTGGCATTTTGTTGGGCAACTCAATGTGACCTACTTGGTGCAGAAAGACAGTCGCTCCTCCTTGGCAGCAGTTGAGCTGTGTGATGCCATGGGAAGAGGGTGAGGCTCACTGCCTGCCCTCTGGGGAGGACTGCCTCTCCTTTCTCTCCTGGAGACGTGTCAGCCTTCTTGCTGGACAGCCGGGATTGCTTGATGCTTCACTCCTCAGCCCACAGTGGATCACGAGCAGCAGACCACCTGAATGGTGGCCTGTTTCCCACTTGCCTGTCACCATGCCACCAGTCCACCTCAGCTGTGTGAGGAACGCCAGATGCCTGGGGGGAGTCTGGAGAGAGAGAGAAGCCTTTCTACTCTGGATTCTCTCCCTGGGTCTGAATTGCTGAAAGAGCTTGGAGAGAAACAAAAGGACATGATTATGTACTAAGTCATGTAACCTGTAGGAGAAGCCAGAAGCATCAAAGGAGGTACCCAATTCTCAAGGGAGGGAAACAAGTTTGTAAGAAAATGAGGAAGCAGGAAGCCCAGGTGCACCTCTCTTGGTGCAATATGGTGTTTTAAACAAGCAAGGCACGTGGGTATTTCTATGACAAGGGACTGGGGGTCTGACTTCCAATATGTCTGAAATCTTCAGGGCTAGAAGCAGAAACTAACTGATATTTTAAAGCTGCCAACAGTTTTTCTGTCAGAGTAAAAGCAGAACTCATCCCTGGAGGAATGTTGGTCTTTTGTTTTGAGAAAAACACAAAATGTCAGAGTATGCAGAGGTCAAGTCAAAATCCTGTTCTGGAGTGGGAAGTTTGAGACAGAGAGAAGCTCAACAGACTAGCTAAACTATTCTACATAACAATGCAAAATAGTGGCAACTCTGGGAAGTATTATGTGTCAGAGGGGAGTTGGGGGCTTCAATTGTAGGCACTGCTGATGGTGGAGGTGGGCTGGTCCTCAACATGGCAGAGCACAGAGGAGGGGAAATGCTGGGGGATGGGCGTGGCTGATGAACCCCAGGGCAACAATATCTAATCTCCACTTCACACTGTCGTCTCCCTGTACCCCATCGGAATCAGTGAAGTTTCTTTAATTGTCAACAACAAAACCCAGTGCTGCCTAACTGAAGAAAAACATTCTGGAAAAATATGCAGGGAAGCCCATAGGATTGGAAGGATAAATAGACAATAAGAATCAGAAAGGCGGGAACAGTCCCTGAAATGGAGAAGCAGAAGTTCAACGTCCTTCTTGCTGGAACAGGCTCTTAATGTGACCCAGTGCTCCCAACTTTCAGTCTGTGTCTCTCCATTTAAGCTTCAAGTTCCAGGTAGATAGGATCTGATTGCTCAAGCTTGGGTAGGGTATTTCCACTCCCTAATTAGATGGCTATGCAGGACAGGAGGTGGATGTTGTTGTGCAACTGGCAGCTGCCCCAACTTGGTTTCTGTAATCATCAGTCAAATTTTGTTAAAAATCTATACTTCTTCTGGGACATCAACAGACACTTTTCAAAAGAAGACATACATGCAGCCAACAAGCATATGAAAAACTACTCAATGTCATTAATCATTAGAGAAATGCAAATGAAAACCGCAATGAGATACCATGTCACACAGGTCTGAATGGCTGTTACTAAAATATCAAAGAATAACAGACGCTGGTGAAGTTGCAGAGAAAAGGGAACCCTTGTACACTGCTGGTGGGAGTGAAAATTAGTTCAGCTATTGTGGAAAGCAGTGTGGTGATTCCTCAAAGAACTAAAACCAGGGCTACCATTTGATCCAGCAATCTCATTACTGGGTATATACACAAAGAAACAAATCATTCTACCGTAAAGAAATATGCACACATATGTTTATGGCAGCACTATTCACAATAGCAAAGATATGGAATCAACCTAAATGCCCATCAACAGAAGAATGGATAAAGAAAATGTGGTACATATATACCATTCAATATTATGCAGCCATAAAAAAGAATGAGATGATGTCCTTTGAAGGAACATGGATGGAGCTGGAGGTCATTATCCTTAGCAAACTAATGCAGAAAACCAAATACCTCATGTTCTCACTTATAAGTGGGAGCTAAATATGAGAACCAGTGGGTACAAAGAGGGGAACAACAGACACGGGGGTCTCCTTGAGGGAGGAGCGGAGGAGGAGGGAGAGGATCAGGAAAAATAACTTTTAGGTACTATGCTTAGTTCCTGAGTGATGAAATAATCTGTACACCAAACCCCTGTGACATGTGACACAAGTTTACCTATATAACAAACCTGCACATGGACCCCCTGAACCTGAAACAAAACTTAAAAAAAAAAACAAACCCGTATCTTCCTTCCGTACTGTGTGAAAATGAGAAAAGGACAAGTGACCTCTGACAAGGGCTCTCCAAATTTTAAAAATTATATGATGTAACTGTTCTCTAGGCTTGCCCTTGCAGCACAAAACCGAATTTGAAAAATATTCCTAAGTTCATTCACTTTCATCGCCAATGAGGTAGGCACATGTTTTATGTTTTGTATTAAATATTAACGTACCCATTTTATCTACTGTTTTCTCATTATCAGTTCAGTAAATTTTGTTTTAAACCTACTATGTGCAAAACAGTGTGTAGTCCCTGGAATATTTTATTTTAAACACAACGTTTAAACATTAGTCAGCAATTTTTTTGATGTAAGGGGCAGAATCTAAGATTTGGCTCAAGCCTCAATTAGAGTTTACTGACTCACATAATGAAGAAGTCCGGAGGTGTCTGGCTTCAGGAACAGCTAGATCCAGAAACTTAGAAAATATTATTGAGGATGGATTTTTATCATTGTCTCTTGGCTCTGATTTCTCTTATGTGTTAGCTTCACTTTGTAGATACTCTTTTTCTAATAATGGGGCAGATTGCCACTGAGAGGCCTATAGGAACCCCAGTGGACAAAATTGAAGTCTGTTTTGTATATGTATGTATATACATACATATTCATATATATACATATATAAATTTATGTATGTGTGTATAAATTAGACATATATTTAATTTATGTATGTATGTAGGGTTCCACCTTCCTTTAACAGTGATTGGTCAGAGACAGGACCCAATCCAAATTTTTTTCCCAGATTTTATATATATATATATGCACACACACTTACATATATGTGTGTGTGTGTGTGTGTGTGTGTGTGTTTTCAGGGAAAATACATATATATATATACAAATTCAGAGAAAAATTTGGATTGGGTCCTGTCCCTGACCAATCGCTGTTGAAGGAAGGTAAAACTTTATAGTCCAGCCTGGGTGACCTGCCCACCTTTGCGGTGATAAAAGATGGGACAGTGTGGGGTGCATGAATTGCAGTGATTCCCAGTCCATCAGAACCACATGGAATGGAATAAGATTTCTCCCAAGGAAAAGGGGTTTCTGGGAACACAGAACAATAGGTATCCATTTCAGTTATATTTATAGACTCCTGAATCATAGATTTGGGAGAGATCTTAGAGATCATTTTGTCTGTCCTCTCAATTTTAAAGATAAGGATACAGACTCAAAGAATTGGAAAGGCTCCACTCATTCATTCATTCATTCGTTCATTAGTACTATGCTTTGCAGATATAGCCATAGCCAACACAATCATAATACCAAACTCCAAGGAACATTTTTGTCCTGCAGAAAAAGTAAATAGACAAGCAAAGAGCTGATCACAATACAGCATGGTGGGTGTTACTGGAGGAATAAGAATGGGAGGGTTGAGAGCACATAAGAGGAGCTACTAACCCAGTTTGGGGTGCCCTCTATGAGGAAGGGATATCAAAACTCAGACCCAAAGAATGGGTATATTAGCTAAGGTAATGCTAGCTGCTGTAACAAACAAATCCCCACATCCCCGCATTTCACTGACATGACTGAAGTTTACTTCTCATTCATGGGACTGCCAATGTGTTTGGTGGGTGGCCTTCCTCACAATGATTTGGGGACCCAGGCTCCATCCATCTTGTAGCTCCATCATCTCCTAGGACCTGGAAGTCCTTTACTTCCAGTTGGTGGATGGAAAAATAGGGCAGAGTAGGCACACCTGCCTCTTAACCACTATGCCCATGAGTGGCTGCATATTTACACTCACATTCTACTGGGGACATCTAGTCACATGGCCCACCTGGATGCAAAAGGCTTGGAAATATAGTTGCTGACTTGGTAGTCACATGCCAGCAATAACTGCATTCTGTGGAAGGTGAAAATGAAGCTTTAGAGTCTCTGACTCAATGAGTTAGCTAAGCAATGAGAGAGAGGCTTGGTGTTCCAGCTAAAGGATGGCACATTTTAAAAAAGTCCCAGAGGTGAGGAAAAGCCAGGCCCAATTTGAACGTTGCCAGATTTACGCCACATTTAACCAATAAAAATAGTTGGGTGCAGTGGCTCATGCCTGTAATCGCAGCACTTTGGGAGGCTGAGGCAGGCAGATTGCTCGAGGTCAAGTTTGAGACCAGCTTGGCCAACATGGCGAAACCCTATCTCTACGGAAAATACAAAAAAAAAAAAAAATATTAGCCTGGCATGGTGGCACGTACCTGTAATCCCAGCTACTCGGGAGGCTGAGGCATGAGAATTACTTGAGCCTGGGAGGCAGAGGTTGCAGTGAGTCAGGATCGTCCCGCTGCACTCCAGCCTGGGTGACAGGGCAAGACCCATCTCTCTCTCTCTCTCTCTCTCTCTATATATATATAGTCACATTTAAATTTTGTTTATTTATTAATATTTTAGGATTAATTTATTCATTCTAAAATATTATTTGGGATTAAAATTAAATAAATTTAAATTTGACTAATTTAAATTTATTTAATTTTAATCCCAAATAATGCTTTAGGATGAATATGACCCAAACAGTCCATACAGTTAAGCTGGATCCTGTGTTTTATGTGGCTATTCTACATTTAGGGAAAGAGCAAATAGTTCAGAATGACCAGAGCATAGAGTTTAGGTGAGAGGGAATTGGAGATTATGAATGGAGATGGATAAGTAAGCACAGACCAGGCTTTGGAAGGTCCTTTTAAGCAATACTAAAAATTTTATTCTGATAGCAGAGAGGGTCATCAAAGGGTTTTAAATAGGGGACAGGGTGTGAGGCATGCTCAGAACTGCATTTTAGGAAATGCTAGAGGTGGTGAAGAATATGGATTATAGTGGAGGTAATAGAAGGGGTGACCAGAGCAAGGGGATGGTGGCCAAACCAGGGGCCAAACCCAGGTCTCCAAGACTGAATTCATCAATGCATGATTTGTCAAGGTGCTTGGAAGCTGTTTAGAATAGTGGGAACAGCATGGGTTCTGGAGACCTTGGGTCCAATTCTGAATAGCTGGGTAGCCTTTAGCCCTTTCTAGGACTCACTTCCTTATCTCTAAATTCCTCCAGAGCTCTAGGATTTGACCTATTCCTGCAGAATGAGTCTCCTCTATCTCAGCATTCTAGTTTCTTCCATACTCAGACACTGAAAATCTGAGAATCTCACAGCTACAAGTCAGACCATGCCTAGCTCTGGTGCTTATATAACTGTCAGAATCTTTACCATGTTTTTCCTCTATCAACAGTTTGGTGCTATCAGCCTAGCTTCCACTGGCAAATCCATCACGTTAAGCTGAAAGAAGTCACACCTGCCAGGCCCAAGCTGTTTATCTCAATAATTTCCCCACATAAAGCACAAACAGGGGACTATTTATTTTCCTTCCTGACATACATAAGGCTGTTAAAAGTCTGAGCGCACTGGCAGTTTACATGAAGCTAACCTTAATTGCATACTAGAGAGCCATAAAAGGAAGATCAGGGCCTCATTAGCTAGGGACCAATTTTACATTTTTCTCCTCTGACCAAAACTGTTTAAAAATGTGGAGTACTATCTCATTCCAGCCAGACATAAATTTCAGTGCTGTCAAAATGCCCTTGCTGAATTCCAACTTTTCTTGAAAAGCTTGAAAATGTTCAGTGTGTCAACTTGGATTACAGAAACAAAATAGTATATCTTCCTTGGTTTCCCCCAACCCCAAATGAATGAATCTCTCTCTCCTATATAGACAGCACAACCTCAGTGACCCAGAGTACGTGATCGTGATCAATTTTGTCTTTTATGATTCAGGACTAATCAGAAATACTTTCTCACCTCCTTGTGTAAAATTTTCCTGGCCTTCCTGTTTTTTTCAGGGCATCTATGTTGTGTCAGGGACTCTGACATCAGTGTACTTTTGTGTGTCATATCTCCACATCCACAATTGCAGCCCAAATGTCTACCATCCCCACAACCTTCCCCTGCCTAACAGCAGGGCTGAAGCTCAATGCTCCTTCCCTGAGTTCTGCAGTATCTCTGGTAGCTCCCAAGCCAGCCCAGTGGCCGCAGTCACCAGAAAGCATCACTCTGCGACTTGGCTTCTGCTTCAGCTCGCCTTTCCTTTGGCCAGTGCCTGCTTAGGTATTAGGAAAATTCTCCTTCCTCTCGTACTGCTAATACCACCATTGTTTGTGTCAGGCCCACTTCCAGCTGCTCCCAGGAGAGAGCTGGGTCATATTTATAGAGTCAAGGAGTCCTCACAACTCTATATCCCACTTTGCCGCTGGGCCCCCAAAGCAGCTTTTCTTGTGCTCAGCATCTCACTAAATCCTCATCAGCTTCCACTCCATCTTTTTTCCCCATTAGGTGCCCAACCAGGCTAAAGGACCTGAATTGTGAAGGAGGTCATCTAGCTTTGACATTTCCTTTTCCATCACATTCTCCCTCCTTACTTCCAGCAAGCTTCTCTTTCCTGGGTGATATGGTTTGGCTTTGTCCCCATTCAAATCTCATCTTGAATTGTAGTTCCCGTAATTCCCACATGTTGTGGGAGGGACTCGGTGGGAGATAATTGAATCATGGGGGCGGTTTCCTCCACACTGTTCTCTTGGTAGTGAGTTAGTCTCACCAGATCTGGTGGTTTCTAAGGGGAAACCCCTTTGCTTGGTTCTCATTCTCTCTCTTGCCTGCTGCCAATGTAAGAAGTGCCATTCACCTTCCACCATGATTGTGAGGCCTCCCCACCACGTGAAACTGTGAGTTCATTAAACCTCTTTTTCTTTATAAATTACTCAGTCTCAGGTATGTCTTTATCAGCAGCAGGAAAACGAACTAATACACTAGGTATATATAAAATTAAAATGTAAAACTTTATATCTTCATAGCCATAAACTGAGGCTTCCATCTATATGGATGAAGTATAACTGATGGCTAACACATAGGTAGCACATGCCAGTCACTGCTCTAAGTGTCTCTCATGTAAAAATTCATTTAGTCTTCACATCAACCCCAGGAGGTAGATGGTATTGTTATCCCTACATATAGACAAGGAAACTGTAATAGTTAGGGTTCTCTAGAGGGAAAGAACTAATAGGATAGATATATTGCATTAGTCAGGGTTCCCTAAAGGGACAGAACTAATAGGAAATATATATATGAGTTTATTAAGTATTAACTTATATGATCACAAGCTACCACAACAGGCTGTCTGAAAGCTTGAGGAGCAAGGAGAGCCAGTCTGAGTCTCAGAACTGAAGAATTAGAAGTCCAATGTTTGGGGGCAGAAAGCATCCAGCATGAAAGAAAGATGTAGGCTGGGAGGCTAGGCCAGTCTTGCTTTTCAAATTATTCTGCCTGCTTATATTCTAGCCTTGCTAGCCCCTGATTAGATTGTGCCCACCCAAATTACAGGTGGATCTATCTGCCTTTCCCAGCCCACTGACTCAAATGTTAATCTCCTTTGGCAACATCCTCACGGACACACCCAGGATCAGTATTTTGTATCCTTCAATCCAGTCAAGTTGACACTCAGTATTAACCATCACAAGTCCACCCCTTATCAACTTGAACCCATACACATCTCCTGAGATCATACATGATCTTCAAATAAAGACAATAATAAGGTCATAATTACACCTAACATAATACAACTATCTTTCTCAAAACCAGAAAAGCACCAATCCCCAATCCAAATACTATCACATAAAGTTAACAATACTTAAATGCTGATGTGAAGTCAAAAAATCTTATGTCCCATGATAAAGGAGAAAAGAAATAAAATGAAGACATTTTCTTAGTACAAGTGTATACATCCACAAACATGTTTTTAACAGAAGAAGGAGAAAATACTCACGACAATTGCAGTCCTCATTTCTGCAGCTGATCACATGGTTGTAGCTGGTATTGATGACTACCTTCTTCTACTACCCATTCTGTATATCCTTTGCCTTCAGCAAGCACCTCAGCAGGTCATGATTTTTTTTTTTCCTGGTGGAGACCTTCATTCCTGAAGGGTCTGGGCCATTTGTAGTCCTGCCTGGATTGGGCTGTTGTAGTTTCCCATTGACCTTAACCACATGGCATGGTGATACTAAGAGATGCCCTAATGAATCTCCTGTATTCCATGCATACTCTTCCTTACCCTTGTTGTGGAGTCATAGACTGATTTCATCTTGATAGTCTGGGTCAATCACCACAACCAACACTGTAACTCCCTTCTTAGTCTGTTGACTTAAAGGTAGGAGGCACCCAAAGTGTCCTGGTGGCAATCATAACTTCCAGTTTAATGGAATCATTGTTGTGTCTCCTGGCGGCAGCGTTCCTCCCTCTGGAACTAGGACCTCTAGGCCAGCAGAACTTAATGTCGCGGGAACAGGAAGTAAAAGTTTGGTAGTGGATCATTAGGGATGATGGTGAGTGGTGCCACTTCCACTTCCACTCCTTGATTCCTGGACCCGTGAATCCTGGCTATGGGAGAAACAGTACCATATATTGGATGCTGATTCAGAGCATAAATGGCCTTTTGGAGAACTTTGCCCCAGCTCTGCAAAGTGTTATCACCTATTTGGCATTGTAATCATGACTTCAAAAGGCCATTCCACCGTTCTGTCAATCCAGCTGCTTCAGGACAATGGGGAACGTGGTAAGACCAGTGAATTCCATGAGCATGAGCCCACTGCTGCACTTCTTTAGCTGTAAAGTGAGTACCTTGGTCAGAGGCAATGCTGTGTGGAATACCATAATGGTGGATAAGGCATTCTGTGAGTCCATGGATAGTAGTCTTGGCAGAAGCATTGTGTGCAGGATAGGCAAACCCATATCCGAAGTAAGTGTCTATTCCAGTGAGAACAAACCTCTGCCCTTTTCATGATGGAAGAGGTCCAATATAATCAACCTGCCACCAGGTAGCTGGCTGATCACCCCTAGGAATGGTGCCATATCGAGGGCTCAGTGTTGGTCTCTGCTGCTGGCAAATTGGGCACTCAGCAGTGGCTGTAGCCAGGTCAACCTTGGTGAGTGAGAATCAATGTTGCTCACCCCATGCATATCCTCTGTTCTGCCACCATGACCACTTTGTTCATGGGCCCATTGGCCAATGACAGGGGTGGCCTGGTGATGACAGGGGTGGCTGGGAAAAGAGGCTGAGTGGTGTCCACAAAACAGATCATCCTATTTACTTGATTATTAAAATCCTCCTCTGCTGAGGTCACCCATTGGGGAGCACTCACATTGGATACAAATATTGTCACAGTTTGTGACTACTCAGAGAGGTCAATCCACACACCACTTCCCCAAATTTCTTTGTCACCAATTTTCCAATCATGTTTCTTCAAGTCCCTGAACCGTAGCTAGCTCAGCCTTGGTGAGTAGAAGTCCATGTTGCTGAGCCCATGTGTAACCTCCAACCCTGCCACCATGGCCACTTTATTCATGGGCCCATTGGGCGATGACAGGGGAGGCTGGGGAAAGAGGCTGAGTGGTGTCCACAGAACGGGTTATCCTATCCACTTGATTATTAAAATCCTCCTCTGATGAGGTCACCAATTGGTGAGCACTCACATGGGATACAAATGTCTTCACAGTTTTTGACCACTCAGAAAAGTCCACCCACATACCTTTTCCCCAAGTTTCTTTGTCACCAATTTTCCAATCATGCTTCTCCAAGTCCCTGATCATCCAGACAAACCATTGGCTACAGCCCATGAATCCGTGTATAATTGCACATCTGGCCATTTCTCCTTCCATGCAAAGTGTACAACCAGGTGCACTGCTGGAAGTTCTGCCACTGGGTAGATTTCCCGTCACTGCTGTCCTTCAGGAATGTTCTGGAAAGGGGCTATAGTGCTGCAGCTGTCCACCTTCCGGTGGTGACAGCATATTGTGCAGAACCATCTGTGAACCAGGCCCTAGTCTTCTCTTCCTCTGTCAACTGATTATAGGAAACTCCTCATGAGGCCTTTGGTGCAGGCTTGGGGAGAGAAGGCAGGGTGGCAGGAGTGGAGACATGGGCATTTGAGCCACTTCCTCATGTAACTTACTTGTACCTTCAGGGCCTGCTTGAACCCGATCTCGTATATGCCAGTTCCACTTGATGATGAAATGCTGCTGTGCACAACCCACTTTATGGCTAGATGAGTCAGAAAGCACCCAGTTCGTGACAGGCAGTTCAGGTCACGTGGTGACTTGATGACCCATTGTCAAATGTCCAATTTCCACCAAAGCCCAGTAACAGGCCAAGAGCTGTCTCTCAAAAAGAGAGTAGTTATCTGCAGAAGATGGCAGGGCCTTGCTCCAAAATCTTATAGGCCTCTGCTGTGATTCACCTATGGGAGCCTGCCCAAGGCTCCAAACAGCATCCCTATCTGCCACTGACACCTCAAGCACCATTGGATCTGCTGGGTCATGTGGCCCAAGTGGCAGAGCAGCTTGCACAGCAGCCTGAACCTGTTGCAGAGCCTTCTCCTATTCTGGACCCCACTCAAAACTGGCAGCCTTTTGGGTCACTCGATAAATGGGCCAGAGTAACACATCCAAATGAAGAATGTATTGCCTCCAAAATTCCGACAGACCCACTAGGTGTTGTGTCTCTTTCTTGGTTGTAGGAGGGGCCAAATGCAGCAGCTTATCCTTCACCTTAGAAGGAATATCTCAACTGGCCCCACACCATTGGACCCCTAGAAATTTTACTGAGGTAGAAGGTCCCTGACTTTTAGTTGGATTTATTTTCCATCATCTGGCATACAAATGTCTCACCAATAAGTCCATTGGTTTGCTACTTCTTGCTCATTGAATCCAATCAGCATAATGTCGTCAATGTAATGGACCAGTGTGATATCTTGTGGAAGAGAAATGCAATCAAGTTCTTTCCAAATAAGATTATGACACAAAGCCAGGAAGTTGATATACCCCTGAGGTAGGACAGTAAAGGTATATTGCTGGCCTTGCCAGCTGAAGGCAAATTGCTTCTGGTAGGCCTTATGGGCAGGAATGAAGAAAAGGGCATTTGCCAAGTCAGTGGCTACATACCAGGTACCAGGAGATGTGTTATTTTGCTCAAGCAATGAAACCACATCTGGTACAGCAGCTGCAACTGGAGTCACCACTTGGTTAAGCTTACAATAATCCACTGTCATTCTTCAAGATCCATCTGTCTTTTGCACAGGCCAAATGGGAGAGTTGAATGGGGATGTGGTGGGAATCGCCACCCCTACATCCTTCAAGTCCTTGGTGGTGGCACTAATCTCCGCAATCCCTCCAGGGATGTGATATTGTTTTTGATTTACTATTTTTCTAGGTAGAGTCAGCTCTAATGGCTTCCATTTGGCCTTTTCCACCATGATAGGCCTCACCCTACCAGTCAGGGAGCCAATGTGGGGGTTATGCCAACTGCTAAGTATGTCTATGCCAGTTATGCATTCTGGCACTGGGGAAATGACCATGGGATGAGTCTGAGGACCCACTGTATATCAGACCTGAGCTAAAACTCCATTAATTACCTGGCCTCCATAAGCCCCCTTTTTTAATTGAATGACCACAATGATGTTTTGTGTCCCCTGGAACGTCAGCTCAGAGGCAGTATCCAGTAGATCCCAAAATGTCGGATCATTTCCCTTTCCCCAGTGCCCAGTTACCCTGGTAAAAGGCTGGGGGTCTCGTTGGGGAAGGATGGGAGAAAGATTTACTGCATAAATTGTCAGTAATGTAGTGAGGTCCTTCCTCAAGGGGACCCAGCCTCCCCTTCATTCAAGAAGTTCTGGGTCTGTAAACTGGCTCAAGTCTGGAAATTGATTGAGGGGCTGCGATTCTCTATTTTTATAATTAAAATTAGTCTTTAGTTCATTCAGCCTAGAAGTTTTCTGCCTGTATAAATTAAGTAGGAATGCAGTAGGCTTCCTATCAATTTCACTTCTAGGAACACCATGATTAATTAGCCAAATGCCAGAGCTCTACACGAGTTAGACTATTCTGATTGCCACTTTGATTCTGCTGTCCATTACGGTAGCTACACCCACCTTGCCTTTGACAGTTGAGTGCCACCACTTGGCTCCTGCCACCTCGGGATCTAATTATTCCCATTGTATTTAAATTCTGTAGTTGAGTAACTGCCGTTCCCACTGTTAGATCTGACATACAGAGAAGAGCAATTACAGGGCTCTTCAAAGATGCAGGTGCCGCCCTCACCAATCTGTTTCACAAGGCATTGATCAAGGGCATATGTTCTGGACCCTCCCAGCTGGGATGAGTAAGTCTAAAGTGACTAATCCACTCCACCATCCCAATCTCCCTAAGCCTTTGGATCCCTTCCTCTACATTAAACCAAGAAAGATCAGGCATTTCCAGCTCGCTCACAGTGGGTCATCTTGTAATCCATATTTCAACTAACCAAGCAAATAAATGATTAGAACCTTTTTTAACTCCCTGAGCTGCAACATTAAATGCAGAGTCCCTACTTAGTGGGCCCAAATCAACAAATTCAGCCTGATCCAACTCTATGTTCCTTCCACCATTATCCCACACCCTTAGTATACATTCCCACACCTGTTCTCCAAATTTCTGTGTATATAAATTAGAAAACTCAAGCAGTTCTTTTTGAATGTAGGGCACCTCCTCATGGGTCACACTCTCATCCTCACCTCTAGGGGTCCGCAGTGACTTTAGCCTAATTATAGGTCTAGAAGCAAACAGGGGTGTTGGGGGTGGCTCCTGAGGAGAATCAACTATATCTTCCCTGGCAACTGCCTCAGGGGAGGCCATCACTGTTGCCTCTGGCAGCTCAGGGTTTATCTCCTATGATAAATGTGGAAAGGCTAATGGCAGTACAGTTCCGGGAGGGGATGTTGCCACTACTGGGGATGGGGAAGCTGTTTCTTCTGGCAAAAAAGATTCATCAGAGTTAACAAACTCAGTGTCCTCAGCTTCATCAGGGTCCTTCCACACGTCCCCATTCATGTTGCAGGGTCTCATTCTTTTCCAATCAATGCCCTCACTTTAACAGTAGACACCTGGTGAGGCTGTGCATGCACCTTTCATTGCAGGTCAGCCACTCACGTGATAAGAGCTTGTGTCTGTTTTTCCACAATTTCAGCTGTTTTTCTACAGGAGATAAGATGCTCACTTAGGGCAATCTTAGCAGATTTGAGGCTCAGTATCTGCTTCTGAAGCCAGTAGATGGAATCCCTGAGTTCATCATTTTCTTTCGTCACTTTGTCCACTGAACTTAGGAGCAACCTATCAGCTTCATTATGTTCCTTGGTTCTCTACATATGGTCAAAGGTATTATGTATAGAGTCACTAAGCTCCTTGCCTCTCACAAGCGATGAATCAGAAGTGTCAAATGCATTTATTTTGCATAACTCTCTAAACAGTTCATGCCAAGGACTATTAGTGTTCTCCGTACTATTAGAAGTAGAGTCTTAGCATTTTTGGTTCTAATCATTTTAAGCAGCCAACTCCAGAAACCCCAAAACCAATGAAAGAACTCCACCTTTAATATTCTATTCCTCTAGAACCATTCCTGGTACCAAAATGTGTTTCAATCAGCTTTCCCTAGGGGGACAGAACTAATAGGATAGATAGATATAAAGGGAAAGTTGTTTTTTTTGTTTTTTTATGGAGTCTTGCTCTGTCGCCCAGGCTGGAGTGCAGTGGTGCGATCTCGGCTCACTGCAAGTTCCGCCTCCCAGGTTCACGCCATTCTCCTGCCTCAGCCTCCCTAGTAGCTGGGACTACAGGCGCCTGCCACCATGTCCGGCTAATTTTTTGTATTTTTAGTAGAGACGGGATTTCACCATGTTAGCCAGGATGGTCTCAATCTCCTGACCTCGTGATCCGCCTGCCTCAGCCTCCCAAAGTGCTGGGATTACGGCGTGAGCCACCGCGCCCGGCCAAAGGGGAGTTTATTAAGTACTAACTTACACAATCACAATGTCCCACAATAGTCTGTCTGCAAGCTTGAGGAGCAAGGATAGCCAGTCCAAGTCTCAAAACTGAAGAACTTAGAGTCCAATGTTTGAGGGCAGGAAGCAACCAGCATGGGAGAAAGAGGTAGACTGGGAGGCTAGGCCAGTCTCGCCTTTTCACATATTTCTGCCTACTTACATTCTAGTTGCGCTGGCAGCTTATTAGGCAGACCCACCAAATTAAGGGTGGGTCTGCCTTTCCCAGCCCACTGATTCAAATGTTAATTTCCTTTGGCAACACCCTCACAGACACACCCAGGATCAATACTTTGTACCCTTCAATCCAATCAAGTTGACACTCAGTATTAACCATCACACACACACACACACACACACACACACATACACACACACACAACATATATGGGTGTTTATTAAGTAGTATTAATTCACACGATCACAAGATCCCACAATAGGCCATCTGCAAGCTAAGGAGCAAGGAACCCAGTCTGAGTCCCAGAGCTAAAGAACTTGGAGTCCCATGTTCAAGGGCAGGAAGCATCCAGCATGGGAGAAAAATGTAGGCTGGGAGGCTAAGCCAGCCTAGTCTTTTTACATTCTTCTGCCTGCTTTTTATTATGGCTGTGCTGGCAGCTGATTAGATTGTGCCCACCCAGATTAAGGGTGGGTGTACCGTCCCAGCCTATTCACTCAAATGTTAATCTCCTTTAGCAACACCCTCACAGACACACCCAGGATCAATACTTTGCATCATTCAATCAGGTTGACACTCAGTATGAACCATCACAGAAACCTAAGGTAGAAACATGTAAATTATTCAGCGTGGACGTGGCAATGTCACGTTTGTGCTGATAAACATCATGTTATATGACTGACTATCCACACCATGTTATTTACTGACTCTCAGATAATGGGGTGTCTACAGGGGGTGGGGCAGGTATTAAGTACACTAATAAATCACAGCCAGCAAATTCCAGATCGTACTGAAGTTCTTTGAGAGAGGTAATACTTTTCTCATTTTATTGATGAAATGACTGAAGCACAGGAAGGTTAAAAACCTCAAAGTCACTGAACTGAATTTGAAGCATCCAGGGTTCAGCCAGGCACACCTTACTGCAGAGCCGGAGCTCATGGCATTGCAATCATCACCTTCCTTTCTAAGTTAGATCATTCTGTGTTCCTCCTTTAACAACTATATGACACATAATGCAACCAAGTTCTTCGTGGAGAAGCTAAGATTAAGCAGATTTCTGGGGATGGAAGGAGGGACACTAGACCTGGAGCAGAAGGACTGGCTCAGGGGCCTCACTGACATGGCTTCCTTGCTGTGTGACCTTGGGCAAGTGCCTTCAGTTCTCTGGTTTTCATTTGTCAAATGGACATTTGTTCATTTGCCCAAACAAAAGGAAGAGAGATGGAAAGAGAGAGAGAGGGAAAGAAAGAGAGAGAGAGAGAGAGAATTGTATAGCGTGAAGAAAGTAGATTCTGGAGTCTGATTTTGTGAACTCAAATCCTCGGACTTGGGAGAAGAGATCTATGACCCCAGTAGGTCACCAAATGCCTCTCAGCCTCAGTTTCTCCATTTGTGAAGTAAGGATGATATCAGGGCCCACCTCAAAGCTTTACAATTAGTAGTAATAATAAAATAGCACACGTCAAGCCCTCAGTTTCCAGAGTTTGGCATGGAGTCAGCAGTGTACAAAGGGCAGCTATTTTTATTAACTCAACCTCCATCCCCTGTGGCCCAGTACGTGTTAGGCACTGCGTGTAGAACACTTACCAAGACAAATGAGGACAAAACCCTGTATTATTGGCCCCCTACCTCTCAGGAGAGCTGAGAAAAGCAGCAGAGATAATATTTTGTGCAGTGTGGAGCTGGGATGTTTTTGCTGTTTTGCAGGACTATGGGTCAAATGCAGATGTGGAATGGAACAGGATAGAAAGTATATTTAGAAGGAGCACTGGACTGTGAGTAAAGAAGCTTGGATTCTATTCTTAGTTTGGCCAGTAAGAAATCATGTGACCTTGGGCAAGTCAGGTCCTATCCCAACACTGCAACTCCTTGCCTCTAAAATGATGGGGTTGTACAAGAAGCATTTTAAGAGTCCCTTTCAACTGTAACCTTCTCTGATTCTGTGTTGTAGCTTTAGCTAGAGTCTTTGAAATCCTGAAAGTTATTTTGGGTAAATTCTTTTTATTTCTTTTTGATCCAGGGTCTTGCTTTGTTGTCCTGGTTGGTCTCAAACTCCTGGCCTCAAAAGATCCTCCTGCTTCAGCCTCCGGAAATGCTAGGATTATAGGCCTGAACCACCACACAAAGCTTGTTTGAGATAAATCCCTAACAGAAACTTTTTTTTTTTAAAAAGGATTGGGATTTGTCTTTTCTCCTCCATGTAGAATCACCACACAAAGTTTGTTTGAGATAAATCCCTAAGAGAAACTTTTTTTTTTTTTTTTTTTAAGGATTGAGATTTGCCTTTTCTCCTCCATGTAGAGGATTGCACCCAAGATCAGTGACTGAGGGTTTTTGACTGGTAGGTTTGAGCTGGTAGAGGTTTTGCTCTGTGTTTGTTGGTACCAGTTAATATAAAAATGGGGCCTAATCCCAGGAGAAGGGGACTCAACACTGCCAGGGATTTTCTTTGTTAAGAAACATGCTCATTAATCCTTTTTGTTATTCCCATTCTCATCTTCCAAAAACTAGCAAGGCCTCATCACCCTGAGGGCCCCATGAGTTTGAGAAGCTTGCCCTGGTGCTTGCTGTCCTCCTCAGAGAAGCTGCAATGGGCCCCAGAACTCCTACTAAGTTTGCTTCATCACATTCATAGCCTCAAATTGCTACTTGGTCACCCTCTGGCCTTCTGACCCTCAACTCTTCACTGGCTGATCACACCTCAGGTTGGGGAAGAAAGGGTGTTGATATCTGGCTTAGGAAACATCCAGGCCACAGGAGTGTTTCAGGATCCCTGGGAATGCTCCTTTGTCTCCTTTTCCCCTTCTAATTCTCTTGTTTTCTGCTGTCTCATCTCTGTGTGTCAATCTCCCTTCTCTACCCCTTTTATCGTCAAATTGTTTGGTGTCACATCCAGAAGAGCAGAACAATGGTATGGTGCATCTCTCTCTTAAAAGGATCTGAACTATGAGGTAACTTCTTTCCTGTTGATGTGGTTTGGCTGTGTGTCCCCACTCAAATCTCATCTCAAATTATAATCCCCATGTATTGAGGGAGGGACCTGTAATCCCTGCCTGTGGAGGGAGGGAGATGATTGGATCATGGGGGAAGTTCCCCTTATGCTGTTCTCATGATAGTGAGTTCTCACGAGATGTAATCGTTTTATAAATGGCAGTTTCCCATGCCTTCCTCTCTCTCCTGCTGCCTTGTGATAAAGGTGCCTGCTTCCCATTTGGCCATGATTATAAGTTTCCTGAGGCCTCCCCAGCCACGTGGAACTGTGAGTCAATTAAAGCTCTTTCCTTTATAAATTTCCCAGTCTGGGATATTTCTTTATAGCAGTGCAAAAATTAACTAATATATCAGTGTATTCTAATTTCTTTTCTTTCTTTCTTTATTATTTTTTTTTAATTTACAAATTGTAAGGAACACGGGCTTTGGAAGCACAGACCTTGGTTCTGAATTCTGAGAGCTGTGTGCTGTGTGACCCCAGGTGAAGTACTCAACCTCTCTGAACCTTAGTTTCCTCAGCTCAAACATGACATCATCTACATTCACACTGGGGTGATTGCCTTCTAACTTGCCCTCTCCACACCACTATCCCAGGGCGGGTGTGTGGAGATTTTAAAAATAAAGCAAATCTTGCCAAATCGTGTCACAGTCCTGCTCAATATCCATCTGTGGCTTCCCGAAGCTTTTAAAATAAATCCCAGGCTCCTTTCCAGGGTCCATGAAGCCCTGCATGACCTCACCCTGTGTCATGCTCCCCTCACTCACTAGGTTCCCCAGGATCCCTTCTGCCCCAGGGCCCTTGGGTGTGCTGTTCCTTCTGCTCGGAAAAGCCTCCCTCATACTCTTCATCTGGGAGATCCTGCAGACTCTCAAGCCTCAGCTTAAATGTCACCTCTTCAAATAGACCTCCCTTGAGCCCCTTTCCAATCAAATTTGGTGACTCTGCTTATATTTTTCCTTTTTAAAAAATCGATTAATTAACTAATTTTTATTTTTGAAAATTGTGGTAAAATATACATCACAAAATTTACCATCTTAACCATTTTTTAATGTACAGTTCAGTGGCTTTAACTACATTCCCCTTGTTGTGCAACCATCACCACTATCCATCTGGAGAACTTTTCATTGTTTAAAACCGAAAGTCTGTACTGATTAAACAATAACACCCCATTGCTTGCTCGCTCTCCAGCTCCAGGAAACTACCATTCCACTTTCTGCCTCTGAGAATTTGACTACTTGATTCCTTATTGATATGATTTGGCTGTGTCCCCACCCAAATCTCATCTTGAATTATAATCCCCATAATCCCCATGTGTCCAGGGAGGCACTCAGAAGGAGGTGATTGGATCATGTATTATATCATTAACACTTTTTCATAGCATTTTGAGGAGTTTTGCAGGAGAGTCAAACAGTTATCCTCCTTCCCACCTTCAAAGCTAGGGGAGAGTTTGAAATGCATATAATGTTGAAGGAGTAACTAAGGAAGGTGGAAACTCAAAACTGATGCTGACTAATCCCTTTATGCCTTAATAGCATGTGGGCCACGCAGTGTTATTAAACCTTCCCTCTCTCCTCTTTTCCCTGGGAGAAGTGATCCCCATCTTCCCATCTTTCCTCAGAGGACCTATTTAAGGAAAAAGACCATGGGACCTATAGGTTATGAGTTCTTTGACCTTCCCCTGGATAACTTAGATGTGATCCCAATTGCAGAGAGATCAAAATATCCCTAGGATTAGCTAAGCTTATTACCTGGTACTTTCCACACCTGGCAGAGATTCTGCCTTGGAAACTATCGACATGAGTCCTATGGGGAAGAACCTTCTAGGAATTTAGCAATACACATAGCAGGCTGTCCCTGCAGAACCCCTAAGTCCAGGCTGTGACAATGTTGGGATGTTGTCTAGTGAAAAGGAAGGGCTCCCTAAACTTGAATTTGAGCTTGACTGGAGCTTGGTTTGCCTTACTGATACAGTTTTGGGGAAGACCTGGTGTTTATGTGACATTCAGAATAAAATTCATCAGTTGATCAATATCTATTAATGGCTAAAATATTTGTTGTTAGCTGTTATTTGGGTTAGCGAAAACTTCTAAATGCAAAACCTTATTATTTAACTAAAAGTTAATGGTAATGTTAGGGGTATTTCACATGTCAAAATCAATTCTATTGTGTATGGGTAAAAACAAATTGGCTTTGCATTAAAAAATTGTATTACTTTTTTCCATTTACATAGTTTATATATGTTCATTATAAACAAAAATAAAATATCAAAATGATCTATAAGCCCACCAATCTAATGTTGGCTAACATTTTAGTGTCTGTCTTTTAGACATTTTGTGTGTATTTATAAATTTTAAAGAAAAATGCGGCTGGGCTCAGTGGCTCACGCCTGTAATCCCAGCACTTTGGGAGGCCGAGGTGGGCAGATCACGAGGTCAGGAGTTTGAGAATAGCCTGGTCAACACAGTGAAACCCCATCTCTACTAAAAACACAAAAATTAGCTGGATATGGTGGTGTACGCCTGTAGTCCCAGCTACTAGGGAGGCTGAGGCAGGAGAATTGCTTGAACCTGGGAGGCAGAGGTTGTGGTGAGCCGAGATCACACCACTGCACTCCAGCCTGGGCAACAGAGCGAGACTCCACCTCAGAAAAAAAAAGAAAAGGAAAGAAAAGAAAAAAGCAAGCATATTATGGCCATAATTTTATCAATTGCCCCCCACTTTGCTTTATCATATTTTGTACATTGTTGGTGCCAAATAAGTATTTCTTGACTGCTGAAATGAATGCTCTCCAATAATGTAATCTGTAGTAGCCCCATAAGATTTGATTTTTATGATGTAAGATGATTTAGACAATCCTGTATTGTTGGCTATTTAGGATATTTCTATTATAAATCACTTTGCAATTAACACTCATAGATATATCTGTGGATACATTCAGTTACATTCTTAGTACAAATTATTGAAAGTGGAATTCCTGGAATAAAGAATGTGCACTTTCATAAGACCCTATTTCTTTTTTTGCTACCATGCATCTGGGTGCCACAATAGTAACTAATAGTGATATTCTACAATATAAATGAATTATTAGTAAACAGAAGCAGGAAAGCAGGCTGATACAGTTAAAGGCAGGCTCAATCCAATCTTTAATCATGGTATTGATTGGTTTGCTGCTGGTTTTAGGCACTATGTGTATTACTGTGTGTGTATGTGCACGTGTGTTTGTAGCATGCAGGCATGTGTGTGCCTACGTATATGCTTGTGAGTATACATATGTCCTGCTAAGTCTCTCGTGCAGGCAAACAAAAGCTAGCAGTCCCTGCTTCTAAGTCAGTTCCTTTCTTAGTTTCAGTCTACCATTTTATCCTTATTTTCCTGGCTGACTTGCAGAACCCTAACCCATACCCTGGCTTCTGACATCTGTTTTTTTTTCCCCTCACCATGGAATCTGCATTTCCAGCAATGGCCAGTGGAATTACAAAGCCATGAGATCCCCTGGAGTTGAGGTCCCTCTCAGCTGGAGGTGAGGCTTGCTCTCTGCCGACTTTGGCTCTTATAGGACATGCCCCACTGGGCTTTCTTCCTGGCCACTCTTCCCACCCTGCCTCCACTTAGGGGAATTCATGACAAATCTGGGGTGAGGGCACCTCATCAGTACACAACCAAAAGAGAAATTTCTCTTCCTCCCATGAATAGGTTTTCAAATGCTTTTCAGAAGTCACTTTTTGTCCTTTCTCCCTCCTTCCATTTCTTTTCTTTGTTTTCCCTCTTCTTCCTCTTCCTGCTGAAGCGTTTTCCAAAGAAGAAAATGGAGAATTATATGATTGGAAAAAAGGTCAAATCTAATGCCAAAAAGCAAGGATAAAATAATAACTTGAAGCAAAAAGCCTCCAAACCTCTTATAACGTCTGTTTTTTGGGCCTGCTTGTAGCTTAAGCCCAAATCATGATCTTCAGGGGCTGTCAGAGTCAGCAACTGGAATAATGAGATACACACAGGCCTTCGAAGAAAGCTGAAATCTAAGTGGCAGCTTCAGCCATAATTTCTCATGAAAAGCCAGAGACAAAGACAGGTTATTTATTTGATTTGTAATCATAAAAGGCCTCTGTAGCTTAGTTGATTTGGAGCCCAGAGATAAACCTGGCTTTCTTGTAAGATGACTGTGAAAACACACAAGGAAAACCATTCTCCTCTAACCTGATGAGGCTGACGGGAAGGGTCTTTATCAAAATGTTATTTTTCTCCAAAAGACATTCATCATTTTCAACAAGGCTTCATCCTGCTGCTGTAAAGCAAAGTCTTGCCTGAAGCAGGTTAAACTAGCAGCATTCGCAAAAAGAAAGAATCCTTCTGACTCACACCAAGGAGCTGTCACTATGATTAATTAGCTCAGACAGTCCCAGATGGGTAATAAGGACCATCACGTTCTTGCCTACTGTTTGTGCTTAGTCAATGACACGGGCTTGGGCACAGGTCCCTGGCCTGTCATTCTCATTTGCGGAAATTGCTGCGCTTACTCCTATCTTCAAGAAGTCAAGTGGCAGGTTTTGGTTTAAAACTTGGAAAGGTGGGAGCCCAGGCTAGCTCTCTGCCTAGTTTGCTCTGTAACCATGAGCAAGTTTCTTGGTACGCCTTCGACCTCAGTTTTCCTGAATTTAACATGGCTTTTTAAAGCCCCTCCTGGCCAGGTGCGGTGGCTTACGCCTGGAATCCCAGCACTTTGGGAGGCTGAGGTGGGCGGATCACCTGAGGTCAGGAGTTCGAGACCAGCCTGGCCAACATGGGGAAACCCTGTCTCTACTAAAAATACCAAAAAAAAATTAGCCAGGTGTGGTGGTGGGTGCCTGTAATCCCAGCTACTCGGGAGGCTGAGGCAGGAGAATTGCTTGAACCCAGGAGGTGGAGGTTGCAGTGGGCCGAGACCACTCCATTGCACTCCAGCTTGGGCAACAAGAAGAAAACTCTGTCTAATACACACACACACACACACACACACACACACACACACACACACACACATATAGCTTCACCTTATTGGACTGCTGTCCACATCTCCAACTTCTTCTGTTGCCCTCTCCCTCCATAGCACACTCCATGCTAGCCTTATAGAGCTCTTTTCAGCTCTTTCAACTTTCCTTTCTTCTCGTTGCCTCTAGCTGTTACCCAAAGACCTTCCCTGAGATACGCCAGAATATGATTTTCTCTCCTCTTTGATTGGTTGATTCCTGCATATCTTTCAAGCCTAATTTAAGTAGTTGCTGGAGTTTTGATAACCATTGAATGAGAAATAGGAAATGACAAAAGGTCACTATACATAAGCAATGTCTTTAAATTATTAGTTATTTTATTAATCACCATGACATCAACATACGTTTGAAAACATTCACACATGTGAATAGTGGAATACTCCATCAGAGATGAAAATCATGTATGTTTTTAATGTTTTTTTTTTTTCAGTGAGAGAGGTGTCATAATACTGCTTTTGGAATTATCGAAGGCAGTAATTCCTGCACACTTGAAAGTCTTGATGGATCTTCCTCTGGTGGGTGAAGGCCTCCTGATCTCTCCCTTAGTACTCTGCATTTCCTCACAGTGGTGCTTGTCACTGGTATTATAGTAGCTGAACTCATGGCTTCTCCAGCTGGACCCAGAGCTTCTCAAAGTCAGGAAAGTGACCTCCTTCTCGTCACTGTAGGTGCAGCACCTAACCATGGTGCCCAGCACATGGGAGAGGCCCAGAAGGTAATAAGATATAAAAGAAATATGGAGAATCCTATTAGATAAATAGCACAAAGTTTTTGAGTATAAATACTCTATCTTAATATCCTAAAGTCTGCATTGCTTTCTCCCACTCCTGTCCCCCCACACAGGCAGGATAGTCGCTGGACTTTTGATACTCACTTATTGAGAAATAAGAAATGATGGGCAGGGCATGGTGGCTCACGCCTGTAATCCCAGCACTTTGGGAGGCCGAGGTGGGTGGATCACGAGGTCAGGAGATTGAGACCATCCTGGCTAACAAGGTGAAACCCTGTCTTTATCAAAAATACAAAAAAATTAGCCGGACGTGGTGGCCGGCGCCTGTAGTCCCAGCTACTCGGGAAGCTGAGGCAGGAGAATGGTGTGAACTCGGGAGGCAGAGCTTTCAGTGAGCCGATATCACGCCACTGCACTCCAGCCTGGGTGACAGAGCAAGACTCTTTATCAAAAAAAAAAAAAAAAAAAAAAAAAGAAAGAAATGCTGAAAGGTCACTACATATTAGCAATGTCTTTAAATTAATTTGTATTTTATTAGTTCCCATGACATTAACAGACATTTAAAAATATTCATACATATAAGTAGTGGGATATTCTATCAGAGACTAAAATTCTGTGTGTTTTTAATGATTTTTTTCATTGAGAGGATGTCATAATATTGCTTTTGAAATCATTGAAGGCAGTACTTCCGTCATACCTCCATTCTCCCCTATTTTCCCTGCTGGAGTGGGTGTGGGAATCTCACAATCACTTGGAAAGTTTCTCTTGGATGAACAAATTATTGGGGGTCTCCATTATTACTATTAGTACTAGTGGTAGTATTGTGATTATTACTACTCACTTAGAAGATGGTATATAGCCCCACAGTTTGAAGAAAAGGGTGTAATTAGATTCTTTGTGTTACTTAACATAATGCCCTCTTATTTCATTCATATTGTTGCAAATGACAGAATTTTGTTGTTTTTTTATGGCTGAATAATATTTCATTGTGTACATGTGCCATATTTTCTTTATACATTCATGTGTTGGTGGACACTTAGGTTGATGCCATATCTTGGCTATTGTGAATAATGTAGCAATAAACATGGGAGTGCAGATATTTCTTGAATATATTGATGTCATTTCTGTTGGGCACATACCCAGCAGTGAATTCCTGGATCATATGGTAGTTCTATATTTACTTTTTTAAAGAATCTCCATACTGTTTTCCATAGTGGCTGTGCTAATTTACCTTCCCACCAATCCTTGCCAGCATTCATTATTTTTTGTCTATTTGATAAAAGCCATTTTAACTGGGGTGAGATGATATCTCATTATGATTTTGACTTGCATTTCTCTGATGATTAGTGACGTTGAGCATTTTTCCATATACCTGTTGGCTACTTGTATGTCTTCCTTTTAGAAATGTCTGTTCAGATCCTTCATCCATTTTTAATTGGATTATTTGTTTTTTTGCTACTGAGTCATTTGAGTTCCTTATACATTCTGGTTATGGATCCCTTGTCAGCTGAAGAGTTTGCAAATATTTTCTCCCATTGTTTATGTTGTCTCTTCACTTTGTTAATTGTTTCCATTGTTGTGCAGAAGCTTTTTAACTTGATGTGATCTCATTTGCCCATTTTTGCTTTGGTTGCCTGTGTTTTTGAGGTCTTACTCAATAAATCTTTGCCCAGACCAATGTCCTGAAGCATTTTGCCAGAGTTTTCTTCTAGTAGTTTCATAGTTTCAGGTTTTACATTTAAGTTTTTAATTCATTTTGATTTGATTTTTGTATATGATGAGATAATAGGGCTTTACTTTCATTCTACTGCATATGGATATCCAGTTTTTCCAACACCATTTGTTGCAGAGACTGTCGCTTCCTTAATGTAGGTTCTTGGCACCCTTTTAAAAAAATGAGTTCACTGTAGATGTATGGATTTGTTTCTGGGTGTTATATTCTGCTCCATTGGTCTATGTGTCTGATTTTATGACAGTATTATACTGTTTTGGTTACTATAGCTTTGTAGTATAATTTGAATTCAGGTAATGTGATGCCTCCAGCTTTGTTCTCTTTACTCAGGATTGCTCTGACTACTCTGGGTCTTTTGTAGTTCCATATAAATTTTAGAATTTTCTTTTCTATTTCTGTAAAGAATGTCATTGGGATTTTGATAGGGATAGCATTGAATCTGCAGATCACTTTGGGTAGTATAAGCATTTTAACAATGTTGATTCTTCCAATCCATAAATGTAAAGTATCTTTCCATTTTTTTTTGTCCTTTTCAATTTCTTTCATCAATGTTTTATAGTTTTCCTTGTAGAGATCTTTCACCTTTTTGGTTAAATTAATTCCTAGGTATTTTTTGTAGCTATTGTAAATGAGATTGCTTTCTTGGTTTATTTTTCAGATTGTTCACTTCTGGCTTGTGGAAATGCCACTGATTTTTGCATGTTGATTTGGTATCTTGCAACTTTACTGAATTCATTTATCAGGTTTTGGTGGAGGCAGAGTCCTCTACATATCATTCTATGTATCTGAATTTTATTTGAAATGCACATTAAACCATGGAGTGATTTTTTTCTACTGTAGTTTAGATCTATATAATTAATTCCTTGAGAGTTGAAAACTTACCTCAACTTCAGATGTGATCTTATCCTTGGTGAGGTTTCAGTGGAGGCAGAGCTTTCTACATATCATTCTAGATATCTCCTCCTTGTGACACAGCAATAATACCTTAAAGATTTTTCCCTGCCTCATGAGCAACCATTTCTCTCTGGCCTCAAGGATGTCTCATGTGTTGGCATACCCGCTGTGCTCTATGAGTCCCAAGTTGGATGGTTGAGAGATTTAGTGTGAGTTGCCGAACACAGGGCTTTTAAAATGTAAAATGTGTGCCAGACTCATGGCCTGGAGCCCCAGTCAGATTGTGCATTTTGATCTTTATACTACATAAGGAGACTCGCTTATGTGTGAAATGGGAAATCAAGGCAGGCTGTCAACATCAGTGGGTCATCAAATTATGATCTTTCTATCTTCCAAAAATCCCACAAGCCTTGCCACGTCTCTTTGTCTGAACACTGATATTACTGTAGCTCAGGTTCTCATACTTTCATCAGGACAATTTTTATAGTCTTTGTTCTTTTTTTCTCCAGCATCTCATTCTTCTGTTCTGCCTTCCATATCACTACTATAAATGTCTGTAGGTGTGCCACTCCCTTGCTCAGAAAGCATCAAACATTACAGACCACAAATTTACAAATTCCTAAACATTGTACTCGAGGTCCTTCCTGGTCATTTAATTGTCCATTTACTAATTCATCAAAGTCCCCTCCCATGAGATATCTCTCTGTGTCATGTCTTAACTTTAAATAATGATAATAACAACTATGACAGTATTAATAATGATATTTCTTTAATAATCAGGTATAATCTATTACAAGATTCACTCTCAATTTAATAATAGCTTTTCAGAAAGAAAAGAAACACTACTACACTAAATCAATGAACATTTTAATGACAAGACATACTGAAATTCCAGAAAGATTAAAACAGGAAAAAGTTGTAGGTCTGGGAGTTAAAGACATATGCTAATAGGTACCATTTATTTAGTGTCCACAAAGGGCTCAGTAATTATTTAGCTAAAGAACCTTTTCTTGATTCATTCTGCCTCCAAGAAGCTCTCAACCATGTAGTCCTGCCCTCTCTGCATGACTTTCTGGATCGCTTTCTGTGCCAAAAGCAAACTTCACACGCCTTAAGAATGTATGTTCTCCAAGCTTATTTGGCCTGTGAAAAGAATAAGTAGATTTCCTATTAGCTGTGTAATATTTGCTACATTTTAAGGAAAAAGTGCTGTTGAAAATAGGATCCAAACCAACCAAGCCCCAAGACCAAAACAGAGACCCCAAATATTTGTTCTCTATTGCTACCAGTTGAGGATTGATGATTTCTGCTTCTCAGGAAGAGCGTAGGGGGTGAAAGTGGGAGGTCAGCTCTTTTTGTCTGAGAAAATAATTTTCTTTCTTTCAAGGTATTAGCAATGCAATTATTTCATCAAGGTGAATTAGTTCTCTACTTGGGTCCCAGCCTGGGGTTTCACTTGGAATTTTTCTTCACCACTTTCGGCCTCTAAATATTTGACCGAGAGTTTGAGTTCGGATTAAGCTGTCACAGATCTTGATTTGATAAGGGGAATGAAATTAAAATGGACAAAAAGAAGTGAGGCTAATTGGCACTTCCAAGTAATTTTTCCTTTACAATTAGCCAAAGAAAATTTTGTGGGGCAGAGTGATGCTTGCATTCTCCCTGAAGCTTCTTTGTGTGTGCCCGGGAGACCCCTGGCCAGGCCTCAACCCTGTCAGTCTCTCTGAGCGCCGTTCTCAGGGTATAATTGAGCTGGGCTTTGTTGTGAGCATCTATACACATTTAATGAGACTTATGTGTCTGTGCTCAGAGGATTCCAGATCCTCCACTACATTTCATTTGGAATTAATCCGACGTGGGCTGTTCTCCAGGCTTAATAGCTGAAAAGCCCTTTCCAAAGGGAAAGAATTCAGTGATAAAGTTTAATAAAGTTTAGTATGAAAGCTAATTCTTCATAAAACCCTGAAAAATTTTCCCCCAAAGTCCAGACACCACAACGATTGTATACCTCAGGATTTCATTTCTGTCCTCCTGCCTTGGGGCCCATGGACTGCAAGCAATGAATCTGCATTGGTAAATAAAGCATAACTTCATGACAGTTTAATGGGGTTGGGGAAAATCATTGGACCTTTATTTTTTGCAAAAGTGGCTCTTCCTATGTGTCTCGCTATGGTGAACCATAATGGGGGATTTGCTAGAGATAAGATCCTTAAAGTGAGACTAAAATAAACACAAAGGTAATCTTACTCCATTTCTGGGCTTAGGCTGTCTACCAAAGAGCAGCAAGTTCATTGCAAAAATGAATGGGATTCCTGGCCAGACAGTTCAAGGGGAGGAAAGGTGGGAGCTGGCAAGAGGGGAGAGAAAAAACAAGCAGCTGGTAGCCCTCCTTGGTGTGGCCCCTCTGCCTTAGTACCCTCCCAACTGGCCACTAGTCCATCCCCACCCCACTGTGGCTTCCTCTGTTTCAGCCTCACTCAAGCATAGCTCATCTTCAATGCCATAGTTTTAAATTTGCCTCTGGACTTGAATATCCTTTTTCACTTCTTTGCTTTGCTTCTCCCTACACATCCTTCAAGCATCATCTCTTTGGAAAGCCTTCCAGCTGTCCTCTGTTTGTTCTCTCAAAATCCTCTGCTCAGTGTGCTCTCTGAGCTTGTTGATGGTGTTGAAAGTGTCATTTATCTGTATGCATAAGAACCTCTTGGCCGGGCGCGGTGGCTCACGCCTGTAATCCCAGCACTTTGGGAGGCTGAAGCAGGTGGATCACCTGAGGTCAGGAGTTTGAGACCAGCCTGGCCAACATGGCGAAACCCCATCTCTACTAAAAATACAGAAATTAGCCAAGTGTGGTGGCACACACCTGTAATTTCAGCTACTTGGGAGGCCGAGGCAGGAGAATTACTTGAACCTGGGAGGCAGAGGTTGCAGTGAGCTGAAATTGCGCCATTGCACTCCAGCCTGGGTGACAGAGCAAGACACCATCTCTGAAAAAACAAAAACAACAACAAACAAAACAAAACAAAACAAAAAACTTCTTGCCCTTGACTGTGAGCCAATTGAGGTCAAGCACTGAGTATTTATTTATTACTTCATCTGCTTATTCAATCATTGAATCAGTACTTATTCAACACATACTATGTGCTGAGTACTGTGCCAAAAATACAATGGAGCTTGTGACATGCACATCCTCTGTTTCAGACTAGTGAGGGAGACAGAAAACACAGTACCCTCCCCGCAAAAAAAAATGTGAAAAAGAAAGAAAACAGGTGCTGAGATAATGAAATGGGATGACCACCGTACCATAAACAGGATCAGGAAGCAGTTTCCTTGAGGATGTGGTATGTAAGTTAAGACCCAGAAAAGGAGAAACTAGCTTTAGAAAAGTGCATATTAACTGCTCAATGACTGATTGAATGAATGAATCTAAATGGGAGGTCCTTGTAGTCCACTGAGTTCAATTTAAAATACTGTTGAGAGTAAAGTCAGTGAGTGCCTCCCAGGGCAGTGTTGGAGAGGCTTTGCAAGTGCTCTCTGATCCGTTGGTAATGGCTGCTTGGGGCACTTTTGGGGTGGACTCTGTGGTTGTATCCAAGCTAGTGGGAAAGATTGCCCTGAACAATGAATGAGCTCTGCTATGGGTGTGGAGGTAACAGTGATTTGAGTGCTAGACTCTTTAGATCCAGATGGACTGACTGGCAGGAGGAAGCATTTCTCATTTTTCACTTCTAATCTTTCCTTTTTGCTCTCTGATTCTTCTCCCAAATTTCTCTCATTCGTTTCTGCTCCATTAAATCAGCTTATGATATCTTCACGCTTATTTTAAGATTTGCCCAACTGCATATATGTATAGTCCCAAGTATAATGCAAACACAAACACATATATATGTATGTGTACATATATAAAATATATTCATATATGCAAACATCATATGCACACTGCACACACAGGTGTATTTCCAATCAGTTCAATCTCACCTTATGTGAACATGAACATCCAATAGCGCTGCCCATTTCCATTTGATACTCAATTACTCATTCTAGTCTTGGAGTAAATATTTTACCTTATCTATATATACAACTGCTTTCAGCAGCCTGGTGAGCCTCAGGGAAATAGGATTTAGATTTGAAATATCTGGATCAAAATCCTAATTTTCCACTTATTGGTAGTAACTTATCCAAGCTTTAACTGTAAAAAATGGATTTAATAGGAATAACAGATACCACACATGCATCAGAAAAAGTTGGAAGATCAAATAAGACAATGCGTATGAGTACATTTGAAAAACTTCAGATTTAGAAAAGTACTTTTTCATAAATATATTTCAACTTATCTACTCCATATTTGCCTCTTTGTCCTTGGTACTCTGATGTGTAAGATCTTAGAAGCAGGGTTCATTTGCTTATTCTAGAAAATTGTTAAGTATAAATTGGTTCTTCTTTTTTTGTATTTTTTCTGAGGCAGGGTCTTGCTCTGTCATCCAGGCTGGAGTACAGCGGTGTGATGATAGCTCACTGAAGCCTCAATCTCCCAGGCTCGAGTGATCCTCCCACTTCAGCCTCTTGAGTAGCTGGCACCATAGGCACGCATCACCACTCCCAGCTAATTTTCAAACTTTTTTTGTAGAGGCAGGGTTTCCCTATGTTGCTCAGGCTGGTTTTGAACTCCTGGGCTCAAGCATTCTCCCACCTCGGCCACCCAAAGTGCTGGGATTACAGGCATGAGCCACCACACCTGGCCTTAAATTGCTTCTTCTTAAGTTCATTCTGATACAAATAAATGGGCTCTATACACATTTGTTTTTCCCCTTGGTAACTGAAGAAATAAATTTTAACATGATTTGGAAACTTTTTGCTCTGCTGGTTTTCATAGTTAAGTTCCTGACAGGACACCGCAAGAAAAGAAGACTATAGGCCAATATTCCCAATGAACATAGATGCAAATACCCCTAGCAAAATGCTAACAAACCAAAATCAGCCGCACATTAAAGAGATCATTCACTGTGATCAAGTGGGATTTATTCCAGGAATGCAAAGATTGTTCAACATACATAAATTAAAAAATGTAATATACCATATTAACAAAATGAAGGATGAAAACCACATGATCACCTCAGATGCAGAAAAAGCATTTGACACAATTCAATATTAATTCATGGTTAAAAAAAAAAAACCCTCTCAAAAATAGGCATAAAAGGAATGTACCTCGACATAAGAAAGGCCGTACATGACAAGCCCATAGCTAACATCATACTCAGTGATGAAAAGTCAAAAGCTTCTCCTTTAAGATCAGGAGTAAGACAAGAATGCCCATTCTCACCATTTGTATTCAATATCATACCAAAAGTCCTCTCCAGAGCAATTAGGTAAGAAAAAGAAAGACATTCATACAGAAAAGGAAGAAATGTGTCTACAAAAAGAGTCAAATCCTGTAAAATATTTGAAGAGATTTATTCTGAGCCAAATATGATGACCAATGATCCATGACACAGTCTCAGGGTTCCTGCTGAGAACATGTGCCCAAGATGATTGTACAGCTTGGGTTTTTTTTTTTTTTTTTTTCTTTTTTTGAGACGGAGTCTTACTCTGTTTCCCAGGCTGCAGAGCAATGGCATGATCTTGGCTCACCGCAACCTCCACCTCCTGGGTTCAAGCAATTCCCCCGCCTCAGCCCCCTGAGTAGCTGGGATTATAGGCACCCACCACAACGCCTGGCTTATTTTTGTATTTTAGTAGAGACAGGGTTTCACCATGTTGGCCAGGCTGGTCTCGAACTCCTGATCTCAAGTTATCCACCCACCTTGGCCTCCCAAAGTGCTGGGATTACAGGTGCGAGCCACCACACCTAGCCTACAGCTTGGTTTTATATGTTTTGGGGAGACATAAGACATAAATCAATACATGTAAGATGTATATTGGTTCAGTCTAGAAAAGCAAGACAACTTAAAGTGGGGTGGCTTCCAGGTCATAGATGGACTCAAAGATTTTGTGATTGACAATTGGTTGAAAGAGTTAAGTTATTATCTAAAGACCTGGAATCAATAGAAGGGAGTGTCTGGGTTAAGATAGGGGGCTGTGGAAACCAAGGTTCTTATTATGCAGAGGAAGCCGCCAGGTAGCTGGCTTCAGAGAGAATAGATTGTAAATGTTTCTCATCAGACTTTAAAAGGTGCTAGACTCTCAGTTAATTCACTCTTGGTTTAGGAAAAGATCTGGAAAGGGAAGGGGATTCTCTACATAATGTAGGTTTTTCCCGCAAGAGACAGCTTCACAGGCCCATTTTAAAATATGTTGAAGAAATATATTTTGGGGTAAAATACTTCAGTTTCTTTCAGAGCCTGCTGTCATCTGATGCTATGCTACAGCCAGGATGGAATTTGGTATCTTATCGCTATAAAGAGTTTGCTTTGTGGGTCTTAAGCACTGCTTTAATGTTAATGCAGGTCAGCTGTGACTAAATTCCAGTGAGAGGGAGATAATGAGGCATGTCCAACCCCTCACTTTCCATCATCACCTGAACTATATTTTCAGGTTTACTTTGGAATGCCCTTGGCTGAGAGGGGGTCCATCAGTCAGTTTAGAGGGCTTAGAATTTTATTTTTTTGTTTACAAGTAGAATTGTCTCTGTTTGCTGATGACATTATCTTATATATAGAAAACCCTGAAGACTGTTAAAAAAACTGTTAACACTGATAAACAAATTCAATAAAGTTGCAGGTTGCAAAATTAACCTACAAAAGCCAGTAGCATTTCTATACACTAATAACAAATCATCTGGAAAAGAAATTAAGAAAACTCCTTTATGATAGCTTAAACAAATAAAATACTTAGGAGTAAATTCAATCAAGGAACTAAAAGATCTGTACACTGAAAACTAAAAAACATTAATGAGAAAAAAGAAAGAGGGGGGGAGGAGCCAAGATGGCCGAATAGGAACAGCTCCGGTCTACAGCTCCCAGCGTGAGCGACGCAGAAGACCGATGATTTCTGCATTTCCATCTGAGGTACCGGGTTCATCTCAGTAGGGAGTGCCAGACAGTGGGCGCAGGCCAGTGGGTGCGCGCACCGTGCGCGAGCCGAAGCAGGGCGAGGCATTGCCTCACCTGGGAAGCGCAAGGGGTCAGGGAGTTCCCTTTCCAACTCAAAGAAAGGGGTGACGGACGCACCTGGACAATCGGGTCACTCCCACCCGAATATTGCGCTTTTCAGACCGGCTTAAAAAACGGCGCACCACGAGACTATATCCCACACCTGGCTCGGAGGGTCCTACGCCCATGGAATCTCGCTGATTGCTAGCACAGCAGTCTGAGATCAAACTGCAAGGCGGCAGCGAGGCTGGGGGAGGGGCGCCCGCCATTGCCCAGGCTTGCTTAGGTAAACAAAGCAGCTGGGAAGCTCGAACTGGGTGGAGCCCACCACAGCTCAAGGAGGCCTGCCTGCCTCTGTAGGCTTCACCTCTGGGGGCAGGGCACAGACAAACAAAAAGACAGCAGTAACCCCTGCAGACTTAAATGTCCCTGTCTGACAGCTTTGAAGAGAGCAGTGGTTCTCTCAGAACGCAGCTGGAGATCTGAGAACGGGCAGACTGCCTCCTCAAGTGGGTCCCTGACCCCTGACCCCCGAGCAGCCTAACTGGGAGGCACCCCCCAGCAGGGGCACACTGACACCTCACACGGCAGGGTATTCCAACAGACCTGCAGCTGAGGGTCCTGTCTGTTAGAAGGAAAACTAACAAACAGAAAGGACATCCACACCAAAAACCCATCTGTACATCACCATCATCAAAGACCAAAAGTAGATAAAACCACAAAGATGGGGAAAAAACAGAACAGAAAAACTGGAAACTCTAAAACGCAGAGTGCCTCTCCTCCTCCAAAGGAATGCAGTTCCTCACCAGCAACGGAACAAAGCTGGATGGAGAATGACTTTGACGAGCTGAGAGAAGAAGGCTTCAGACGATCAAATTACTCTGAGCTACGGGAGGACATTCAAACCAAAGGCAAAGAAGTTGAAAACTTTGAAAAAAATTTAGCAGAATGTATAACTAGAATAACCAATACAGAGAAGTGCTTAAAGGAGCTGATGGAGCTGAAAACCAAGGCTCGAGAACTACATGAAGAATGCAGAAGCCTCAGGAGCTGATTCGATCAACTGGAAGAAAGGGTATCAGCAATGGAAGATGAAATTAATGAAATGAAGCAAGAAGGGAAGTTTAGAGAAAAAAGAATAAAAAGAAATGAACAAAGCCTCCAAGAAATATGGGACTATGTGAAAAGACCAAATCTACGTCTGATTGGTGTACCTGAAAGTGATGGTGAGAATGGAACCAAGTTGGAAAACACTCTGCAGGATATTATCCAGGAGAACTTCCCCAATCTAGCAAGGCAGGCCAACGTTCAGATTCAGGAAATACAGAGAACGCCACAAAGGTACTCCTCGAGAAGAGCAACTCCAAGACACATAATTGTCAGATTCACCAAAGTTGAAATGAAGGAAAAAATGTTAAGGGCAGCCAGAGAGAAAGGTTGGGTTACCCTCAAAGGGAAGCCCATCAGACTAACAGCGGATCTCTCGGCAGAAACCCTACAAGCCAGAAGAGAGTGGGGGCCAATATTCAACATTCTTAAAGAAAAGAATTTTCAACCCAGAATTTCATATCCAGCCAAACTAAGCTTCATAAGTGAAGGAGAAATAAAATACTTTACAGACAAGCAAATGCTGAGAGATTTTGTCACCATCAGACCTGCCCTAAAAGAGCTCCTGAAGGAAGCGCTAAACATGGAAAGGAACAACTGGTACCAGCCGCTGCAAAATCATGCCAAAATGTAAAGACCATCGAGACTAGGAAGAAACTGCATCAACTAACGAGCAAAATCACCAGCTAACATCATAATGACAGGATCAAATTCACACATAACAATACTAACTTTAAATGTAAATGGACTAAATGCTCCAATTAAAAGACACAGACTGGCAAATTGGATAAAGAGTCAAGACCCATCAGTGTGCTGTATTCAGGAAACCCATCTCACGTGCAGAGACACACATAGGCTCAAAATAAAAGGATAGAGGAAGATCTACCAAGCAAATGGAAAACAAAAAAAGGCAGGGGTTGCAATCCTAGTCTCTGATAAAACAGACTTTAAACCAACAAAGATCAAAAGAGACAAAGAAGGCCATTACATAATGGTAAAGGGATCAATTCAACAAGAGGAGCTAACTATCCTAAATATATATGCACCCAATACAGGAGCACCCAGATTCATAAAGCAAGTCCTGAGTGACCTACAAAGAGACTTAGACTCCCACACATTAATAGTGGGAGACTTTAACACCCCACTGTCAACATTAGACAGATCAACGAGACAGAAAGTCAACAAGGATACCCAGGAATTGAACTCAGCTCTGCACCAAGCGGACCTAATAGACATCTACAGAACTCTCCACCCCAAATCAACAGAATATACATTTTTTTCAGCACCACACCACACCTATTCCAAAATTGACCACATAGTTGGAAGTAAAGCTCTCCTCAGCAAATGTAAAAGAACAGAAATTATAACAAACTATCTCTCAGACCACAGTGCAATCAAACTAGAACTCAGGATTAAGAATCTCACTCAAAGCCTCTCAACTACATGGAAACTGAACAACCTGCTCCTGAATGACTACTGGGTACATAACGAAATGAAGGCAGAAATAAAGATGTTCTTTGAAACCAACGAGAACAAAGACACAACATACCAGAATCTCTGGGACGCATTCAAAGCAGTGTGTAGAGGGAAATTTATAGCACTAAATGCCCACAAGAGAAAGCAGGAAAGATCCAAAATTGACACCCTAACATCACAATTAAAAGAACTAGAAAAGCAAGAGCAAACACATTCAAAAGCTAGCTAGCAGAAGGCAAGAAATAACTAAAATCAGAGCAGAACTGAAAGAAATAGAGACACAAAAAACCCTTCAAAAAATCAATGAATCCAGGAGCTGGTTTTTTGAAAGGATCAACAAAATTGATAGACTGCTAGCAAGACTAATAAAGAAAAAAAGAGAGAAGAATCAAATAGACACAATAAAAAATGATAAAGGGGATATCACCACCGATCCCACAGAAATACAAACTACCATCAGAGAATACTACAAACACCTCTACGCAAATAAACTAGAAAATCTAGAAGAAATGGATAAATTCCTCAACACATACACTCTCCCAAGACTAAACCAGGAAGAAGTTGAATCTCTGAATAGACCAATAACAGGAGCTGAAATTGTGGCAATAATCAATAGTTTACCAACCAAAAAGAGTCCAGGACCAGATGGATTCACAGCCGAATTCTACCAGAGGTACAAGGAGGAACTGGTACCATTCCTTCTGAAACTATTCCAATCAATAGAAAAAGAGGTAATCCTCCCTAACTCATTTTATGAGGCCAGCATCACTCTGATACCAAAGCCTGGCAGAGACACAACCAAAAAAGAGAATTTTAGACCAATATCCTTGATGAACATTGATGCAAAAATCCTCAATAAAATACTGGCAAACCGAATCCAGCAGCACATCAAAAAGCTTATCCACCATGATCAAGTGGGCTTCATCCCTGGGATGCAAGGCTGGTTCAATATACGCAAATCAGTAAATGTAATCCAGCATATAAACAGAGCCAAAGACAAAAACCACATGATTATCTCAATAGATGCAGAAAAAGCCTTTGACAAAATTCAACAACCCTTCATGCTAAAAACTCTCAATAAATTAGGTATTGATGGGACATATTTCAAAATAATAAGAGCTATCTATGACAAACCCACAGCCAATATCATACTGAATGGGCAAAACCTGGAAGCATTCCCTTTGAAAGCTGGCACAAGACAGGGATGCCCTCTCTCACCACTCCTATTCAACATAGTGTTGGAAGTTCTGGCCAGGGCAATTAGGCAGGAGAAGGAAATAAAGGGTATTCAATTAGGAAAAGAGGAAGTCAAATTGTCCCTGTTTGCAGACGACATGATTGTATATCTAGAAAACCCCATTGTCTCAGCCCAAAATCTCCTTAAGCTGATAAGCAAAGTCTCAGGATACAAAATCAATGTGCAAAAATCACAAGCATTCCTATACACCAACAACAGACAAACAGAGAGCCAAATCATGAGTGAACTTCCATTCACAATTGCTTCAAAGAGAATAAAATACCTAGGAATCCAACTTACAAGGGATGTGAAGGACCTCTTCAAGGAGAACTACAAACCACTGCTCAAGGAAATAAAAGAGGATACAAACAAATGGAAGAACATTCCATGCTCATGGGTAGGAAGAATCAATATCGTGAAAATGGCCATACTGCCCAAGGTAATTTACAGATTCAATGCCATCCCCATCAAGCTACCAATGACTTTCTTCACAGAATTGGAAAAAACTACTTTAAAGTTCACATGGAACCAAAAAAGAGCCCGCATCGCCAAGTCAATCCTAAGCCAAAAGAACAAAGCTGGAGGCATCACACTACCTGACTTCAAACTATACTACAAGGCTACAGTAACCAAAACAGCATGGTACTGGTACCAAAACAGAGATATAGATCAATGGAACAGAACAGAGCCCTCAGAAATAACGCCGCATACCTGCAACTATCTGATCTTTGACAAACCTGAGAAAAACAAGCAATGGGGAAAGGATTCCCTATTTAATAAATGGTGCTGGGAAAACTGGCTAGCCATATGTAGAAAGCTGAAACTGGATGCCTTCCTTACACCTTATACAAAAATCAATTCAAGATGGATTAAAGATTTAAACGTTAGACCTAAAACCATAAAAACCCTAGAAGAAAACCTAGGCATTACCATTCAGGACATAGGCATGGGCAAGGACTTCATGTCCAAAACACCAAAAGCAATGGCAACAAAAGCCAAAATTGACAAATGGGATCTAATTAAACTAAAGAGCTTCTGCACAGCAAAAGAAACTACCATCAGAGTGAGCAGGCAACCTACAACATGGGAGAAAATTTTTGCAACCTACTCATCTGACAAAGGGCTAATATCCAGAATCTACAATGAACTCAAACAAATTTACAAGAAAAAAACAAACAACCCCATCAAAAAGTGGGCGAAGGACATGAACAGACACTTCTCAAAAGAAGACATTTATGCAGCCAAAAAACACATGAAAAAATGCTCACCATCACTGGCCATCAGAGAAATGCAAATCAAAACCACTATGAGATATCATCTCACACCAGTTAGAATGGCAATCATTAAAAAGTCAGGAAACAACGGGTGCTGGAGAGGATGTGGAGAAATAGGAACACTTTTACACTGTTGGTGGTATTGTAAACTAGTTCAACCATTGTGGAAGTCAGTGTGGCAATTCCTCAGGGATCTAGAACTAGAAATACCATTTGACCCAGCCATCCCACTACTGGGTATATACCCAAAGGACTATAAATCATGCTGCTATAAAGACACATGCACACATATGTTTATTGCGGCATTATTCACAATGGCAAAGACTTGGAACCAACCCAAATGTCCAACAATGATAGACTGGATTAAGAAAATGTGGCACATATACACCATGGAATACTATGCAGCCATAAAAAATGATGAATTCATGTCCTTTGTAGGGACATGGATGAAATTGGAAATCATCATTCTCAGTAAACTATCGCAAGAACCAAAAACCAAACACTGCATGTTCTCACTCATAGGTGGGAATTGAACAATGAGATCACATGGACACAGGAAGGGGAATATCACACTCTGGGGACTGTGGTGGGGTGGGGGGAGTAGGGAGGGATAGCACTGGGAGATATACCTAATGCTAGATGACGAGTTAGTGGGTGCAGCGCACCAGCATGGCACATGTATACATATGTAACTAACCTGCACAATGTGCACATGTACCCTAAAACTTAAAGTATAATAAAAAAAAAAAGAAAGAAAACACAAATAAATGGAAAAATATCTCATGTTCATGGATTAGAATAAATAACATGGTTAAAATGTCCATACTACCCAAAGCAATCTTCACATTCAATGTAATTCATATCAAATTCTAATGTCATTTTCCACAGAAATTAGAAATGCAATCCTAAAGTTTCATTAGAGTAGAATATCTCTCATGCTAGGTCTCTTTTACAGAATCTAATATTTTCATGTAAAGAAGAGATAGCTTTTTTCATTTAAAGGCTACTGTTAATTCAATGGAAATTAAATACTTCAAAGTCATGTCTTGTTTCCCAGGGGAACAGGCTCAGGGAGGGAATGACTTAAACTTTCTGATTGAAAAATTGTTAGCTGTAAAGAAGTCGTATCAACCAATTTGAGAAATGTAATGTGAGACTGACCCTCCTTAGTGTAGGTTAGAAACACAAGCAGGGACTTTGAAGTGAAAGAGAACTGGTTCCAGTTTTGGCTCCCACAACCCAGTAGCTGTGTTACATGGGAAAGTTACACAACCTCTCTGAGTCTCACAGCACAGAGCCAAGCTCTCTTCTAGGCACTAGAGATACAGCAATGAAAATAACAGATAAGATTTCTGTCCTGATGGACTCTACATTCTGGGCAGAAAGTGGCAGGTGGTGGTGGTATCTGGGTGAGAACAGTAAACATTAAATAGATAAATTAATACAATCATCCTTAGTATGAAAGGACAATTGGTTCAAGAACCCCCATAGATACCAAAATCCACAGATGCTCAAGCTCCTTACATAAAATGGCATAGTGCTTGTATGTAGGCTGTGTACATCCTTCCATATACTTTAAACCATCTCTAGATTACTTATAATACCTAATGTAATTTAAGTGCTATATAAATAGCTGTTATGCTGTGTTTAAATTTGTAGTTTTTATTGTTGTATTGTTACTTTTTATTTATTTTTTTGAATATTTTCTGTCCATGCTTAGTTGAATCTGTTAATACGGAACCCATGGATACGGAGGCTTTACTGTGTTAGTGTGTTCTACGAAGAAAAATAGAAGAGAGCAAAAAAAAAAAAGAGAGTAGGAGTGTGGTTGCTACTTCATACAAGGTGCCCAGGGAAAGCCTGTCTAAGAAGATGGTATTTGAGCAAAGACCTGAAGGAAATGAGGGAGTGAGCTGTCATGTGGATATAGGGGAAGATATTCAGGCAGAGAGACCCCTAAGTGCCAAAGTCCGAGGCTAGAATATGGGCTTGGTATGTCCAAAGAATAGCAGACCATTGTAATTAGAGTGGAGTGAGAGAGGGGAGTAGTGACAGGAAATATTTTGGAAGAGTAAAAGTAAAAATACTGTAAAGTGCCTAGAGTAGCATGTGGAACGCAGTCATCATTTAATACACTTTTATTGTTTTCCCTTTTAGAAGCCAATCAGATACTATATGGTTTCTGTTAAATTACTCCCTTTTTCTTTCCTGTGGTGTCAACATCTCCATCTCCACTGGCTAATTCCTAATACTTAAACTTGCCCAAGGTTCTCCCATTTTAAAACAAAAATACCTCCCTCAATTAGTCATGAATTTATTCCCCCATCTTATTTTCACTGCAAAGCTTCCAAATAATTAGTTTATATTTGCTATATCTACTTTAAGAAAATATTCTTCAATGTATTACAGCTTAACTTTTGTCCCTGCCACACTATTGAAACTATTATCACCAAGATCACTAAAGACCTCCATATTGCTGTGTCCAATGGACCATTTTGGTATTTACTATACTTAGTCTCTCTCTGCTATTCACCATGGGTGATTTCTCTTTCTTACATCACTGTTACACTTTGCTTATTTGACCATCTTACGTATTTTCTCCCAGCTCACTGGCCATTGTTTCTCAGTCTCTTTTGTGGCTCCTCTTCCCTGCTCAACTCTTGAAAGTCAGGGTATTTGGGAGCTCCAGCCTCAGTCCTTTGCTCTTCCTTAGGAGGCCTTGCCCACACCAGCTGCTCTAACCACTATTTTAATCACTACTTTAACCACTACTTTAATGTGGATATCATTTTAAAATATCCAATTCTAACCAGAATCTTACTTTCTCCTTCAGAAGTTCTTAAAGTACCTTATATTAATTAAAGTGGGGTAACTTCTCAAACAATCATATCTCAATTTCCAGTGGATTAGCAGAGTAGAAGTTATTTTGTTCTCACAAACAGTCTATAGCCATTCCAGGATTGGCAGCAATGAATGATCAGAGTTGTGGGGCTCTGCTCATCACAGTCTACTACATATCTAGGCTGCCAGAAGCTCTTCCGTCTGCAACAGGTGATCACTCAGGACATGGACACCACCAGCTAGTAGAAGGGAAAGAGAATGGGAGATGGTATGTGGAATCTTCTGTCTGGAAGTGGTACACCTTACTTTTACTCACATTCTATTGCTTAGAACTCAGTCATATGGCAACATTAACTGAAACGAAGGCTGGGAAATGAAGCCTGTCTCTGTGACTAGGAGAAACCTTGTATGAACCTTGTATGAAAAGGGCAGAATGAAAGCAGTCTGAACTAATACATGATAGAGTTCACAGCCAGAATATAACCAATTTAACTTCCTGCTAAAACAAAAAGATAAGTACTCTTTAAGGAATCCAACACAATTCAGAGTCTTCACAACATAAAATTTGCAATAACCAGGATAAAATCAAACAACTTCTCAACATTCAACAAGCCATGAAAATGTGACCCAATTTCAAGGGGAAAAGAAATAAACAGATACCAATCCCAAGATAATCCATACACTGGAATGATCAAACAAGGACATTAAGGCTGCTTTTTTATAATTATGCTCAATGAAGTAAAGGAAAAATGCACTGGAAACAAATGAAACAATAGGAAATCTCATCAGACAGTCAACATAAAAAAAATGAAAATTTTATAACTGAAAAACTCACTATCTGAAATAAGTGTTTGCTGGATGGGCTTACGAACAAAATGGAGATAATAAAGGAAAGAGTCAGTAACTTAAAGATAGATCAATAAAAATCATCTACTTTGAGTCAGGGAAGAAAAAACAAGTAAGGATGAATAAATAAAAATTCAGAGATCCATGGGATAATATCAATAAATCTTAAATATGGATAATTATAATTCCAGAAGAGAAAAGGGGGAATGGGACAGAAACAAATACTTGAAATAATGGCTGTGTGCTTCCCAAGTTTGGTGAAAGACATAAATTTGTGAATTCAAGAGGCTCAGCAAACCCAAAGAGGATAAATAAAAAAAATCACATCTAGATACATGATGGCCAAATTATAGAAAATCACAAACAAAGAGAAAATCTTGAAAGCAGTCAAAGAAAAGGCACATTACATATGTGAGAAAATATTTCAATTGAAGTTAGGAGTCATTTGACGGCTGACTTCTTATCAAAAACCACGAGAGCCAGAAGACAATGGAATAACATTTTTAATGTGTGAAAAGGAAAAAAAAAGTTAATGCAGAGTTCTATACCTAGCAAAATTTATCCTTAAATAATATAAACAGAATAATGACATTTTCAGAGAAAGATAAGCTAAGCACATTTATTGCCATCAGACCTGCATGACAAGATGGGCTAAATGAAATTCGTTAGTCTGAAGGAAAATGATATACAGAAAGAAAAAGAGGATACACGCATCTTTAGGAATAAATAAAAAGCACTAGAAATGGTAACTCTCTTGGTTGCTATATGATTTAAATTCACAATAGCCCAATGGAGCAGTCAATAACAGTAACATTTACACATGATGAAAACATACCAGAGAGAGGTTTTAAGACTTAACCAGGCCACAGACATAGAGGTAGCAGACCCTGTATTTGAAAGATCATTATTTCTTTATTTGTTTCACTGTATAAACTTGCATCTCAAAAGCAGTTTTTAGAAAGGGAAGCAGAAGATTTCAAAGAGAAGCCACCCCTTACTCTCTCTTCTCTCTCCTGGTTAGAAGCAATGAAAATAGGGTTTTAGGAAAGAGAGTAGAGTGATAAATGCAGGGGAATTAATGGAGCACTTTCTGTGGAATGACAGTTTTTGCCTTCCATGTTTCTAGGAGTCTTGTTCAGCTTGGATTTGGTGCAAGTATTTATTGGGCACCTACTATGTTTTGTGCACTGGACTGGAAGCTGGGGAGACTGAGATGAATAAAGCATGGTCCTTGTATTAATGAGCACATGGCATTAACCTGGATTGTCTTGTGCAACCCTACATAAAAAGGCCAGTGGGCTGATGGAGCTTGCTGTATCCCAACACTCTGGAGAAGCTGCTGGCTTTGATTCAAGACGCTTGCTGTCTAATTTGTCACTCACTTTTAAGCACCATGGGCAATCTGCCCTAGTCAATTCTCCTTCCCACCATCTATTTGGCTAGACTGTACTAATTCTCTGTGTGACAATATTACTGCTTCCTTAAAGTTAATCTCTAATCTTAAAACTAAACCTGAATGTACCCTTAACCCAAATTCTTAACCCTGTTTCTATCCTTATTTCTAACCTTTACCCCACTCTAGCTGTAACCCTAACACTCACTCATTCTGCCAATCTATATCCTCTTTGTTCTTTAAGGGCAAAATCCTACCTCACTTCATCCAAGCAGGCTTCTTTGATTTCCTCAGCCCCAGAGCACTTGGGACCCACAAAGTATGGTATTTCCTAGAAAATGTACTGCACCAATGCTTTCTTTTCTCCTTCTTTATCTCTGCCTCCTTTCTTATGACAGCTCACATGTTCACATGTACTGATGGCCTACTGTATTTTGAGTACCACACTTATTTATTTATTTATTTATTTATTATTTATTTTTTTTTTTGAGACAGGGTCTGTTGCCCAGGCTGGAGTACAGTGGTGCGATCTTGGCTCACTGCAATCTCTGCCTCCCAAGCTCAAAGAATCCTTTCACTTCAGCCTCCCAAGTAACTAGGACTACAGGCATGTGCCACCACAGCCGGCTAATTTTTTGTATTTTTATTTTTTGTAGAGACAGAGTTTTGCCATGTTGTCCAGGCTGTTCTTCAACTCCTGGGCTAAAACAGTCCATCTGCCCTGGCCTCCCAAACTGCTGGGATTATAAGCTTGCGCCACTATGCCTGGTCAACATTTTAAAATGCAATCATTGCAAGTTCATATTGTTGTCCTTATTTCACAAATGAGGAAACCAAGGTTACTGAGATTCAGTCTCTTGCCCAGCATGCCAGCTATCTCCAGAGCCCATTAGGCAGTACTCTCTCCCATAGCATTTTACTGTCTCCCAGATCCTTTCGTGAATCTGGTGCAAGATAAAGAGTCATTCTCAGGAAAAATTCACACATGCATTTAAACATAAAACTTCATTCAAATTTAGGGGTTTTTATTAGTTTGTTTTCACACTGCTGATAAAGACATATCTGAGACTGGGTAAAGAAAAAGAAGTTTAATGGACTCACAGTTCCATGTGGCTGAGGAGGCCTCACAATCATGATTGAAGGCAAAAGACGTGTTTTACATGGCAGCAGGCAAGAGAGAATGAGAGCCAAGCAAAAGGGGAAGCCCCTTATAAAACCATCAGATCTCCTGAGACTTATTTACTACCACAAGAACAGTCTGGGGGAAATAGTCCCCATGATTCAATTATTTCCCACTGTGTCCCTTCCATAACATGTGGGAATTATGAGAGCTACAATTCAAGGTGCAATTTGGGTGGGGACACAGCCAAACCACAACAGGGTGCATAAGCCACAATACTCATTTGTTCCTATTCTAACAGTCTCTGAAGGCCCAATGAAGACTCCCTGCCTTATTGTGTCTCTCTTATACTGTCATACCTTACAGGCCTGGGTCCTATCTTGGTCATGTCTTGTGTCTGCTCAGAACAATAATTGTTCAGTTTCCAGTAAATATGCTGATTGGCTAAACTAAGGGAGTTTGTTTGGTATTCCTATGGTGGGTCTGCTTAGAAGCAAAAATGTAGCTGATCAACAGTTTGAAGGTATTTGTAAAACTGAAATCAACTGAATCAGGCTCAGCTATTGCAGCCAAAACTCTAATCAAGAATGCAAAGTTCAGTGGTGCCTTGTACCCCATGCTCGTCAAGTTCGCTCATGCAGGCATGTGCATGCACATTCACATGTAGCCCCTCTTAGCTCTAGCACAAGAAATGGAGGCAGATCCCTGAGTGCTCCAAACACCTGAGGGGAGAAATGAAAACCCATTTTTCATGCAATAGGTAAGTTGCATAATAGACAACTGAAACTGAAAATAAAATTTTGCAAACTTTAAGAAGTATATTAGTCTGGGCAGAGAGTCAAAATCACTAAATTTTCCTACAGATGTGTTTTGAGCCTCATTCTTGAAGTCTTGGGCTCTGATACATGCTGGCCTCCATAGTGGGTGAAAGAGTCATTAATTTAGTTTTCACAATGAAGATAAGGGCTTGCAAGATGTTATTTTTGCACTGGGCACATTTCAAGGGTATTGGCCTCATTGTCTTCAAAATGTAGCTGGTGCCCTCCACTTGCCCTCAACCCATCTGAAAATGTATGTGTATGCATGGCTGAGGAGCTCTGGTACCTTGCAAATTACCCATTCAGACTGTCAAGCATCCTTTGTTTGGAAGGAAAAGAGATGTGACAAATGTAAACACTGGAGAATGGGACCAGCTACAGAGGATGGATGCCCTGTCAAACCTGATCAAAGCTGATGGTGCATTCCTTTGCTGTTAGCTGGCTGCTCTCCCCGACCAGCTCCCTCTAGCCCACTTTTCCTCTGTTATATTCTTTGATTCTAATGCCTTAGGGATGATCTGGAGCAAGGTTCTGATTAGTACAAAACTCCCCACCTTATGTTTTTGTTTGTATCCATTTTCTCTAGTTTGGTGCCAGGCCACAAGATACAAACACTGATCACATTAGATGAGGGTTGCTGATTTCCTAGGGCATAAGGCAAAGAGGTTTCCTTTCTGTCACCCAGAGTGGAAGGGCCATCTGATTCAAATGTTGATGGAGGCTGTGCCTTCAGTTATGGAGGTTCTGGTTTCATAAAATTTCCTGAGGCCAAGCTGGAGGTTTAAAGACCCAGGAAGTGGTAAAAGGAAAGGAATAGCCCCTGGCAGACTGTAAAAACCAAATCAGGGTCTTACTCTAATCCTATTCCCCAAACGTGGCGGAATTAGCTCCCAGAATGCTTAAAGTTATGCTAAAGTTGCAGCTGGCTGCCTATGGATGGTGCCTCTCAGAGTAGTCATCCGGGTTGGAAACCTGGAAGCAGGGGCTGCAGAATATCAGCTGCTAGCTTGAGCCTTCTCTGGCATGTTAGGATATCTTATTTTTTCCTTCTCCATTTGCACATCTGTTGCCTCAGATAAGCCACAGTATAGAGTATGAGAAGCGTTTATGCGAATATGTTTGACAAGTCAGACAGATTTGGGCTTAAGTTTCAGCTCCGTCTTTTCACTCTCAGACAAGGTTGTATTTGGTTGCAAGCAACAGAAAAGTTGACCAGTGATGGCTTAAAGTAAGGGAGTTACTCGTCTTCCGCAACCAGAAGTCCAGAAGGAGGCAGGCCAGGGCTAGCATAGGGGCTCAAGGATTCCCTTGTGGACCAGCTCCTGCTGGCTTCCTGTTTTGAATCCTTAGAGAGTTGTCATGGACAAGAATCTAACCCCAAAGATCACTGT